>NC_000006.12:39756969-40060000 GCF_000001405.40 Homo sapiens | reverse complement strand
TATTTCATCACCTAGGTAATAAGCCTAGTATCCATTATCTTTTCTCCTCTCCCTCCTCCCAACCTCCACCCTCAAGTAGACTCCAGTGTGTATTGTTTCCTTCTTTGTGTTCTTAAATTCTCATTTAAAAGTAAGAACATGCGATATTTGGTTTTCTGTTCCTGCATTAGTTTGCTAGGGATAATAGCCTTCAGCACTGTTCATGTCCCTGCAAAGGACATGATCACATTCTTCTTTATGGCTGCATAGTATTCCATGGTATATATTTATCACACTTTCCTCACCCAGTCTATCATTGGGCTTTTAGGTTGATTCCATGTTGTATTAGTCTATCACACTGTTATAAATACCCAAGACTGGGTAATCTGTAAAGGAAAGAGGTTTAATTGACTCACAGTTCCACATGGCTGGGGAGGCCTCAGGAAACTTTCATGGCAGAAGGTGAAGGAGAAGCAAGGACCTTCTTCACATGGCAGCAGGAGAATGAGGAGTGAAGCAGGAAAAGCCCCTTATGAAACCATCAGATCTCATGAGAACTCACTATCAGGAGAACAGTACGGGGAAAACTGCCCCCCATGATCCAGTTACCTCCACCTGGTCTCTCCCTTGACACATGAGAATCATGGGGATTATAACTTGGGATTTGGGTGGGGACACACAGCCTAACCATATCACATGTCTTCGGTATTGCGAATAGTGCTGCAGTTAACATGTGTATGCGTGTGTCTTTATGATAGAATGACTTACATTCCTCTGGGCATATAACCAGTAGTAGGATTGCTAGGTGGAATGGCAGTTCAGCTTCTAGCTCTTTGAAGAATCACCATACTGCTTTCAACAACGTTTGAACTAATTTACACTCCCACCAACATTATATAAGTGTTCCCTTTTCTCTGCAACCTCAAAAGCATCTGTTATTTTTTGACTTTTTAAATTAATAGCCATTTTGACTGGTGTGAGATGGTATCTCATTGTGGTTTTGATTTGCATTTCTCTAATCAGTAATATTAAGTCTTTTATGCTCGTTTGCCACGTGTGTATTTAGAAAAGTGTTCCTGTCCTTTGCCCACCTTTTAATGAGGTTTCTTTTCTTGTAAATTTAAGTTCCTTAGAGATGCTGAATGTTAGACCTTTGTCAGATGCATAGTTTACATTTTCTCCCATTCTGTAGGTTGTGTACTGTAATTGTTTCTTTTGCTGTGCAGAAGCTATTTAGCTTAATTAGATCCCATTTGTCAATTTTTGCTTTTGTTGCAACTGTTTTTGGCATCTTCATCGTGAAATCTTTGCCTGTGCCTATATCCTGAATGGTATTGCCTAAGTTGTCTGCCAGGGTTTTTATAGTTTGGGGTTTTACATTTAAAGCTTCAATCTATCTTGAGTTGATTTTTGTATATGGTGTAAAGAAGAGGCCCACTTTCAATCTTCTGCATATGGCTAGTCAGTTATCCCAGCACCATTTATTGAATAGAGAATCCTTTCCCCATTGCTTGTTTTTGTCAGGCTTGTCGAAGATCAGATAGTGGTAGGTGTGTGGTCTTATTTCTGGGTTCTCTATTCTGTTCCATTGGTGTCTACATGTCTGTTTCTGTACCAGTACCATGTTTTGGTTACTGCAGCCCTGTAGTATAGTTTGAAGCCAGGTAGCATGATGCCTCCAGCTCTGTTCTTTCGCTTAGGATTGCCTTGGCCATTTGTGCTCTTTTTTGGTTCCATATGAATTTTAAAATAGTTCTAGTTCTGTGAATGTCGATGGTAGTTAGATTGAAAATAGCATTAAATCTTCAAATTTCTTTGGGCAACATTACCATTTTAACGATATTCTTCCTATCCATGAGCACTCAATGTTTTTTCTGTTGGTGTAATCTGATTTATTTGAACAGTGGTTTGTAGTTCTCCTTGTAGAGATCTTTCACCTCCTTTGTTAGCTGTATTCCTAGGTGTTTTATTTTTGTGGCAATCGTGAATTAAAGTTCGTTTATGATTTGGTTCATTGCTTGACTGTTGTTAGTATGTAAGAATGCTGCGGATCTTTGCACATTGATTTTTGTATCCTGTGACTTTGCTGAAGTTATTTATCAGCTTAAGCTTTTGGGCTGAAATGATGGGGTTTTCTAGATACAGGATCATGTCATCTGCAAAGAGGGGGATAGTCTGACTTCTTCTCTTACTATTTGGATGCCTTTTATTTCTTTCTCTTGCCTGATTGCCCTGGCCAGAGTGCTAATTTGATTGGCCAAAACTTCCAATACTTTGACTAGGAGTGGTGAGAGAGGGCATCTTTATCTTTTCAGTATTTAAGGGGAATGCTTCCAGCTTTTGTCCATTATGATGTTGGCTGTAGGTTTGTCATATATGGCTCTCATTATTTTGAGGTATGTTCCTTTAATACCTAGTTTGAGATTTCTTAACATGAAGGGGTGTTGAATTTTATTGAAGCCTTTTCTGCATCTATTCAGATAATGTGGTTTTTGTCTTTAGTTCTGTTTATGTGATCATGTTCTCCAAGATTGAAATCAATCCAGATACTACTTTTGCTTTTCCTATGGTCTTCACAACCCACAGACCAGGAGATTTCCCCCGGGTGCCTACACCACCAGGGCCCTGTGTTTCAAGCACAAAACTGGGTGGCAGTTTGGGCAGACACTGAGCTAGCTGCAGGAGTTTTTTTCATACCCCAGTGGTGCCTGGAACACCAGCAAGACAGAACCGTTCACTACCCTGGAAAGGGGATTGAAGCCAGGTAGCCCAGTGGTCTAGCTCAGCAGATCCCACTCCCATGGAGCACAGCAAGCTAAGATCCACTGGCTTGAAATTCTTGCTGGCAACACAGCAGTCTGAAGTTGTCCTGGGATGCTCAATCTTGGTGGGGGGAGAGGCGTCTGCCATTACTGAGGCTTGAATAGGAGGTTTTCCCCTCATGGTGTAAACAAAGCTGTGGGGAAGTTCCAACTGGGTGGAGCCCTCTGCAGTTCAGCAAAGCTGCTGTAGCCAGACTGCCCATCTAGATTTCTTCTCTCTGGGCAAGGCATCTCTGAAAAAAAGGCATCAGCCCCAGTCAGGGGCTTATAGGTAAAATTCCCATCTCCCTGGGACAGAGCACCTGGGGGAAGGGGTAGCTGTGGGTGCAGCTTCAGCAGACTTAAACATCCCTGCCTGCCAGCTCTATGCAGCGGATCTCCCAGCACTGCATTCAAGCTCTGCTAAGGGTCAGACTGCCTCCTTAAGTGGTACCCTGACCCCCATGTCTCCTGACCGGGAGACACCTTCCAGCAGGGGCTGACAGACACCTCGTATAAGAAAGCAGTGGCTGGCATCTGGTGGGTGCCCCTCTGGGACGAAGCTTCCAAAGGAAACAAAGGGCAGAAATCTGCTGTTCTGCAGCCTCTGCTGGTGATACCCAGGCAAACAGGGTCTGGAGTGGATCTCCAGCAAACTTCAGCAGACCTGCAGCAGAGGGGAATGACTATTAGGAGAACTAACAAACATAAAGGAATAGCATCAACATCAACAAAAAGGCCGTCTACTCAAACCCCATCCGAAGGTCACCAACATCAAAGACCAAAGGTAGATAAATCTACGAAGATGGGGAGAAACCAGCACAAAAAGCCTGAAAAGTCCAAAAACCCGAATGCCTCTTCTCTACCCTCAATCGTTAAGGTTGTTGACCTTTGAGTGGGTTCCTTAACAGTCTGGCAACTTTTCCATAGGGCTGCTGTATTTTCCTGGGGGTTTATTCCAGTCCCTAGTCATCTTAGATTTTCTAGTACCTAAAGGTATCACCACTGAAGGCTGTGAAGCAGCAAAGATGGCAGCCTTGCCCCTTTCTCTGGGAGCTCAGGCCCGGGGGGTTACAGACCTGTTGCTGGTCCAAACACACCTGTAGGAGGTAGCTGGAGACCCTGGTTTGAAGGTCTCGCCCAGTCAGGAGGAATGGGATTGGGGATTCAAGCAGTTCAGTCACACTTTCATAGAGCAACTGTGCAGTTCTGGGGTACTGCTTCTACCCCCAAGTGCCTCAGATAACTCCAAAGCCCACAGACTGGAATGTCTAAGTTGCCCAAACAGCAAAGATGGCATCCCACCTTTCCCTCTGGGGGCTCCATCCCAGGGAGAATTCAAATCTCTGTCCACCAGAGAACACGGGCAGGCATGGCTGGAGGCCCCAGTTGGGAAGTCCTGCCCAGTAAGGAGGAAAGGATCAGGAATCTGCTTTAAAGAAGCAGTGTCTGGCCACGTTTTGGTAGAGGAGCTGTGCTGGGGGATTTCTTTCACTCCCAGTCAGTGTGGACTCTTCAAAGCCCACAGGCTGAAACAGTTGAGTTGCCCAAACAGCAAAGATAGTGGCCTGCCCCCCTCCCCATCTCCCCGGGAACTCCATTCCATCCCAGGTAGGTGTTGTAACACCGTTGCCAGTGGCTGGCTGGAATTCCAAACCAGTAGGTCTTATCCTGTGAGGTGCCATGGAAGTGGGGCCTGCAGACCATCGCTACTCAGCCCCCTTCCTAGGGGTATGTACAGAGGTCCAACCTCCTGCCTTACCTGAGTTGCATTTGCCTTTGCCGAGGAGCCCAGAGCTGGAATATGTAAAGCTTCTGGGTCTCCATGTATGCCTAAGGAGCTGTTCTATCAAGATTCCACACAGCTCTGCATGTCAGACTGAAGGCCCTTGTGGAGTGGGTTCGTGAAGGGATCGCCTGGCCCAAAATTGCAAAAATCTGTGGGAGAAGTGTGGGTTCCCAGGGTTGCACATTCACTCACTTGAGGGGAGTTTCCCTTGGCTCTGTGTCACTCCTGGGTGGGCCATCATCCTGCCCTGCTTTTTCTCTATTCTCCATGGGTCAAGCTGTTTGTCTGATCAGTCCCGCTGTAAGTACCTGGATGTTTCAGTTGAAGATGCCATATTTACTTGCCCCTTTTGTTCCTCTCTGTGAGAGCCACATACTGTAGCTGTTTCTAGTCAGCCATCTTGGCCCCCTCACCTAACTTCTTACATAGGATAATAGTAATGAATCCAAAAACAGTATAATCAAGGTATAAGAGGTTAGGCTATTCATTAGCAGAAAACAGATGGAAAGCTTAGGCTCTGAAGTCTGGTATTATCTAGTTGGTTGTTTTTCTTAGAAAAACTTGAGGTCAATCAGGCTTTTGCTCATCCATTAGGTAGTGTTTAGCAGCCTTTGGATGACTCAGCTCTGAATGTGGGTCAGATGGGACAAGCTCTACACAGCTGTGGTAGACTCAAGCCTTAATTCCCACACATTTCATGGAGGAGCAAGTCACCAGCAGCACTTCATATGGTCCATTCTATTAGGGCTTCAGTTGATTATCAGGGTGCTGGTTTCTAAACAACCTGCTAGAAGACTTATGGCAGTCAAACCTAAGGATTGCACATACCTGACAGTGTCTAGCTCTTTTACACCTATGCTTTTGTGGCATTTCAGTTTAGAGGAGAAGCATGGGAAGTTTCTCCCATGTAAGATTTCAAAAGGGCTCTGTTTGGACCCAATTGTAGGGACCACTCTTACTCTGATCAGGGCAATAGGCAAAGCCTTATTCCAGGTCAGGTTGATTCCTGACAAATCTTAGCCTTTTTCAAGGTATGACTCATCTTTTTAGTGTTTCCTCTGTACCGTGGCCTTCAAGCAGTGTAGTTTCCAAGTTGCGCCAAGGTCTTCATAAACATCCTAAGTTACCTTGGCCACAAAGGCAGCACCACTGTTAGAGTAGAAATGGGCAGGCCAAACTGAGGAACAACTTTGAGTAAGCCTTAATAACTTTTTTTCACAAGGGAATGTTTCAATCCATCCTGAAAGTGTCTATAAACATAAGCAGATAGTTTCCCATGACCCTTAGCATCATGGTGAAGTCAACCTGCTAATCTTCAGTTGGCCTTTCATCTCACACCTGGACTCCTTGCATCAAGAGTAGAGGACTAGTTTTGAAGTTGTTTCAGGCACAAATACACTTTGAACAGCCATATTCATATGTGGGCTAAGATATTTCTGAATCCATTGGAGAGTGACATCCCAGTCATATGATGTCATGAATGTCCAATGCCATCTGTGAGTTGTCCAGGACTATTCTCTTTTATATATCTATCTGTCCTAGGTTTGTTGATTGGGGTCAACCCCAGTCAAGTGCTCTTTTCAGATCATTCAAATACAGTATATAGGTGATTCAAGGTCTATTTCAGGCATTAATAAAGTTTTGGACCTTTTCTCTTGCTGCTGCCTTTGCAGCCTTGTGTGCCCAATTGTCTTTTGCCACCAAACTGTCAACAGATGCCCAAGGCAATGAACTATTGCTACTTCTTTAGGACCAGGGCTGCCTTCAACAGAGTTTAAAATTCTTAGCATGTTTAATTTGTTATCAGAGGTTAAAAATCCCCTTTCTTTCCAAATGGCTCCATGAGCATGAACCACAGAAAAGGCTAATCTTGAATCAGTGTAGACTGTGGCTCATGGGTGTTCATCCAGCTGAAGCACCCAGGTCAGGGTGATGAGTTTGATGGCTGCTGTGAAACCTTGGTGGTTCTTAGTTTATGAGAATCTAAACAAGTCATACAGCAAAGGAAATGCAACATAGAGTAATTTATTGCAAAGGAGAAAGAATATGTTGAAAATTAGGTGCAGAACAGATAGTATACCCTGAGATTCAGGGTAGGGTGCTCATAAGGATGAGACAGCAAAGACTGGCACTAGAGACTCCCTTTATGGGAGTCTTACATGATTATTCATAAGGGGGTGGGAAGAGCTATTGGTAAGCATGTTCTGGGTGGTTCTTTGCACATGTGCAGTAGTGGTACCTGCTTGTTCAAAACATATGTCGCATTAGCATCTTAAATATCCACCCAGGGGTGTGTTTTTTTACTATTAAAATGAGCAAAGGGCCAGTCTGAGGACAGGTAAAAATGCATGTTCTCTACAGGGGAAATTGCCTACTGGAGATAGCTGTGCTTGAATAAGCTTGACTACAATGTGAATGCTGGGGCTTATTGTGTTAACTGTACAGTAGCCTGTAACATGTCCCAAGGACATGGTTACCTCCTTGACTACCCATCCTGCCTCAAGTTTGTCTTTCCATCCTTATTTCCCATGAGGAAGTATTTCAGCTTCTAAAACTGGCCAATGTGTTATTGCAGCATATACAGCTTTCTGCTGTCCCTGGTCCATGAAGCTTCCATCTGTGAACATATCTCAATTGAACTTCCAAGGGGTATGTTGGCCAAATATGGTTGGCTCAAATAAACTTGTTCCATAATTTGCAAACAGTCACCTGTAGGTTCAGATGCTATCTGCGGCAGTAAAGTAGCAGGGCTTAAGGTAGAAACAGCTCTTAAGATCACATTTGGGTCATCCTGAAGTATAGCCTAGCCTTCCAGAGGTCAGCCAATAGCCTCCTTTCTGTTCCAATAAAAGTACACAGTAAAGGGTATACACCGTGGTAAGCTGGCCCAGGGTCCCCAAAGTAGATCACAGGTGACAACAACTGCCAAAAGGCAAGATGGTCATCCCTTGGTGATGTCCAACTGCTTTTGAAAAGTAAGCAACTAGCCTCTTGGTGCTCCCCATGTCCTACATCAGCAGTCCTAAACCAACTTTGCCTTTCAGGTACAAAATAGGTCAAACAGCTTCCCTTCAGTCAGGGAGCAGGTTTTTCTGTCCTTGAGAGTTAAATCTAAGATATCTAACCAAGGGCTGAGATTTGAACCTTTTTCTTGGATGTCTTATAAACCCCATTTAGCCAGAAAATTTCAGTATGGTGTTTGGATTGGAAGCCTCTCTGGTTGTGCTAGTAACTAATGTCATGAACATATTGGAGCAGAGCCCCATCTTTTAATTGCTAACCCTGGAGGTCCTTAGGGAAAACTTCCCCAATAGTGGTTGGAGTTCATAAAGCCCTGGATGACAAATGACAATATTGTTGTTTTCTCCTTAGTTATGTGGATCTTCCTTCCAAATGATTCTTTGGATTCTGGACTTGGAATGCAAACGAAAGCATCTTTCATATCTAAGATGATAAACCAGCAAAGCTCACCAATTAAGGTTGTGAGTAATGTATAAGGCTGGAGACCACTGGATAAATGCCTTCTATAACTTGATGAATGACTCTCAAATCCTGAACAAACGTATATTCTTTGGTCCAGAGTCTCTGAACTGGGGGGATAGGTTATTAGACTTTGCCAGTCCCCATATAAGTTCAACCTGACCTGTAGGAAAGTGGAGAGCAAATGGTGAATAGTTCATCACGCTTGTTCTCTCAAAAGGTGTTTCAGATTGAGTGGTACCATCCCTGTGTACACCTTTACCTATACTAAGGTTGTGGAGTTGGCCCTCCCTGGCCTCCCATCTGCCCATGTATCAGGATTCATCTCTTATGGAAATTCTTCAGAAATAGGCACAGGCTTTTAAGCTGCTTATAACAACGAAGCTCGCAAGGTGCAAGCTTGTCCTGTGAGCATTCTGATACTCAGCCAACCCAGCGAAAATGTAACCTTTGCATTCAGTTTAGTCAAGAGATAATGTCTCAAAATGGGTCATTCAGGCACATATAAGCTGTTTCTAACTGGACTTGTCCCAGTTGATCCAGGGGTTGGAGGAATTGTCTTCAGGGTCTCCCCTGAGGCCCTAGTCACTTTCATAGTTTCTGACAACAGTTTGGATATGCATGTACTTAATACCAAATAGGTGACACCAGTATCTACTAGAAAGTCCAAAAGTTGATTTTCCATGGTCATAGTGACCCAAGGTTCCATGTGGGAAATATGGAGTGTATTAGTTGTGTTGGAGGGAGACCTTGTACTGTCATTTCTAATCCTCAAAATCTTCAGCCCTCTAGACCCTTCAGCTATTTTGGGCATCTGTTGAACAGGAGACTGATTCCCCTCTTAACCCCCTAGCCCCCACCCCCCACCCCCATATTGGCCCTTTTGAGGTATAGGTAATCTTTTTCCCAATGGACCCTCCTGTCTGCAATATACCCACTGGTTAGGACCCCCAGTGGGGTATTTCTTTTTGTGGGGATCATGGGGCCCAGGGAGGCTCTACCTTAAGTGGAATTCCTGGGGAGTACCCTCAGGGTGGTCTAGAGTTTCCTTGAGTCAGAGCAGCTATCAGCATGGTGGCTTGCTGTTGCATTTTTTCATTGTTCTGACATTGATCTTTGCTGATGAATACCTTGAAAACAATCTTCACCAATTGGGACAAAGACATGGTCAATGTTCCTTTTTGTGCCTTCCTCTGAATATCAGAGGCACTTTTGCTAATAAACATCATGTATATTATCTTAATTTTCTGGTGCCTTAGTGTCAATACCACTATATTGCCTAAGTGCTTAAAAAAAAGTGTTCCAGGATTTCTGAGGGGCTCTACCTGGGTTCTTGTTGTACTTCTTGAAACTCAAGGCTTCTCTGCTTTGGTATTCCTTTACGGTGTCTGGCCAGAGTGAAATCATGAGCACAATAATGCCCAAGCTTATCCCTACCTCCAGTGTTAACATTCTACTTAGGGTTGGCTGTGGGCACTGTGACCTGGGCAGCTGCCCACACTGGGTTACTGGGGGAATCAGCATACTGGGGGGATCTACCTCTTCTCTAGCCTTTTCTAAGACCATTTTCTGTTCCTCAGACATTAAGTGTGTTTAACAAGCTTTAGACACTGACCCTGGTGCGGTTATAAGTTGCAAAGATAAAGGGGAAATTTTTCATTTTTGATCATCCCAATAGGTGGGCAAGTCATTTTTCCGATTAAGCCAGAAGTAGATAATGAGGAATAGACCCAAACAAGCCCTATGGATTGCCCTGTGTCAGCATCGGTCCCTCCATGGGGAGCTATTAATGGGGGAATTGCCCTGCTAGAGCTAAAGTGGTGCCCTGGCCAAATTTGGTTCTCTGACAGTAGCAACAAGGGAAACCATTGCTGTAGCTCCAGGTTCCTGCCCTTTTGAAGGCAGGGAGTCTGATTCAAGTGCTTGTGGCATGGTCACATCTCTCCCATGAAGTTGGGGAGGTGAAATCAATGGCTCATTCAACTGAACTAGCAAAGTATTGTCATCCTTCTCCTGTGATTCCACTAATACAAAATTGTTTGCATTAACATTCCATTGTACCATGATTTTGCATTTTTCTGTAACAGCTTTTGTCAAAGCAACACAAAACATTGTACATAAGGAATTTCATTCAATTTTTCTTTCTTACACAACAGGTGTAACTACAAGATGGCATTATAATTAAGGAAAACATTTTCTGGCCTCTTTCCCTGTATTCTAATGAGTACTGGGGCCGGGCTGTATTATAAAGAAAATCACTTTCTATGTGTTTGTAGGTAAGAAACCCGATTTTGGAGGAGACAGCCCAATGGACTGCTTTGGGGGGAATCAAATTAGCGTTTTCCATATCAACCAAGACAAAACTCCACTGTACACACAACAAACACAAGCTGCTCTGCTCAATGCCCGAGTTCAACCTGGCAAGGCTCACACTTGCCCCAGCTAGTACCTGACACTATCGATCCATACAATGTGGGGGAGACATGACCCCCAGCCAGTAATCTAGCAAATGGTCACTCAGTGTGATAGAGCAGATGGCCACCCTGAGTTAGGCTACCAAGCTGCTGACTACTCTGGGACTCACTAACTGCAAGTAGTAAGACAGAACAGGTTCCAAGTCAGGCCAACTGAGCTTTCGCCAGCAACTCCTTTGGGGTTTTCATACAAACAAGACATGATGAAACATAAGGTCTCACAAGTCAGTTCCGTAATTTGATTTTGAAACTAAGACCCAGACAAGTCTAAGAGTACCTCTCCCAGAGAGGATCCTCTATTCCCTTTTTGGTTGGAATAAGTCCCTCCCACCCACCCACCCTCGCCCTCAGCAAGTCTTTTCCTAGTGATAAGGGAGGGTCAACAAGACCTCTGGAGAGGCTACAGGACCTCCAAGGAGGTAAACAAGTTAGAAGGAAAAGTGGGTTCTTCCAGGTCCAGATACCATATTTCTGCTGGAAACAAGTGTATGCACCAATGCTGAGCAATGCCCAGCCAGCAGGGAAGGCTTCAGAGATAGTCCATGTCTTCAGGAGCCAGGTGACCTCTTGAGTTTGTCTCTGAGCAGACTGAAATGACAAGTAGGGAAACCGAGCCATGGACAGATTCCCACAAGGGGTCTCCTGGCTAGATTGCCATTAAATATCATAATTGTAACAGATTCATTGCCTGATGCCTGGCAAGTCAATATACTGAGACATTGAGGGTTGCAGCAGTGTTTAATCACAGGGCCACCCAAATGGGAGAGAAGAAAACCTCAAATCCACCTCCCTGAGAAGTTTGGAAATAGAGCTTTTAAGGACTCTGGACAGATGGCAGGCTGAGGTGTAGGGGATCACTGACTTGTCCTGAAAATGAGAAGTTAAGTCATGTGACAAGGAGATGAAGAAATTGCATCCTTGAGCTGAGTCAGTTTCTCAGGTGGTCTTCAGTCTGTTTGACACCAGATATTCTGCTGGAATTTGGGGTTCTGGAAGCAACTTAAGCAATATTTGAGCAAAAGTCTTATTCTAGCATTAGAGAACCTATGTACAGGAATGATGGAGAAGCAAGTAGTCAGCATGCTATGTGACTCAGTTGGCAGCTGCAAGGAAAGTGGGTCAAAATGTGCCAACACACCTTAATGCCTAACTATAATTCTACCTAAAGCCTGGATTGTGCTTCTTGTCAACCCTGTGAGGGCAGTTCCATATGTTCTTTTTAGGGCCGTAATATCACCTGACAGCTCTATGTGCTTGACATAGTATGGTATAAATTAGATAATTGGTCTTTATCCCTGTTTTCTAATATACAGGTCCTAAAACTTCTGAAGTGATGATGCTAATTATGACTAGTGTCCCCTAGATAGCTTCAGGATGGGAGCTGGTCACTGGAAAGACTAAAGCATGATTAGAGGGTTGGGACTTGCAGCCACACCCCCCAACCTTGGGTTATCAGAAGAAAAGGCTAAAAGTTAAGTTGATCACCAATGGTCAAAGATGTAATCAATCATGCCTATGTAATGAAACTTCCATAAAGCCCAAAAGGACAGGTTCATAGCTTCTGGATAGCTGAACACATGGATGTGCTTGGAAGGTGGCATGCTGAAGAGGCCATGGAAGCCCTGCAACCCTTTCCCACATGCCTTGCCTAATGAGTCTCTTCTATCAGGCTGTTCATATGTGTGTTTTGTAATAGCGTTTATAAAAAATGGGTAAACATAAGTAAAGTGCTTCTCTTCTGCACATGTATCCCGTAACTTAAAGTAAAAAAAAGTGCTTCTTTGAGTTCTGTGAGCCATCTAGCAAATTAAATGAACCCAAGGAGAAAGGCGGGTTGTAGGACCCTTGATACGTAGCTGGGAGTGGTACCTGCACTCAAAAAGGGGGTCAGTGTCCTTGAGTGCTGGGGTTAAGGTTATCTGACCATCTTGTTGCAGGACAGACTAGAATACTAACCACTGAAAGTGCCTTTGTCCTGAACTTTGGCTACTTATATAACTCAAATGAGTGTAAAACAGGCCTTATCAATTACTTCCTCTAATACTCACTTTTGTTCCATATGTCCAATATCTACTTCTTGAAGATAATCCCCATGGCTCTCAAAATATGGGGCTATGTTTGGCCTTGGAGAAAGTTAGCCCTGTTTGACCTGTCCACTTCTGCTAGTTATTTCTACTGGCAGGGCACTCTTAAACTATCCTGGATGCCTTTCAGTTCTACTGATCCAAATCCAGTCAAAGCTACAATGGGATTCCACATTGGAGTGACAAAGTTACAGCTGACTAAAATTCAATTCCCCTGTTCACAGTTTCTAAAATACAATGTTCATGTTCAAAAGAGAACCCAGCATTCATTAAATGTTATTTTGACCCCAGACTATCAGCCCGAAATTCCCTTTCTCTGGGGAATCCTATTTCAGGGACTCTTTCCCCTTTTAACCTAGGGAACCAATAGTGCCATCGTAAGAAGTCCAGAGACTTCCAAATAGCTCACCCTTATCTCTAAACTCTGCACACCAAGGTAAGAGGTAGTAGCTTTGCTAAGTCCCCATTGCAGATTATTGTGTTACAAATGAATCCCAAGGTAACAGTTGATTATTTGTCCTTAACCTTATTCTAAAAGGTGTTTTACAAGAAGTTTCTCCTAAGTATAGTGGACATTCTGTGCTCAATCTAGATCCTCCAATTTCTTTTAAATTGAGGTAAAATACGCATTATCTTAACCACTTTAAGAATACAGTTAATTGAGTACGTTCATATTTACAACCTCCAGAATTCTGCATCTTCCCAAACTGAAACTTATATACCCCTTTGTATCTTCCCCCACAGCTCCTGTGAGAACCATTTTATCTTTATGAATGTGGCTATTGTAGGTACCTCATAAGTGGAATAATATAGTATGTCAGTTTGTAATGGGCTTATTTTGCCTAGTGTAATGTCCTCAAGGCTCATTCACGTTGTGACATGAGCCGGTTTTCCTTTTAAGGCTGAACAATATTCCATTGTATGTGTATACACTTTGTTCATCTGTGGGACACTTGGGTTGCTTCTACCTGTTGGCTATTGAGAATAATGCTGCTACGAACATGGATATACAAACATCTGAGGCCCTGATTTCACCTCTTTGGGGCATATACCCAGAAGTAGAATTTCTGGTTCATATAATTCTAATTTTGATAAACTACCATACTCTTTTTCATAGTGCCTGTACTATTGTATATTCCCACCAACAAGGCTTCCAATTTCTCCACATCCTCAGCATCCCTTATTTTGTAGGGTTTTGTCCATGGTAGCCTTCCTAATGAGTGTTAGGGGGTATTTCATTGTGGCTTGGATTTGCATTTCCCCAATGATTAGTGGTGTTGAGCATCTCTTTGTGTGCTTTTTCACCATTTGAATAGACATCCCTCAGATGAGTCCGCTGCCCACTTTTTTAGTTGCTGTTGGATTGCAAGAGTACCTGGCATATATTCTGGATATTAAGCCCCTGTAAGATATGACTTGCAAATACTTTCTCCCATCCCACAGGTTGCCTTCTCACTGTATTCATTGTGATCTTTGTAGGGGCGTTTGTAACTTTATAGTCCAATGTATCTGTCTTTACTTTGGCCTATGCTTTTGTCATATCCAAGAAACTATTGCCAAATTAAATGTCAAACTGGTTTTCTAAGTTCTATAGTTTTATGTAAGTCTTTGATCAGTTGACTGTTTATATATGGGATAAGCCTTATAAGGTAAAGTTCCAAATTTTCTTTTGCGTGGGGATATCTAGTTTACTCAGTACCATTTTAAGAGGCTGTTCTTTCCCCCCATTGAATGGTTTTGGCATCCTTGTCAAATAACTTGACCATAATGTGATAGGATTTACTTCTGGAGTACTCTTCTATTCTATTGGTCTATGACTTTATGGCAGTATCTCAGTATCTAGATTATTGTAGCTTTATAACTTTGAAGTCAGGAAGTATAAGACTTCCAACTTTGTTCTTTCTCAAAATTGTTCTGGCTATTCTGGGTGTCTTGAAATTCCATATTAATTTAGTTAAAACTTTCTACAAAAAAAAATTGAGATTGTGATGGAGGTGACATTAAATTTGTAGATAAATTTGGATAGTATTGCCATTAATAACACTCCAATCCACAAACATGGAATGTCTTTGTGTCACTGTCTTTCATCAGTGTTTTGTTTTCAGTGTAAGTTTTTCATTTCCTAGGTTTATTCTTAAATATTCTTTGTGACTATAAGTTTTCCTTTTCTTAACATTGCTGGTGTATGGAAAACTTATTTTTGTTTTCACATCCTGCAACTTAACTAAATTTGCTTATTTAACAGGCTTTTTTTTAACTTAAAATTAAGTTCCGGAATTCATGTACAGGACGTGCAAGTTTGTTGCATAGGTAAACATGTGCCATGGTCATTTGCTGCACAGATCAACCCATCACCTAGGTAATAAGCCCCACACGCATTAATTATCCTGGTGCTCTCCCTCCCTCTGCTCCCTGAACAGGTCCCAATGTGTGTTGTTCCCTTTCCTGTGTCCATGTGTTCATTTTCAGGTCCCACTTATAAACGAGAACATGCAGTGTTTGGTTGTCTGCTCCTGCATTAGTTTGCTGAGAATAATAGCTTCCAACTCCATTCATGTCTGTGCAAAGGACGTTATTTCATTCCTTTTTATGGCTGCATAGTATTTCACAATGTACATGTACATTTTATCTGGTCTATCACTTATGGCCATCTGGGTTGATTCCATGTCTTTGCTATTGTGAATAGTGCTGCAATGAACATACACATACATGTATCTTTATAATAGAATGGTTTATATCCCTTTGGGTATATACCCAGTAATGGGATTGCTTGGTCAAATGGTATTCATTTCTAGGTCTTTGAGGAATCACCACACTGTCTTCTACAATGGTGGAACCAATTTACATTTCCACCAACAGTGTAAAGTGTTCCTATTTCTCCACAGCCCAACCAGCATCTGTGGTTTCTTGACTTTTTTTTATAATTGCCATTCTGGCTGGTGTGGTTTTGATTTGCATTTCTCTAATGATCAGTGATGTTGAGCTTATTTTCCTGTTGGCCACAAAAATGTCGTCTTTTGAGAAGTGTCTGTTCATGTCCTTTGCCCACTTTTAGAATGGGGTTTAACAGGCATTTTTGTGGAATCTTTAGGGTTTTCTACATGAAAGATCATGTCTGAACAGGGAACTATTTCCAATTTGGATGCCTTGTTACTATTTCTTCCCTAATTGCTCTAAGACATCCAGTACTATGTTAAATAGAAGTGGCAAAGACAAGGCATTCTTTAGCCTTTTCCAATCTTAGATCTGAGTTTCTAGTTTCACACCAACTGAGTATGATGGCTGTGGGCTTTTCATATAAGACATTTATGTTAAAAAAAAAAAAGTTTCCCTCTATTCCTAGTTTGACTGTCTTTAATTATGAACAGGTAAATTGAAGTTCTTTCTCCACATCAATTTTGCTTTTCCTCCTTCATTCTGTTAATGTGGTACACGACATTGACTTTTCTCTTTCATATACAGAATCATCCTTGAATTCCAGGAATGGAGCCCACTTGGTCATGGAGTATGATCCTTCTAATGTGCTGTTAAATTGTTAGTATCTTGTTATAAGTTTGCCTCAATATTTATCACTAATACTGGTCTGGTGTTTTTTGTGTTGCTTTAGTGTCAGGGTAATGTTGGCCTTATAGAATGTTTAGAAGTATTCCCTTTTCAATGTTTTGGGAGGGTTATTAATTTTTAAATGTTTTAGAACATACCAGTGAAGCCATCTGGTCCTGGGCTTTTAATTGTTTAGAGGTTTTAAATGACTGATTAAATCTCCTTGCTGGTTATAGACCTGTTCAGATTTTCTTTCTTAATAAGTTGGTGTGTATGTTTCTAGGAATTTATCCATCTCATCTAGGTTACCCAATCCTTTAGCACACAATTATTCCTAGTATCCTCTTAATGTTTTTTGTTTTTGTAAAGTCAATTGTTGTAATGTTTCATCTTTCATTTCTGATCTTAGTTATTTAACTCTTTTAAATCTAGTTGTCGATTTTCTTTGCAAAGAACATAGTTTGATTTCTCTATCTCTACTCTAATTTTCATTTCTTTTGGTCTGCTTGCTTTTAGGTTTAATCCATAACGTGTCTGGGTTAAGTTGTGAAGTTACGTTGTTGATTTGAGACCTGCCTTAAATGTTTACAGCTATAAATTTCCCTCTCAGCATTGCTTTCATTGCACCCCATAGGTTTTGATATATTCTCTATCTTGGTTTATCAAGATTTTCTATTGTCTCTTGTGATTTATGTTTTGATTAAAGGGTGTATTATCTAATTTCTAGTTTTTCTTGTTTTCTAGTTTTATTCCATTGTGATCAGAAAAGATAATTTGTATAATTCAATCCTCCTAAGTCTATTAAGACTTGTTTTGTGGACTAATATATGGTCTATCTCGAAGAATGTTCCATATGTACTTGGAAAAAAATGTGTATGCTGCTGAGAAGAGTGTTCTGTACATGTCTGTTGCGTACAACTTGTCGGTAGTGGTATTCAGGACCTATTTCCCTATTGGTCCTGTCTGGTTGTTATATCCACTATTGGAAGTAGGGTGTTAATTTGTGCTTGTGAAGTTGTCTATTTCTATAATTTTGTCAATGTTTGCTTCATATAATTAGGAGCTTTGATATGTGGTATGTTTCTCACTGTATGCACATTTACCTTTAAACATGTTAAGAGCCTCACCTCTTCTCAGGAGCTTTGTTCTATTGTTCCTCTCTTCCCAGAATCTCTCATTCTCAGGAGCCCATGGTTCTGCAGCCCCCTGAATCTCATGCTACAGAACCTGCCACTGCTTTCAGGGGCTTCCAACCTGATATTCAAACTATGCTGCCACTCCTGTCAGTGCTCAGTCAAGTGACACAGAAACCAATCCTTCAGGTTTTTCACAGACAAGTCAGAACTTGGCAAGTTCCATTCTTTATGTGCCAAGGAAGGGGCCAGGATTTGGGCAGCTTTCTTCTAACCACCCACAGATGTGGTAAAGCAAGGTTGAGCAAAAATGCTGAGTAATTTCCTATCATTGAGTGTGGTTTCTTGGGTTGAGCATAAGCTTGATTGCTGCAGCTTCTAAATTGGTTTCTAGAGTTCTCACAATGCTACTCTGACCTGTATATTTCATGTTTCCATGATGGAGGAATAAGCCAGTGTTTTCTATTCTGCCATCTTGCTGTCACTTCCTCAATTCCTTGTTACCTTTCCTGAGCATCTCTTCCCGGCTTTGTGTGTTTACTTCCAATAGCCTGCATATGTGCCTCTTCTTGGGAGAACTGACCTAAGGAATGGGACCATCTCATCTGTAGGCAGAGAAAGCCAGACATCCCTGGGAGCTTATCTTCTTGGAACAGTCCTTGGCCAGTGACTAGAATGAAAATTATGCCTCTGACTTTGGGTGCAGGGCCCTCCTGTGGGATCAGGCTGCAGCTGGTCTCCGGGACCTTGCCTAAATCATATCCCCACTTGATTGGCTTTCTTTTCCCTGTCTTGCTTTTGTGACTTCCTTACTAGATCCTCCTGGCAATCTTTCCTTAATCATTTGTACTTATCTTCACCTCAAGGTCTGTTTCTAGGATCTGTTTTGGAGCTGTTCCTAAGACTCAAATTACATACTGCATCTCTCTATGCAAACAGAAGCTTATAGCTTCTCAGGGTTTCAAAAAAAAAAAGTAGTCTTTTATACATGACTTTTCATAGTAGAAAAATAGGTTTTTCCCTAAACCCCTATCTGACTTGTAGAAAAGTTTGGATATTGTAAGGAATATGGGACAGGGGAGAACCAGTAAGGAGAACAAAATTATTCGATTACTGGTCCTATTGGGTCCTCGGAGAAAAGAGATGGCATAGTTAATAGGCTTAGTGTTTAATAAAGGGACCCTTTAAAGAAGTAGAGGCAGGGTGAAGGAAACTAACAATGGTGAAACACCAGCGGAATAGCAAAAGGAGCACTTACCGCCACCAGGACCTGGAGGGGGTGTACAGGAGAAGCTGTTGCTAGAACCCAGTACAAGCTTCAGCCATGGGGTCTAGATCAAGCAGGAACTAAAGCTTTTGGTAAAGGAGCACAACCCGGCCAAAGATGGCCTTATAGGGAAAGGAACAGAGGGAATAATACCCCATCCTGTTCTCCTCATCCTTGGCCTCTTGAGTGCCTTCTAGGGGCTGAGTTCACTAAAAGCCACAGGGCAAGTATAGATGACACAACTGTGTCACTAAGATGCCCAACAAGATGTACCGGGCTTGCTGCCCAGGTACAGGAAGCCACTTACCCAAGGTCATGAAGCCACCAGTGACTGAGGTGTGGCGGCAAAAGCCCAGGTGTGTCACCCACACATAGAACAAATGGAAAATACTTGCTTTGGAGCTCTCCACCAAGCTGGCCAAAGCTCTTCTGGGCCTGCATAGCAGTCAGATTATTTTCTCTCTGCTTAATCCTGCTTCTTCCCCTTCCTTTCACAGGTGTCGATACCTAATAAACACCTTGCATCCCAAACTGTCCAACCTATAACAGCAAGAGAGCTGAGTGATACAATCACACAGGTTAGCCTCCTGTGTGCAGAGCAAGACAGGATGGCTCTAGGGGGAAAACACGGAATAACCAGTAAGTCTACACTTAGCTGCCACTCCCTGTGCTCAACTGTTCTAACTCGTTAAAGGAAGAGAGGAAGTTAACCTGATGCCCTTCAGTCTGAGGGCCTGGACCACTTGGGGACATATGTAGGAACCTGGGGAGCTATGATTATCAGGTGTGCGTGCCTGTCACATGGCAGTGTGCAAGGCTGTCTGCACATGGCTGGTGCTGTCTCCAGTGGTCTATGTGCATGTCGGCCCTGTATGAGACTCCCTTGAGTGCTGTCAAGGAAAACTCTACAGTGGTGCCAAATGATGCTGCTCTAAGTGGGATGATTAAACAGTTCAGTGACTGGAGCATCCTCCCAGGGAGAAGAGCAACAGGAGGCTCCTGAGGACATGCCTAAGTACATCACAACAGGGTTCCAGTGAAGGGAGCTGGCTAGCAGCACAGGAAGTTGGTGAATGCAACTTGTTCCAGGAGAAAGGTGACCTTGCCCTTTATGGGGGGAACAGTCCCATCTGCACCAAGGTGCTCTGCTCAGGGGTGGTAGGGAACTGCTGTGCTCCTCAGGCCAGAGCTAGGGAGCTGTTGGACTGACACAAGCTTAAGGCATAGTCAGTTGTCAGTACTGTACCTTTTGTTCTGAGTCCCCTCGGGCCCTGTTGTGTAATGCCGCATTTCATCCAGATTTTCTTGGATTTAAAGGATGCAACTCTTCCATATGTTAAGTTTCTCCCCATTACAGGGAGATTCCAGGACAGACTTTGGGGTGCAAGGTGTTGATTAGAGGTCAATGCCTATGAAAGCAGGGAGGAAGTAGAAAGGGGAATAGAATTTGAATAATAATGCAAACTCAACAGAGCCTCAGCTGATCCTGTGGGGAACTCTGCAGCCACTCCTGCCCTCCAGTTTTGGGCCAAAATGAGCAGCCCTCTACATCTTACCCCTCTGTCACTGGGCACAAACTGCCCAAGGAAGAGATGAACTCAAGTCCTTTCTTGGTAGATCTGGATTGGCACATCTCCATGTTTAAAACACTTTCCCAGTTGTGGCTCTGGTAGCCTATAGGATGGGGCTGCTCTCTGACCAATGTACAGACCCCAGACTATGGATGGAAAGAATGACAACCCCGGAATCCCTGATAAGGTAGAATAGGAGCTACTCCTACATGAGACAATGGGGTTCTGTGATGGATCACAATAGTTCCTGTTAGTCTGTAAAGTGCGATTTGAATTTGTTTCAGACGTTCAGCTTGAACCTACACTCAGCCTCCTTGGCACATCCTTGGTGTCCCCTCCTCCCTAAGACAGCCAGACTCAGACTGAGGACACATAAGCCTACTATAGGTATCCTCCTTAGGCATGGGACTAGTGATTGCAGAGCAGGAAATACATTAAGAATCTGGATAATTAGATATACACTAGTACCTGAGCGTCAGCAAAACTGCCATTCCCTAAATAGAGTGCTTTCCCTCTCTTGGCCCCTGGTGTTCCCCTCTGTGATCATCTGAATGGTGCTTCTGCTTTGGAGGAACTGGATTATGCTGTCACCCTGAGTCCTTCTGATCAGGCTGCTCTCACCATCCCCCTGCTTCCTGTCATAGCCCCACAGACAAGGAATGGCTGTGTACTGAGCTCAGGAGAAGCTGCAGTCATCTTGGGGCTCCCGTAGTCTTTCCCCAGCTGCAAATGGGGATCTGCAGGCACTTATTCAAGGCTGCGCTGTGTGTCAGGATGAGACTGAGGGCCTATTTGCTTTTGTCCCCAACCACCTGGTATACAGCTACCTGAGCACCATGTCACTCGTCTCCTTGAGCTGCAGTCTGGAAAGATGAGGCTTGCATTGCCTGCTTTTGCCCAGCTATAGTTGGGAAGGTAATCAGAAATGTGCCTGGGTAACCCTAGGACTGAGCTCTAAGCCCAGAGCCAGATTTCTCTGAGAATCAGGATCCTGCCTAGCTGAGGATTCCAAGCCTCTGTGGCCTAGATATTGCCCCTGAGGCTCTTTCACAAAACCTGCAGTTTGCTGTACCATATGCCACTCACTCTTGGGGCATAGCCCATTGGCAGAGGCTATTTTCAGGCACATTGATGCCAGGGATCATTGAATGGCCTAAAATGCTGCTTCTAGGGCTATTTTTTCCATTCCTAGAGGCAACTATCAGTTAAGTTGGGACCAACTTCCAAATCCCCCTGCCTCTGGAGGGGCTAGAGGGAGCTGTCTGCCAAGGGATGCTGCTGACACTGAGGCTGGCGGAGCTCCGCAGTCACTCAGCTCTTGGGATCTGTCAAAGGGGCCCTGATAGGGAACTGATGGCTCAGTCAAATTTGAATCATTAAAAAAATGTTGACTTCCAAAAGAGCTAACTTTGAAGCTGTGGGTCATAGAAGAACTGTCTTAGTCCATCTGAGCTTCTATAACAATACCATTAACTATGTGGCTTATAAACAGAGGTCTATTTCACACAGTCCTGGAAGCTGGGAGGTCCAAGATCAATGGTCTGGCATATCTGGTATCTGGTGAGGACTTGCTTCATAGATGACACCTTTTGCTGTGTCTTCAATTGACAGAAGGGGTGAGGGAGCTCTCTGGGGTCTCTTTTATAAAGGCACTAATCCCATTCATGATAACTTTACTCCCATGACCTAATCACTTCCCAAAGGCTTCACCACATAACACTGCCTTGAGTGTTTAGGATTTCAACATGAATTTGGAAGAACACAAATATTCAGACCATAGCAGGAAGCACAAAGAATGATCAAAAACATCAATGAAGTTGTTACCACACCTGAGCCCAAAGGTATTGGGGGTGTCCAGCTGGGGAGGTCACCAGAACCCAGGGAGCCAGTTCAGAAGAAAATACAGCCTTGAGTGGAACAGTGACTTTTTGCCAAGGGTACACTCAGCTGGAGGTGACCCTCCTGCCCTTCCCTGCTATTCTTTCCAGTTTCCCCATGAACTGAAAACAGCCAGGAGACAGGGCAGGGAGCCCAATTGATGCCATTCACACAGCTCAGCCTTCCAAGGTAGAGTGGGGAAAGATAGAGAGTTTATCTGGAGCAAGTGGGACACATGGGTACAGAGTTTTAGCTTCCTCTTCAAGTGTTTGTATCCCTATCAAAGCTCATTCCCAAGAGCTGGCTAAAAGGCTGGTCTCTTATGTGCTTTTATTTATCTATTGCTGCATAACAAATTACCCTAAAACTTAGTGTCTTAAACATTTATGACCTGATGGTTTCTGTGGGTTGGGCATCTGGGACACAGGGTATCTGAGGAGTTTCATCTGCAGGCTTGACTGGGACTGGATCATCTGCTTCCACAGTGGCTGATTCACACACTCCTAGCTCAGATGACCAACCCATCCTGGTTTGCCCAGTGTTGTTTGTTTATGGCAGCTGGGGCAAGCTACAACAGAAGAATTAACTAGTTGACAGACCACTTGGCCCTCACATCCTGAATACTTAAGGTTTGGCACTTTCTGTAGTTTGCCAAACCTTGACATAGACTCATGCTGAGAATCAACTCCAGAGGGAAAAAAAGCTTCTTGGCCCCCATATTTGTAGCAGATGCTCTACCTTGGTGAATACACATCTGTAGATGCCACCTCAGGACTGAGCTAAGCCTGTCCCCACAGATATTAGGGCCAGAGTCTCAGGATCCCACCTGATTGGAGATTCCAAAGCTCTGAAGCGTGGATATCTTAACACCTATTTGAAGTGCATCACAACATGTTTATCAGTTTTGGCATTATGGGTGAGAAACTCATTTAAGTAAGACAGTGTTGGTGGCCTGCCCACATCCACTCGTTCTTACCACTTCAGTGCCCCCTAGCTCAACTACTGACTAGCATCTATGACTCTTCACCTGAGAGCTTTCTCTAGCTATTGAAATCTAGCACATGGCCAGCCAGAAGGCTAGGGAACTAACACCACTGAGAGAAGTCCTCAGCCGATGACTTACAGGAGCTGATGTATGAATACCCCAGCTGCCTCTTCCTTCCATGGCAACAACTCTGTGTCCTGTACTGGCTCTCAGAATTCCCCTGTAAAGGTGTGCTCCAGTTACCCTTGGTGGTAATAAGCTTGCTAACACACCAATTGTTGACTATCTTCCCTTTGTCTCACTTCTTCCCTCCCTTTCCTTGGCTCCCCTCTAAATAACTTGCTCAAATCTTGAGCTTGGGTCTCCTCTGTCAAAACCCAATTTAAGACACTGGACACTCAGACTTGAGGTGGCCTGAGGAAGCCATCGATCTGGCTTAGATAGCTGATTCCAATGGCTCACTTGGCTGCTTACTTGCTGTATGACTTTGTGGTTTGAAAGCAGCATGATTCTGCCCAATTTTCATCTATTAAGATGGGAATGCCACATTCTTGATATCCTGACTGAGACTAATAAGAAATCCCCAAGAGCTCATTTAACATGAATCCTGAGTCATCGGAATGGAATGATTAGATGGAAATCTCTGCCTTTGCCCCTAGTGTGGGCATAATAATCACCACTCCTTGGCCTTCTGCTATGAACAGTATGGTCAAGAGTGCTGCCCTACAGGTGATTCAGTGGATCAAACAAGAGTGGAAAATGAGGAAAGAGCCCCTGCGAGTGTCCTGCTCCCTGAGGAGCCTGAATGGGGTGGAGGCAGAGGCTTACTCACCTCACTGGGGCAAGTAGCTGGAACTGGTGGTATGCCATGGTCCAATGTGGCAGTGTTGGGAGTTGGGACCTCTGGGAGGTGACTGAGTTGTGAGGTCTCAGCCCTCATGAATAGATTAATCCATTCACGGATTAATGGATTGGGTTCTTGAGGGGAATGGGTCATGAGTGGGTCTGTCATAAGCCAGTTTGGCCTTCTCTCACAAGCCCTTTCACCATGTGATGCCTTCTGCTACGGGATGATGAAGAAAGACCTTTGCCAGATGCAGCCCCTCAGCTTTAGACTTCTCAGCTCCAGAATTGTATAAGAATTTTCTTTATAAATTATTCTAACCTTAAGTATTCTGTTAGTTACAGAAAATGGATTAAGACATGGCACATATGATGGCCCTCTTGGATTCAAGATATTAATGGGTTCAAGCAAGGTCCTTTGGGTGCCCAAGCCTGAGGACAACTGTCTGCCAAATCTATCAGTTTTCCATGGATGGCAATGCCAAATCTGATGTTGGCCCTTAGGAACAGGCATTCCATGGAATTTCAGAACACAATACATTATAAGCCAGGAAGTGGCACAGGAAGTATCTGGAATATAATGTACCTTGACTGAATTACTGAACTGTGGGAATCTTGATTTCACTGTATCAGTCAATTCACAGTACATGCTAACTTTATTTTGACAGATGCTGATCTAATGTTGCTTACTTGCTTGGAGTCTGACAAAATTATTGTCTTGGTGCTGAAATTAACATCCTATCCCAGGGTGAGAGCAACAGAAATGTGTTGGGAGATAATGGTCTTTTATGATAGAGAATTTCAGAGTCAATATGGGAGGCAGGCTAATACTTTCAAAGGTAGTTGGATAAGCGTAACATTCCAGATGATGATTCTAGATAGGATATAGTCCAAGAAAGACTTCTGGAGGTGAAGTACATTAAGCAAGACAGAGATAGATGGGATTGAGGGAGAAATGTAAGCTGGCAGGAAAAGGGGCTTATAAGAAAGAGCTTAAGAAATTGAAGCTTTCGGAAGAAGCTGGATGGTCGTGGAAGCCATCATATTGCCTTCAAGTCAATCTTGGGTTAGAATTTAGCCTAACTACTTACAAGCTAAGAGCATTTGGGCAACTTTCATGATTTCCGCTCCAATCATCAGCTTTTTGATATATAAAATGGGGATTCACAACTATTTCCTAAGGGTGCTAAGAGGACTAAAGTACAATGTTGTTAGAATGTCTAGCACACAGTACATGGTCACCAAGTGGTAGTCACTGTCATCCCATTCTAACCTTAAGTATTCTGTTAGTTACAGAAAATGGATTAAGATATGGCAGAAGAGGGATATAAGTTGGACTATATGGCCCAGGAACTAGAAGTTAAAGGGAGACACACTGGACATTCGAAGTACTGTCTGAATAATAGTGGATGCCCCAGGAGTCACCAGACTCTCCTGTACTGAGCAACAGCTGCTGCAGGATCATTGCTTGGCTGGGCTGCTGTAAAGGGTTTTGAGACAGTCTTGGATGGGTAGTCAGATAAGAAGGTTCTAAGGTCACCTCAAACCCTGTGAGGGATGTGCAAATCCTGTGAGGGATCTGAAAATCTTGTTTTTCAGACCCACTAGACTTTGGGTGAACCTTATTCTGACCAAAAACTCAGTTTTTTTTTCCAAATCTCTTCTGTTAAAACCTTGTTGTATCTCACTGCCCAATCAGGGACTTTCATTAGTAGTGAGGTAGGATAATAGGTATGAAAAATGTTTTGACCTCCTTCAAATCTAAGAAAAATACAAATTACATTCCAGGAAATTTATTACAAATTGAGGTTCTGCACATAGCCATGCCCACCCTAGACAAGTTCTTGAACCTACGCAGATTAAATCACTGTAAATGCACCAGGAGAAGGCTTGCTATTTAACCTGCATCACAGGATGATTCTCACGTTGGAGGATTCATGAGAGGAATGGATTTGTTTTTATTAACGTGACTAGTGAATCAATTTTCCAATTACTAATTATAAAATGAGTTATGTTCTCAGAAGAATTTCTTGGATCATTGACTAAGTATGGGGGAGAGTTAAAGGACCTATGCAAGTCCTATAGACCTCTATTTTTGCCGTAGGCCTTGACCTTGCCTTTACCAGCCCTGCTTTTGCGACTCTTCTGGATGTATACGTGTGTGTGTGCGTGTGTGTGCATGTGTGTGTATATATATGTATATATGTGTGTATGTGTATATATGTGTATATATGTATGTATATGTGTATATATGTATATATGTATATGTGTGTACATATGTATATATGTGTGTATGTATATATAACTGGCTACACAGAATCTGTTAGTGACCCTCCTATTTTCCTTGGACCTTTAGAGTACTCAGGGCTGACTTTTGCCAGCATTTGCATCTGATAGCTTTTTTCTGAAATTATAAGGCAATTGACATTACCTTAGAGCTGCCCTCAACCAGTAACTGGCAAGAACATAAGTACCCCAACTTCCTCTTACACACACACCCGACCTGGGAGAGATAATTCTGAGACATTAACTCTGCACCAGTACCTAGGGTCTCCAAAAGGAAGTAAGTTCCTGTTGCCCTTCCTTTCTGTAGCTTTTTTGGCCTCCTTCCCTTCTCTGTATCACTTCCTATGTCCCTACCAGTTCCTCTGTATCTCCCAAATAAACCTGCATTGAATCCTTTGAGGAAACATAAACTAAGTCCCTGGCTGTGTCAATCCCTTTTGAGCCCTATTATAGATTGTTGAATACCAGGCCCCCTTCTCTGTATGCACACCTATACTTTGTCTCCAAAGATCTCAAGGAGGAGCAGTGCAGCCCTCAAACCGTGCCATAGTGGGGTCATGGGATTTGGGACTGGGGACCTGTTCCAAGGAAACCTGCCAAGGGTCCATTTGGCTATTTGTTGAAGACTCAAGTCCCAGAACCAGGGCACATATTGCTGCAGGGAGCAAGGTATTCTTAATCAACTTATCCTGAAATACCCACCTCTTAGTCTTAGATAAATTGACTTTTCTAGATTCTTAAGATGAGTCTGGCATCTGTGTCCCTGAGAAGTCCATTTGAGGGGGAGCTGCTGTGTGGATGTCTGCCACTGCCCATTTGAGGAGAGTTTTCTTGTTACCAGACAGTCCTGCCTTTCCCTCTACCCACAGGATCGGTGGGGAGAGGTGTTCTTGGTTAAAGGCTTAGCAAAGTTCTTGGCATCATGTGGTGGTGCAGGCCTGTAATCCCAGCTATTCCAGAGGCTGAGATGGGAAGACCACTTGAGCCCAGGAGTTTGAGACCATCCTGATCAACATAGCAAGATGCTTTCTCAAAACTAAAAAAAAAAAAATACAACCAAGTGAAACACCACAAGATTTGCCAGGCACAGTGACACATGACTGTAGTCCTAGCTACTTGGGAGGCTCAGGCGGGAGGATCCTTTAAGTGCAGGAGTTCAAGTCCAGCCTGGGCAACATGGTAAGATCCTGTCTCAAAGTTTAGCAAAACCCTGCCTACTTTTACTTTATCCAAATATCAACTTGAACAAAATATGCCTACTTTTATGCAATGATTTCCCCATGCCCCTACAAGGGAGGATACAACCTATTGGGAAGATTTGAGGGAAACTGAGAACTACATCTTTGCATAGAGGTTCTTATCAATATCTTACGGCTACTGACATTTTCATATATAAGATACCCATTTCTGCAGTTTACTTTCTTTATTAATATTGACTAAGTTCATTATCTCTGTCCACAAACTAATTTGATCTCTTGATTCAAATTCAGAAGGCATGTTAATCGCTCCTATCTTAATAGAAGTAAAACTCCTTGAGTAGCAAAATCACAATTTCTGAGAAGGGCTCAGGTTGAAATTCAGGCGGAAAAACCTAGGATGGCTCACTGCCACTTCAATCTGGGCCTGGCTGAGATTTCATAGTGTTGACAGATTCTCTACATCCCCTGACCCTCATATTTCCTTCCATGAATATACTGCAGATAACCCAAGTGTATTTAGAATGTCATTGTTTTGGTGGAGGCGGGAAGGTGCTTGTCCCCCAGGTAATGTGATAGGCCTGTTACACAGGGCTCCTCCCTCTGTGTATAACCACTGATGCCAGACACATGGCAGTTCAGTGGAACTGAGCTGGTAAGAAGGAGCAGAGGAGAGTCATGAGTGATGTTCACATGGGAAACTCTGAATTTTTAATTTGAAAATGGTGACCAGTTTTTTATAGGTAAATATCATTTACCAATTGCTGCTACTGTATTAAATTACATCCAGTGGCATCACTTTTGTATCAATCCTATTAGCTTTCTGTTTATTGGTACATGGAAGTACCGCTCCACCTCCTCCCTCTGAGTTGGATGGGACCTTTAATAAGAGGTGGCACTTGAGGTGTCATCGTGGATAGGAAAGGAGCAAGGCAGATGCCAAGGTGGAGATACGTGGCACAGACGGGAGGTGCTAAGGGTGTGATAGGATTCCTTAAATTTAGAGCCCCTTAGGACGTCTCCCTTAGTTCTTTGCCTAGATTATTAGACTCCTGTGACTTCTGTGTTTGTAATTCATCCCCAACTTAAATAACTTCACAGCAATAATTGTCATGGGAAGAAAGGAAGAAGATCAACTTTGCTGAAGGTATACCTTGGGGACCTGAGAGTGAATTATATATGGGGACAAGGAGTTTACTGTTTTGCCCTAGAAAGGAATACAGATAATTCTTGGGGCACAAGGTGAATCTTTAGCATCGATGCCCTCATATGTCCCATTTCAGTAGAGCTGTGGTGAATCTTTGTGGAACCTAGTGGGAATGGCCAAATTTTGATAGAAAAGAGAACCAGAAAGCAGGCCGAGGTGGCAAACTTCAATGTAAGACTATAAGCTCCCTCAAGGGCAGTACTCTCATCTTTAGTCCCTAGTGACAAGCAAGATGTTTTGATAAATGTGATCCATGTTTGTGCTCAGAAAATGCATGTTTGAATGGAGGGACTCCTGGGAGCCATCTTGGCTGCTGGAGGTGAGCTTGAGCTCATAGTTGGGCTCTGTAAATGTCAGGGTCCTTAGAGGGAAGAAGCAATTACAGTTCTGACCTTTGGAGCATAAGGCAGAGCTCGTGGAAAATGCCTGGCCCAGTGAACTATTATGGAAGCTGCTGAGTGGAATGGGCAGCAAATTTTATTGAGAAGGTTCAGGGGGGATTCTCTCATCTTCCTATTTATGCTGTTTTCCTCTCAGCCTTCCCACCCCTAGGATGGACCACCACACTGCTATACCATAAATATTTGTTAAAACCATGCTCTCTTCCTTCACAGGCTGCCTTGTTTGTGAAGGAAGAGAAGGGTGAATTCAAGGAACAGAACATTCAGGGAGGTTGGAGGGAGGCAGTCTAGCACAAAATAGGTGTATTAGTCAGGGTTCTCCAGAGAGACACAACTAATAGGATATATGCATATATGAAAGGGAGTTTATTAAGGAGAATCTACTCACACAATGACAAGGTGAAGTCCCAGGGACAGGCCATCTGCAAGTTGAACAAGGAAGCCTGTAGTGGCTCACTCCAAGTCCTGAAACATCAAAAACAGGGAAGCCAACAGTGCAGCCTTCAGTCTGTAGTCGAAGGCCCGAGACTCCCTGGCAAACCACTGGTGTAAGTCCAAAAGCCAAAGAACCT
The DNA here is from genome assembly GCF_000001405.40 of Homo sapiens. NCBI lineage: Eukaryota > Metazoa > Chordata > Mammalia > Primates > Hominidae > Homo > Homo sapiens. The sequence goes on along the minus strand of NC_000006.12, from coordinate 40,030,511 downwards.
GGAGTCTGATGTTCGAGGGAAGGAATCATCCAGCATGGGAGAAAGATGAAGGCCAGAAGACTCAGCAAGTCAACTCATTCCATCTTCTTCCACCTGCTTTTTCTAGCAGTGCTGGCAGCTGATTGGGGCCCACCAAGACCTGAGGGTGGGTCTGCCTCTCTCAGTCCACTGACTCAAATGTAAATCTCCTCTGGCACCCTCACAGACACACCCAGAAACAATACTTTGCATCCTTCTAGCAAGTTGACACTTAATATTAACCATCACAATAGGAATATTCACCACACACCTGAATGACTGTATAAAATTAATTAGGGTCAGTTTTTCATTATTTTTTTTCTGTCATAGCCTGTCATTTTGTATTTACAGTGTTACCAGCCTACAGCAAAAAGCTGTCTTTGCCTAGCTCCAGGAAGCTCAAGGCACTCGAGCTACCATTTTTTCTATTTGCAAGGATGAAGATGTTCCAATGTCTTTTCTCCAAGATCATCTTTGGGTAATTTACTAGATGCCTTATATACAGACTTATCTAAAACCTCCAACTCCCTCCCCACCACCAAATGAGGGACAGCTGGATAGTCTCCATCATAATCTTATCCCCAATGAGGTGGTTGGTGGTCAGAGCTGCTTTTGTGCCTGAATCAGTTTTATAACAGAATGGACTGAAGTTGTAGTAGGAGTGAACATACTACTTCAAACCCTAGGTCCCTGATTTTTTGATTCAGAAAATAGGGGCCAGTGTTAAAGCTACTTAGTCTGACATCTGGAATTCCATGAGCTACCCCAGTCTTATCAACCCTAACTCCTGATGTCTGCATGGGCTTAAACCCTGAAATAATTTCTAGAAATGGCTCCATCTGAAATTAAGGCAACCAAATAGTCTAAATTTTATAGGGCCATCCTTCAGACTAGAAATGGTGGTTTTTTAGCCAGAGTTTCTATTCCTTCTGTATACCCTCTTCCACCCCCACAGTGCTGGTGTCACAGCTATACCATAAATACTTGTTAAAATTACATTAGAAATCATAAGCCAAGAAAATAGTGCATCTTAGAATTTTGTCCATTGTGGCACTTCTGTCAAAGTATCTGTTTTATGTTTAGAAGCAGGAGTCAAATCCTAACTAGTGTATCACCCAAGCCATTTCTTAAATGCCATATGACTCTCAACACATTATGGTGGTTTGTCTCCATTAGCCCCATTTGTCTCTTATTCCAGCTCTCTACCTGGGTTCTATGACTGGATCATAACTTAAAGTAGAAACGTTCCTGGGAGGGGCAAGTGATTAACCAAAACATTCTAGACATAAGGCTTTAGTTCATAGGTACAACTGTAAAATGGAGAAATGAGGCATAGTCTAGGGCATGAATATGTGTATTTGAGGGTATGTGGAGGTACCAGAGGTTTTTCCCCTATAAACTCCTAGCTCCTGAAAAATCTATCCCCAGTGTCTGGCATTTAAAACCCAATTAACTGAATGAAATCTTATAGAATAACTGACTCCCAGTCAGTTGCTGCTAACCATAAATAGTTGGTCAAAAAAATGAATGATCCCCCAAAGTGCTTTTTCTAACTCCCTACTTTTCTCCACCCTCACTGCTCTGTCCCACCTTGTGCCAGTGGCCCTTGTTCCCTAGATCTGGTCTTGCTGACTTGATTGAGGAGGAGTTACAGCTGTGGCAGAGTCCACCAAAATACAAGTCTATTAAAAGCATCAGTTCACCAAAGTCCATGAAGTTAACTTGCTGGGTAAGGGGTCCCATTGGATTAGATTTTTAATTGGTATGAAATGCAGCCCAGAAAACTGGGGTCTTGGGGAAACTTGATTCCTCAGCCTGGCAATAATTAACCAACCTCCTCCAGAGTTACTGCCCCCTGGAGTATTGGAGTTGTTAAATCATCAGGCGGGGGAAATTCTATTATCTAGAAGTCTAACCCTTATGTATTCAGTTCTCTCCTCTACTCCCTTCCCATCTTACTGTTGTAAGTGAGCTATTTCTGACTCAAGGCTGCCAAGGAGACTCAGATCCTATAGAACCATAAGACCATGAGTGAATGCCTGTTCCTTTGGGTATCATCTCTAACTTGTTGTTTTCAGGGGCAAATACATAGGAATCAACGTGTTCAAACTGCTGTACCAGAATATCATAGGCAGAATGGCTTATAAATGTATTTCTCACAGTTCTTGAGGCTGAGATGTACAAGATCAAGATAATGGTAGGGGACTACTTCCTAGTTCATAGATGATGCCTTCTCACTATATCCTCACATGATGGAAATGGAAAGGTAGATCTCTGGGGTCTCTTTTATAAGAGCATTAATCCCATTCATGAAGGCTCTATCCTCATGACCTAATCATCTCCCAAATGGCTCTACCTTCTAATATCACATTGGTGATTGGGTGTCAACATACAAATTTGGGGAAAACAGATGATAGTATCCCATCCCTGGACCTCTAAAACTTATCCTTCTCACATTAGGTATTCATTCATCTCAATAGTGCCAAAATTCTTAACTCATTCCAGTATCAACTTCAAAGTTGAAGTTCAAAGTCTCATCTAATATTATCTAAATCAGATATGGATGAGACTCAAGGAATGATTCATCTTAGAGCACATTGCTCTCCAGCTGTGACCTATGAAATCAAACATGTTATATGCACCCAAAACACACTGGAGGGATGGAGAGAGGATAGACATTTCCATTTTAAAATAAGGAAATAGGGAAGAAAAAGGTATTGGGGCCCAAGCAAGTCCAAAGCTCAACAGGGCAAACAACAAATCTTAAGGCTCCAGAATCTTTCTCTGACTTGATGTCCCACCTCTAGACCCACTAAGGTGGAAGTTGGACCCTCAAGGCCTTCAGTGGCACCACCCTCATGACTTTGCTAGGTACAGCCCATGCCACAGCTTTCGTGGGTTATAGTGGGTGGCTGGCTCTTCTAGGCTAGAATTGCATACCAGTAGCTCTACCAGTTTTGTGGTCTTAGGAATGGCTTATCCCCCATGACTCTGCTGGGCATTGCCCTGGTAGGGGCTTTCTATGACGGGCCCTACCCCACAGTTTTCTGGGGCATCCTTGGCAATCTTAGGTAGAGGCTGCCATACCTCCATAGCTTCTCCTGGTACAGTGCACACTGCACCTAGCATAGACAACGTGTGTGGCAATGGAGCTCAGGGAGTGGAGCCTATGATGTGAGGTGGGACCACTATAGCAGCCCCTCCTTTAAAATCATCCTGGCTCCATAGACCCTTGCATTCTGGGCCTGTGATTGGGTGGTACCTTGATTTCTGAACTGTCTTCAGGGCTTATCTTCCATTGCCTGGGACAGTAAGTCCTGGCTTCTCTTTAGGTTACTGACTAATCTCTTTATCAGATGGTCATCCCCTTGTTTTCTCCTAAACAAGCTTTCTCATTCCTGATAATTTCCCAAACTTAAGTTTGGATTACATTTTGTAATCAATTACATTTGATTACAAATTTCATCTTTAAATTGTTTCTTTGTGCATTTAAGCATTCAAGAGAAGCCAAGTCACACCTTCGACACTTTGCTTAGAAATTTCTTCAGCCAAATATCCTATTTCATCGTTCACAAATTCTACCTTCCACGAAACACTAGAAGATAAACATAATTCAGTCAAGTTCTTTGTGACTGATCGCTTTTCCTCCAGTTTCCAAGAACATTTTCTGCATCTCATAGCTCATCAGAATGGCCTTTACCATTCATATTTCTATCAGAATTCTGTTCATGAGCATATAAGTATTCTCTAAGAAGACTGAGCCTTTCTCTATAGCTCTCCTACTCCTTACAAGTCCCCACCAGAATCACCCTTTACAGTCTGTTCATGGCAATGCAGGCTTTCTCTAGCACGAACCTCAACTCTTCCTGTCTTTACCCACTATCTAGCTCCAAAGCTGCTTCCACATTTTAGGTATTTGTTGCAGGGGCACCTATCCTACTTCTCAGCACCAATTTTGCATCCATTCAGTCTGATATAACAATACCTTAGATTAGATAGCTAATAAACAGAAATGTATTTCTCATAATTCTGGAGGCTGGGAAGTTCAAGATTAAGGCACCAGTATATTTGCTGTCTGACGTCCCATTTTCTGGCTTATAGATATAGTTTCTTGCTGGTAGAAGAGGTGAGGCAGCTGTCTGGGGCTGGGGTTCTCTTGTAAGGGCAAAAATCTCATACATCATGAAGGTTCCACCCTCATGATCTAATCACCTACCAAAGGTCCTACCTCCTAACAACTTATTGATAATTAGGGTTCAACATGAATTTTGGGAGGACACAAAAATTCTGATCATTGAAGAGCCCTTTAGACTGTCATTCCAGGACTTAAGAGATTTTCTACTACCCTCTGTAAGCCGGTAAGCCAAGACTGTGGAGCAGGGTCACAAACTGTGATACAGTCATACAGTGTAGAAAATAACAAAGGCAAACTGTGTCTTCCCTACAAGGAATAAAAACAAAATACAAAAATACAAACTAATAAATTGCCAGTCCATTTCGTGTTACTATAACAGAATATGTGAGACTGGGTAACTTTAGAGATTTATTACAGTTCTGGAGGCTGGGAAGTCTGTCAAGGGACCACACCTGGTGAAGGCTTCTTGCTGTGTCATAATGTGGAAAGCATATGGCAAGAATATGGAAGGGAGATGGGAGGGGAGCATTAGGAAGGGGTCCAAACTAATCCTTTTCATCAGAAACACAATCCAGTGATAACCAACTCTATTCCATGACAATGGCATTAATGCATTCAAAAGGGCAAAGTCTTTGTGACCTAATGACATCTTAAGGGTCCCACCTCTCAGCACTGTTGCATTGGGGATTGTCTCCAACACAAACTTTGGAGGACACATTCAAATCATAGCAAGAACGGATACATGTGACAAGATGAATCTCAAAACTTTTTTTTTTTCCAGTAAAAGCCAGACACGAAAGAGAAGCTGTGATTCTGTGTAAAGTTCAAGGACAGGCAAAACCTGTTGTGATAGAAATTAGAATAGGATTTGCCTATAAGGTGTCAGAATAGAAAATAACTACTAAGAGTGTGAGGGAGGTTTCCTGAGTAGTAGAAATAGTCAAGTACCACATGATGTTTTGGTCAACGATGGACCAAATGAGTTGGTCCTGTAAGATTGATACCATATCTTTTTCTATGTTTAGATACATTTAAATATACAAATACTTACCATTATGCTACAACTGCCTACAATATTCAGTAATATGCTGTATAGGTTTGTAGTCCAGAGCAATAAGCTGTGTCATATAGCCTAGTTGTGTAGTAGGCTTATACCATCTAGGTTTAAGTACTCTGTTTGCACAATGACTAAATCCCCTAATGCATTTATCAGAACAAATCCCCATCATTAAGCCACACGTGGCTGTAGTTTATATATTGAGTGTTTGGTGGTTAAACAGGCATATACAGTTGTTAAAATTCATTAGGTTGTACACGGAAGATCTATGCATTTCTCTATACGTAAATTTTACCCCAATAAAAGAGAATTAGACTTGAAGGGAACAAATACACATACCTCCTTTTACTCAGCAAATTCTACTGAAAATTTGTCTCATGTCATTAAGCAAGTATATAAAAACTCATTGCAGTGCTTATAATAGAAAAATATAGAAATAGAACTTAAATGCTCAGCAGTATAGTTAAATTATGGTAGCTCAAAACAGAATGCTCTATGGCCATAAAAAAATAATGTTGAAATGTACTTTGACATGGGAAAATACAAAATGTGATGAATTATAAACATGAGTACAAATCCATTTTTGCAAACACTAAATATAACTGGCTTTTTTGTTTAGCTTAATTACAGGCAAAATTTATGCTTTTCTGAGTCTTATATAGTATATAACAGTATATGTGTCTATAATTTGTGCCACTTAAATTTCTAGTTGTATTCTTACACATCTTTAATTAGATTTGGGACAGCTCCTACCACAGTGCCCAACTCTTAGAGTGCCAATGCTCATAGTCTGTTCTGTCTCCTCCATTTCTTTCCCTTCTACTCAGGCTCTCAATCTTGTATTCCTTTTTTCTCTCTGGAAAAAAATCTGGGAGCTTAGTTTTTCCATATCATTGATACACTGCCACCATTTAGTCCAGAGGAAGATACCCGTTTCTTCTTTTGGGCTTGAACTTTTCAGACTCCTAGCAGTGGTCTGCTTCCACTCACAGCAATCTAGTCCACACTCCTAGGTTTGTGCACTCTGCTCTTTCATGAAGGTGCAGAGTGACCTGGATGGGACCTATGTACCCTTGAGAGCTTCAAGGGCCAGTTTGTTGGTGCCTTGCTCCTACTTGCAGGCCCTGGCCTCAGGTTCCAGGTGAGGTATGCACACTTTGGGCATACCAGGCTGCTTCTCAGCCTCTGATTTTGGTCACATATCCACACTGTTCCAGCTGTCTTGTCTTCCTCTAGCACTGTCTTTGGGCTCACACCTTCTTTTCACCTACCTTTTATTCTAGGTTTTCAGATCCTGAGACTCTTGGCTATTTTCGTATTTTGTACAAAGAGGTAGTATAGTACAGATAATAAGTTTGAATAGCCACCCCTCCTCAAAAGTATGTAAAAGTCCTAACCCCCAGAACTCTGTGAATATGACCTTTTGGATATGGAATCTTTGAAAATTAGATGATATCATCCTGAATTTAGAATGACCCCTAAATTTGATGACAAGCAGCCTTATAAGAAAAGTGAGATATCTGACACACAAAAGGCCATGTGAAGGTGGAGGCAGAGCTTGGAGTTATGCCGCAACAAGCCAGGGTACACCCGGAGTCATCAGAAGCTGGAAGAGGCAAGGAAAGAATCCTCCCTAGAGCTTTGAGGAGGCATGGCCCTGGCCATCCCTTAATCTCAGACTTCTGGCCTCAACACTGATGGAACAAATTATTTTAAGCCACCCAATTTGTGGCGATGTACTCTAGCAACCACAGGAAATGAACACAGGTAGTAACTGGCAAAGCATCTGTATCAGTCCTTCTCCTACCCCTACCGCTTGACCTGGTAGAAGGAACTGTGGTCCATGCGTGAAAGACATGCATGAAAGCCTGATGGTGAGGGCTGGTGTGGGTTCAATGCAGTCTGAGGAGTGATTCCAGGAAACTGAGTTTGGAAACAAATTAAGTGAAACCAGGAAGGAGGGAGGGGCATCCAAAATTAAGTGTGTGGTGTAGCAAGCTTGTTACCACTGAGGACAAGGGAGGTATGTTTTTGCAGGGATTCTCCAGGAGCTGTAGCAGTCCCACAACCACCCCAGAATTGTCTGTTCAAGGGTCAGAAGAGGGGAATACTTACTTCCTGGCTCCCTTTCCTAGTTGGTCAAGTCACCTGGTTGGTCAAGTCACCTCGTTGGTCATTAACTGCTCATTGCTTGTGCTGCTTTCAGCTGTGCCTGCAAAAGCCGGAAGTGAAAGAAGGCCCTGGGCAGAATGTGAGATGTGCGGTTCCAGTGCCGGAGTTGGTATGACAGCTGTAGCTAGAGTAAAGGTGGGCTGGGGGGACCGAGGCGGGCCACCAGAGGTGTGACCTAGAGCACAGAAAGATGTGTCATCAGACTTGGATTGCAGTCTGTAACTTCAGGGAAATGCTCTCAAAACTCTCAGCATGCTTAATTTACAACGGATTTCCCAGATCCGATGAAGGTCTGATAAGAGTGAATATGAGAGTGTTTCATAAACTGTAAAACACTAATGAATACCAACCAGTATTTCCCATTGTATATAATCCGCCCAAACTGCAAGAGCCTATTTCTTTGTCTCAGACCCTGTGCTCCACTCCTTCTCCACTCCCCGCCTCATTCCTGACAGATCTTGTTACATCTCCAGCTGGTGTCCTACCCAGGCTACCTGCAGATGCAGGTTAAGGGGCAATTAAGTCTCTCGGAAGATGCTGCCCAGTGGAGGGACTTGGAAGGGAGAGAATAGTCTTCCCGGATACAGAAGGAACTCGCTCTCCTCAGAAGCATCTTTTCGTATAAGACCTAATTGCATCTTTCCTACTGCTCTTGCAAATGAAATTTAAATATCTAACAAGCACCCTTTGGGTGGCTGCAGTTTCCCCAGATGAGATCTCAGAGGAAGGCACCTACCTGGAGCCCACACAGTTGCAGATTCTGTTCCTCTCCCTCACGTGCCCTCGCTGACCGAGCACTCAGGGTGGGTGGCCTGGGCAGTGGCTGCTGTTTGGTGCCCTTGCCATACAGAGCCTGAATGGGGCTGCTGCCATAGTTGGGCCAGATCCTGGTGGGTACCATCAAACCATGGATGCAGATGGGCCAACCCCATGGTTGATGGGGTCTGGAGCCAGATCTGATGTAGCTACCTACCACCAGAAATGGATACTTGCCCCCGGGAGTAGAGCCTAACACCCCTAACAGGCCAAGTGGCTTCTTCTGTCTTCTTACTTTCTCTGATATGCTATGTCTGATCACAGGCCCCCTATTTTTCAGAAGAAATGTTATAGGAATAAAACATTAAACTAAAAATATATGTGTAACTATTAAGTATATTTAACTATGATATAAACTATTATAACTATATAACACCTATATTTTATAAGCTAACTATATTATAACTATCGTAAATATTAGTCAAATTTTCAACTGACAGCTCCCACGTATTAGGAGAATTGGAGGAGGTTTATAAGGGGACCCTTTACAAAGCAAGGGTGAGGTGTGCTGAACTGTGATTAGCAACAGTGGAGCTGTGATCACCCTTAGGCCTGATGGAATGAGGAAAGGGACCCTGAAAGAATTGTAACCTACAGGCTACCTGGAGAAATATCATATGAACGCACTTAGAGAATGCTACCATGCTAGGCACTGGGGATTTGAGAGACGAAGGGAGATTCCTTGTGTTTAAGAAATTCTGCTTAGAAAGTGAAGCAGTTATCAAAGGCCATACAATAGGACAGGTGTTCTACATCTTACAGTTCAGATAACTGTAGTAGGAAAGAATAGTGCTCCCACTCTTGGAAAGCTGGCCAGAAAGGGATTACTAGAAGACTTCACAGATGATAGCTGAAATGAATTTAGGAGGTGTTATTTAGATAAGCTTTAGGTAGAAGGAGCAGCATCTGTGTACACTCAGTGGTATTTGGATTCCTGCCACGTTTTGGGAATGGCTGGAGTTTGGACAGCTGCCAGTAGGGGTAGGAGAATAAAAGGAGGTACCCCATTCAGTGACTTTCCAAGACCTACCTCTCTGTTCCCACTTTAGTCAGATGCAGAGGATTACGGGAAGCTGCCAGTAAAGCCATTGTGAGGCTGGACACCCCATGCAGCTGATGGCCAACCCAAAAATTCTGAGTAAGCTGCTCAAAGCTGTGGTGTAGATCTACCAGGCCTCCTCCTGCTTCCTTCCTGGAGTCTCTCAAGGAGTACAGGCAGACCTTAAAAGCCTGAAGGTTTGTGCAGTATGGGACTGAACAGCCTCGGGGTCTAGAAATGAGGAAGCCACATCATCTCTCTAGTTCTTGCCTGTGCTCAGACTTGTTCCTGCAGGCATGCTGAGGGCCCCAGAGGCCCTTCCTCCTGACCCCAATTATTAGGCTGTTTCTTCCATGCCAGTAGCGTGTAAGAATCAATCCAAGGTCAAAAAAAATCAATATTTAAAATGTACTCTCAGGTTATCTACCTATCTACCTCTTAATATTTCTACCACTCTTAAAGAATTTTGAAAGTCTTTGGACCAGATAACACCTGATAAAGTACCTATGTTGAAGGGGAAAGCTATTAACCTAGAATCTATTATTCCTGGCAGTACAGATGTTTCCTTAAAGATGGAACGTGGGACTGACAAAATTTTGAAAAGGGAAGAGAGAAGATGGAAAAATGTTAGGGTGTAAGATACTGAATTAGGGAGGACCCATGAGCTTCGAGGATTCTCTGTGGATAGGAGAGATCATGCAGTGAAGACCAAGATCAGTTTGAATTCATCAAATAGTTACTTAATTCTTCCTGCCTTGGTTCCACTCTTATCTGGCTGGGACTGATACACATATTTCATTGGAAACCTACCTGGGGCAGAGCCCCATGGCAGTTACTCTGTACTCCATTTAGCCTGCTTGGGAAATGTAGTTAAAACTGTGTGAAAAGGGGTATCATCTTGATAGCCATGGCAGGGTGCTTGATAAGAATATGGTTCCCTGCCAAGCCATTGTTTCTTTATCTTGGGGGATGGGTGGAAAAGTAGAAGGGAGGTGCTCAAGACCTTTGCAGGTAGAATGTCAGGGAGGACTGGCTCAGACTTAAGTAGGACAGTCAGTGTGGAGGACATTGTGGCCTTTGGGCTGGTCACTGAACCCCATAAGCCTTAATTTCTCCTATCTGAAGTTGGGTGAGTAATATCTAACCCTCTCATATAGGTTTGGAAGGAAGAGAGATGTTAAGCCAACAGGGCCTACCGAGGGGCTAAACTAACAGGTGTTCATTCCTTCCTACGAGATTAATACTATAAAAACAAGCAGGAAAATGTCAAAAGTGATGAAACTCTAAAGGCAGAAGGGAGGAACTGTTGATGTGCATATGCTGTGGGAGAATAGAGGAGCATGAATAAGAGTATCTGTTTCATGACAAATGTGCAGCATCCTCACGATTAAAACCAGGGCAGTGCAGAAGCCCTGTGCTCGTGAGAAACTGCAGAAAAATAGGGCACCAACTAATGCAGCTGTTTCTAGAAAACTTCCTCTTAACTACCAGTACTGCTGCCTTTTTACTGTTTCCTTTGCTGTTCAGAAGCCTTTTAGTTGTATGCAGTTCTATTTGTCTATCCTTTTATGGTCTGTGCTTTTGATGTCTTAGCCTCCCAAAATATTATTCTACAGACCAATGTCACTGAGCTTTTTCCCCCGTTTTCCTCTAGTAGTTTCAAGGTTATAGGTCTTTTAGTCTTTAATTCATTTTGGGGTTTTTTTTATGATGTGAGAAAATGGCTTATTTACATTCTTCTGGATGTGAATATCTTGTTTTCCCAAAACCATTTAAGATACTATTCATTTTCCATTGTGTATTCCTGGCACCTGACTATAACATCAAAGATCAATTGACCGTAAACTCCCTCAGATTTTTTTGAGTCCTTATCTCTCCGTTTTTGAAGGACGGCTTTGCCAGGTGTAGTAGTCGTGGTTGACAGTTTTTTTTTTTTCTTTCAGCTCTTAGAATATATTCTGTGACACTCTTCTGGCCTTGGAAGTATTCTGAGAAATTTGCTGATAGCTTTGAGATCTTCCTTGTATGAGATGATTCACTTTTTTCTTGCTGACTTCCAAACTTTTGTCTTTCACTTTTGATAACTATAATGTCTATGTAATCTTTTGGGGTTATGTTTGAAACTTCACAGGTATGAATGTCCATATTCCTCTCCAGATTTGGGAAGTTTTCAGCCATTTTTTTAAGCTTTTTGCCCCCTTTCTCTTCTCCCTTTTGAACTCCTCTAATGCATACATTGGTTCTCTTGATATTGTCCCACAAATCCCGTACACTTTATTTCTTCTCCTCTGACTAGATAATTTTATATTACCAGTCTTCAAATTCAGACGCTTGCTTCTGCTTGATCAATTTTGTTGAAGCTCCCTCTTGCATTTCATTTCATCCATTGTATTCTCCAGCTCCAGAATGTTTATTTGGCTTTAAAAATGATTTCTACTTATTGAACTTCTCATTTTATTCAAGTATTTTCCTGACTTTATTGAGTTGTCTTTTCTCTTGCAGCTCACTAAGCTTCCTTAAAACAATTATGAATATTTTCAGGCAACTAATAGATCCTCATTTTGGGAAGATTGGTTACTTGAGCTTTATTAGTTGCCTTCAGTGTCATATTCATTTGATCATGATTTATGTAGTCTTGTGTTGATGGCCTTGCATTTTAAGGAGCAAACACTTCTTCCTATCTTAACACACTGGCTTTGTCAGGTAAAGACCTTCTTCTGCCAGGTCCATGAATTGATGATACTGCCTCCAGGATCACAGTCAAGTGGGGCTAGAGCCCAGGACATCTGGCTGCTACTGGGTCTGCAGCTTGGTCCCTGGTTGACAGGCCTGTTAATGAACCATATGTGGGCCTCGTTTCTGCTAGATCCCCAGATGAACAGGGACTTCCTATATGGGACCATAGTTGAGTAGGAGAAGGGCCAGGTCATGAAGCCACTTCTAGTTCCAAAGTTAACTCTGCAGATAGTAGCCCATTACAAAGAGTATGAACAAGTGTGCTCCTCCTGAGTAGATCCCTAGGAAATCAAGATGGGCTTTAAGATCAGAGTTGAGCTGGAGATAGGCTGCAGGGTTGCTTTTGAAGATCTACAGTTGGCTTGACGTTGGTGGGCTTATTTACCAGAGCAGAAAAGCATGTCTCCTGCTAGACCCCTGAGTGAGAAGGACTGACTGTGGGTCATGGTAGAACAGAGCTGGAGCTAAGTCACAGGGTTACTTCAAAATTTATAGTTGGATCTGAGGTCAGTGAGCCTGCTACTAGGGACACAGATGAACGTGGCTACTCTGAAGTCCTCTGGCAGATGGGTGTGGTTATGAGACTGTGGCAAATGAGTCTGGGGATGAGTATCTAGCATGATGGGGATATCTTTGGTCTACAGCTAGTACCACATTTGGCAAGCCTGCCACTGGGGTATAATCAGGGTTTTGTAACCCTTACCTTTATTTCAATGATCCCACAAGGACACTTTTGTCCAGAGTTTGCTGCTGATCATTGTTTGGGGGGAAGCAGGCTGGAGACCTCTTATTCCATCTTATTATTCAAGTCAAAAGCAGTTTTGGATGAAGCACTATACTTACAGAAAAATATATAAATCTAGGATATACTACAAGAACAATGATCAGATGCATTTTTTTATCTTAGCTATTTTTTAAGACAATCTTAAATTTACAATAATCCAGAATTAATCTATAACATTAATCATGAAGATGTGGGGGGGAGGGAAAGGATGTAAGATTATGCTAAATTTCTTGCCATGTTAAGAAGATAGATATTACATAAAAATAGGATTTAATACCCGCAGTAAAAAGTGGGACAAGCTGAAAAGTTTAAGGTATTAGAAAACAGTAAGCATTCATTGTAATACATGTACAAAACTCACTAGGAGAATTATCGACAGGTGGAGTTAAAATCAAATGAAAATGGAAACATAACCTGCTGGATACAGCAGAAGCAGTGCTAAGAGGGAAGTGTATAGCATTAAATTCCTTCATCAACAATGGAGACTTCATCAACAAAGGGGGGGTGGGGGGTTCAGGGAGACAGATTCTCACTCTGTTGCCCAGGCTGGAGTGCAGTGGCACGATCTGGGCTTACTGCAACCTCCGCCTCCCAAGTTCAAGTGATTCTCCTGCTTCAGCTGGAGATTATAAATTAAGTGTAACAATGCAGCTTGAAGTAGGAAAGCGAGAAAATAAGCCAACCCCCCCCCCCAGTAGCAGAAGAGAAAAAGCTGAATCAAATGAAGACTAAAACTAACAAAAACTAACAGAAGAAAACAATTAAATGAAGACTTTAAAACATAAAATTATTAACAAGTCAGTTTATTAAAAAGGTAAAATTGTTAAACTGCTAACTAGTCAGGGAGAGAAGACCTAAATCAGAAGTGAAAAGGACGTTACAACTGATATGAAACACAACATCAGAGACCTGGAGACACAGCCTACCAAGACTGAATCAGGAAGTAGAAAACCTGAACAGACCAATAATGAGTAATGAGATTGAATCAGTAATAAGTCTTCCAACAAAGAGATGCCCAGGACTGGCTGGATTCATAGCTGAATTCTACCAAATGTACAAAGAACTAGTATCAGTGCTTTTGAAACTATTCAAAAAACCAAAGAGGAGGAAATTCTTCCTAACTCATTCTATGAGGGCAGCTTCACCCTGATACCAAACAAGGACACAAAACTACAGTCCAGTATCCTTGAACATTGTATTAGTCCGTTTTCATGCTGCTGATAAAGACATACCTGAGACTGGGAAACATACAAAATAAGGAAGTTTAATGGACTTACAGTTCCACATGGCTGGAGAAGCTTCACAATCATGGCAGAAGGCAAAGAGAAGTAAGTCATGTCTTACATGGATGGCAGCAGGCAAAGAGCTTGTGCAGGGGTATTCCTCTTTTTAAAACCATCAGCTCTCATGAGACTTATTCACTATCATGAGAATGGCAGGGGAAAGACTCGCCCGTACGATTCAATTACCTCCCACTAGGTCCCTCCCACAACATGTGGGAATTCAAGATGAGATTTGGGTGGGGATACAGCCAAACCATATCAAACATACATGCCAAAACCTGTTACAAGATACTAGCAAACTGAATCCAACAGCACGTCAAAAAGATATAATCAAGTGGGATTTTAATACCAGGGATGCAAGGATGGTTCAATATATGCAAATAAATGTCACATCAACAGAATGAGAGAAACCATATGATCATGTCAAGAGACACAGAAAAAGAACTTGATAAAATTCAACATCCCTTCATAAAACTCAAACTAGACATAGAATAAATAATAAAAACTATATACAACAAACCCACTGCTAACATACTAGACAGAGAAAAGTTGAGTCTTTCCTTTAAAAATTGGAATGAGACAAGGATGTGCATTCTTACCACTCCAATTCAGCAGTACTGAAAGTCCTAACCAGGGCAATAAGGAAAGAGAAAAGGCATCCAAATTGGAAAAGAGGAATTCAAATTGTTCTTCTTTGCATATATGATCTTATATCTAGAAAAACCTAATGACGTCACTAAAAAACTTAGATTTGATAAATTCAGTAATTTTGCAGGACAAAAACAAGGTCAACATATAAAAACTCATAGCCTTTCTATACACCAGTCTAGCTGAGAAAGAAATCAAGAAGGCAATCCCATTTATAACACTTAAAACAAAACAAAAAACTGGCCAGGGATGGTGGCTCACACCTGTAATCTCAGAACTTTGGGAGGCCAAAGCAAGTGGGTCACTTGAGGTCAGGAGTTTGAGACCAGCCTGGCCAACATGGTGAAACCCCATCTCTACTAAAAATATTTGGTGCAAAAGTAATCGTGGATTTTGCCATTTAAAAAATGGCAAAAGTTAGCCTGGAATGGTGGCTGTACCCCTGTAACCCCAGCTACTCAGGAGGCTAAGGCATGAGAATCGCTTGAACCCAGGAGACAGAGGTTGCAGTGAGCCAAGATCGTGCTACTGCACCCTGGCCTGGGTGACAGAACAAGATTCTATCTCAAATTAAAAAAAGAAAACTAGAAACAAACTTAACCAAGAAAGTAAAAGATCCCTAAAATGAAGAAAACTACAAAAGACTCAAGAAATTGAAGGTGACATAAACACATGGAAAACATCTCATGCTCATGGATTGGAAGGATTAATATTGTTAAAACAACCATATTGCCCACAGCAGTCTGCAGACTTACTGCAATTCCTTTCAAAATATTCTTCACAGAATTAGAAAAAAAGATCCTGTTTCATATGGAACCAAAAATGGGCCTGAATAGCCAAAGCAATCTTAAGAAAAATGAACAAAGTAGGAGGCATCACATTACTTTAAAAATGTATTACGTGGCTATAGTAAGCAAAATAGCATGCTTCTAGTACAAAAATACTGGAACAGAATACAGAACCCCGAAATAAAGCTACATATTTATAGGCATCTGATCTTTGACAAAGCTGACAATAACTTTAAATGGGGAAAGGACACCCTCTTCAATAAATTGTGCTGGGAAAATTGGATAGCCACATGCAGAAGAGTGAAACAACCCCCGTCTCTCACTATATACAAAATCCAACTCAAAACAGACTAAAGTCTTAAATGTAACACCCAAACTATAAAAATGCTAGAAGAAAAACCTATAGTAAACTCTTCTGGACATCAATCTAGGCAAAGAATTTATGACTAAGGCCTCAAAAGCACAGGCAACACAAAATAGATGGGACATAAACTATAACTTCTACACAGCAGAAGAAAACAGTGAAGAGATGTTGAATGAGAGAAAATATTTGCAAACTATGCATCCAACAGAGGACTAATATCCAGAAGACATAAATTCAGAACAGGAAAAACAATCCATTAAAAAGTGGGCAAAGGACATGAACATCTCAAAAGATATGCAAATGTCCAATAGGAATATAAAAGAAATGTTCAACATCACTAATCAAAGAAAGAAATAAAACACTACAATGAGATCATCTTACCCCAGATAAATAGCAGCAATAAATTAAATTGAAGCTAAAAAACACAGATCTATGAAATAGTTGACTTTTTGAAAAGACAGAATTGAAACTTTTCCTTAGAAAATCCAAATAAGTCAAATCAGAAAAAAGACATAACAGATTACCAAAATACAAAGAATCATTAGACTATTATGAACAACTGTATATCAACAAATTGGAAAGCCTAGAAGAAATGGACAATTTCCTGAACATACACAACCTGCCAAGATTGAAGCATCTAGAAACAGAAAACCAGACCAATAACAAATAATGACATTGAAGCCATAAAGTCCCCCATCAAAGAAAAGCCCAGGACCTGCTGGCTTCCCTGCTGAATTCTGAACATTTGAAGAACTAAGACTTTAAGATCTGAAGCTATGAAACTACTAAAATAAAACATTGGGGAAATACTCTAATATCAGTCTCAGCAAAAACTGTGTAAGACCTCAAACACAGGCAGCCAAAGCAAAAAGAGACCAAGAGGAATTACATCAAACTAAAAAGCTTCTGCATGCCAATCAATCAACAAAGTGAAAAGACAACCTACAGAATGGGAAAAAATACTCACATACCACCCATTGGTATATATTCTGGATTGGTAACCAGAATATATGAAGAGCTCAGACAACTCAGTAGGAAAAACTATTCTATTTGATTTTAAAATGGGCATCAGAATAGATAATTCTCAAGACGCGCAAATGGCCAACACATAAGAAAAAATGTTCATCACTAATCATAAATGCAAACCAAAACTGCAATGAGATACCATCTCATCCCCTTTAAGAAGGCTTTTATGAAAAACATGGGAACAATGGATACTGGTGAAGAGGTAGAGAAAGTGGAACACTCATAGGCTGTTGGTGGGAATGTAAATTAAGACAGCCACTACACAAAACTGTTTAGAGGTTCCTCAAAACTAAAAATGGAACTACTGTATCTTCCAGCAATTCCACTGAGTATATACAAAAAGGAGATAAGTATAAAGCAATGTCTGCACTCCCATGTTTGTTGCAGTACTACTCACAACAGCCAAAATATGGAATCAATGTAAATCTCCATAAATGGATGAATGGATAGTGTTGTATATATACACAGTGGAATCTATTAAGTCATAAAGAATGAAATCGTCATTTTTAGCAACATAGAACTGGGGGCAATTATGTTTAGTGAAATAAGCCAAGCACACACAAGCGCACACACACACACAAATACTGTGTGTTCTCATATGTGGAGCTTAAAAGCGATCTCATGAAGATAGAATAGATTGGCAGTTACCAGAGGCCAGGAAGGGGGAAAGTGAGATTGATTCACGGGTAAAAATAAACATTCAACTAGAAGAAATAAGATCTAGTGTTTGATCAGTAGGGTGACTGTCAATCTATTATATATTTCAAAATGCAAAACAATTCAGATGCTCCTAACATAAAAAGATGAATATTTAAGTGCTAGATATCCCAATTACCCTGATTTGATCCTTACACATCATATGAATACATAAAATATCACATGTACATATTTGGGGAGTACATCTATTTGTCCATACACAAAAAAATACCTAGAACTGAATGGTGACATATATTACAGCCTCTGTGATAAAGCTAATAGCTATTAGATACCTTTTAAAAACAGGAATTTTCAAAAGGTCAAGAACTTAACAAAATTAGAGAATAAACTCAAACATGAATTAAAAACAAATCTTCAATAAGATAAGCTAAAGTGAGATTGTTGAAATGAATAATAAAATAGACACCTCCGATATGACTGATCAAAAGAAGTAAGAGGCAGAGCAAGATGGCCAAATAGAAGCCTCCACTAATCATCCTCCCTATAGGAACACCAAATTTAACATCTACACAAAAACGTCCCTTCATAAGAACCAAAAACCAGGTGAGGGATCACAGTACCTGGTTTTAACTTCCTATCACTGAAAAGAGGCACTGAAGGGAATAGGAAAGACAGCCTTGAATTTCCAAGAGTAAAAGGGACTTTGTCTTGCAACATAGATATCAGCTCGGCCACAGTAGGGAAGAGCGCACATAGCACCCTACTTCTATAGCCTGGCAGCAGCCACATGGCATGGAGAGAATCTGCATTTGGGGGAGGGAAAATGCAGGACTGTGGGACTTTGCATTGGAACTCAGTACTGCTGACCCCAGGCAGAACTCAACTGGTGCCCACAGAGGGAGCATTTACCAACCTTAGCCAGAGGGGAATTACTCATCGCAGTGGTTGCAACTTGAGTTTCAGCAAGTCTTGCTGTGGAAGGCTAAAGTCTTCGAGTTCTAAATAAACTTGAAAGGCCACCTGGGTCACAAAGACTGCAACCCCTAGGCAATTCCTAGTGCTGTGCTGGGCTCAGAACCAGTGGACTTGGGGAACACGTGACCTGGGTGAGATACCAGTCCAGGCAGCTAAGAAAGTGTTTGTGTCACCCTTTCTCCCAACCCCAGACAGCACAGCTCACAGCTCCAAAAGAGACTTCTTTCTCTTGAGAGGAGAAGGAAGAGTAAAGAGTATTTCATCTTGCAAGCTGAATACAGCTCAGCCACAGTAGGATAAGGCACAAGGCAAAGTCATGAGGCCCCCGCCATTCTAGGCCCTAGCTCCCAGATGATATTACTAGACATACCCTGGGCCAGAAAACAACCCATCATCTTAAAGAGAAGGGCCCAATCCTGGCAGGATTAATTATGTGCTGAGTAAAGAGCCCTTGGACCCTGAATAATCAGCCATAACTAAGTAGTACATGCTATGGGCCTTGGGTGAGACTGAGACATTTCTCTAGCCACAATGGAATAAAAGTAGAAATAAAGAAATTTTAGAAAGTACACAAACACATTGAAATTAAATATACTTCTGGATGACCAGTGAGTGGATAGAGATTAAGAAAACTGAAGTTTCTCAAAACAAATAATGAACTGACATATCAAAACCCATGAGACAGTGAAACTTCAGAAAGTTTATAGCTATAAATGCCTACATCAAAAAAAAAAACTTCAAATAAGCTTAAAGCTGCCTCTTAAAGAATGAGAAAAGCAAGAGCAAACCAAACCCAAAATTAGAAGAAATAGGGATGAGAGCAGAAATAAATGAAATTGAAATAAAACAGTATAAAAGATCAATGAAACAAAGTTGGTTTTGTGGAAAGAAACAAAATTGACAAACCTTCAGTCAGACTAAGATAAAAAGATAACCCAAATAAAATCAGATGAAAATAAAGACATCACAACTGATAGTGCAGAAATTCAAAGGATCATTAGAGGCTACTATAAGCATCTATAGTAAACTTAGAAGAAATGTATAAATTTCTAGACATATAACCTACAAAGATTGAATCATCAAGAAATCCAAAACCTGAACAGACCAATAACAAATGAGATTAAAGCTGTCATAAAGTCTTCCATCAAAGAAAAGCTTGAAACCTGATGACTTCACTGCTGAATTTTACCAAACATTTAAAAGAAGAACTAATCAATCCTATTCAAACTATCCCAAAAATAGAGGGAGTATCTTCAAACTCATTCTGTGAGGCCAGAATTACCTTGACACCAAAACCAAAGATGCATCCAAAAAAAAAAATCAATATCCCTGATGAACATTGATGCAAAAATCCTTAAAATACTATCAAACCAAATTCAACTCATTAAAAAGATCATTCCTCCTGACTAAGTGGGATTTATTCCAGAGTTGCAAGGATGGCTCAACAAATACCAATAAATGTGATACATCATGTCAACAGAATGGAGGACAAAAATCATAAAATCATTTCGATTAATGCTGGAAGAGTATTTGATTAAAATTCAACATGTCTTCCTAATAAATTCTTGAAACTGAGTATAAAAGGAATATACATCAACATATAATAAAACTATATATGTCAGACCCACACAGCTAGTATCATACTGAATGGGGAAAAATTTAAGTGTTTCTTCTAAGATCTAGAACATGACAAAGATGCCCATTTTCATCACTGTTGTTCAGCATAGTACTAGAAGGCCTAGCTGGAACAATTGGACAAGAGAATGAAATGAAGAGCATCCAAATTGAAAGGGAAGAAATCAAATTCTTGTTTGAAGATATCTTATTTGGAAAAACCCTAAAGACCCCATCGAACTATTAGCATTGATAAATTCAGTAAAGTTGCAAGGTACAAAATCAAAAATTTGTACCATTTCTATGATAGTGGCAAGTAATCTGAAAAAAAAAATCAAAGTAACCCCATTTACAATAGCTAAAATAAAATTAAATGCCTAGGAATTAATTTAACCAAGGGAATGAAAGATATCTATAACTACAAAACACTGATGCAAGAAACTTAAGAGGACACAAAAGAAAGATATTTCATGTTCATGGATTAGAAGAATTAATATTGTTAATGTTCATAATACCCAAATCGATCTACAGATTCAATGCAATTCCTGTCAAAATTCCGATAATGTTCTTCACAGAAATATAAAATACAATCTTAAAACTTATATGGAATCAGAAGAGACCCAGAATAGCCAAAGATATCCTGAGCAAAAAGAACAAACTTGGAGGAAAGAATCACATTATCTGACTTCAAGTTATACTACAGAGCCATAGTAACCAAAACAGCATGGTAGTGGCATAAAAACAAACACATAGACTAATAGAACAGAATAGAGAATCCAGAAACAAATCCGTATATCTACAGTGAACTCAATTTGACAAAGGTGCCAAGAACACATATTGGGGAAAGGACAGTCTCTTCAGTAAACAGTGCTGGGAAAACTGAATATCCATACACAGAAGAATGAAACTAGACTTGTATCTCTTGCCATATACAAAGACCAAATCAAAACGTATTAAAGACTCTAAGACCTCAAACCAAAACTAAAAAAAAACATTTGGGAAATTCTCTAGGATATTGGATGGGGCAAAGATTTATTGAGCAATACCCCACAAGCACAGGCAACCAAAGAAAATAGGACAAATGGGACCACATCAAGTTAAAGCTCTAGCATGGCAAAGGAAACAGGAGACAACCCACGGAATGAGATAAAACATTCATAAACCATCCATCCAACAAGGGATTAACAGCCAGAATATATAAGGAGCTCAAACAACTCAAAAGGGAAAAACCCTACTAATCCACTTTTAAAATGGGCAAAAGATCTGAACAGACATTTCTCAAGACATGCAAATGGGTATATGAAAAGGTGCTCAATGTAATTGATCATCAGAGAAATGCAAATCAAAACTACAATAGATAATCTCATTGTAGCTTTGTGTAGTTGAAGTGGCTTTTATTTAAAAGACAGGCATTAACAAACGCTGGCAAGGATGTGGACAAAAAGGAACCCTCGGGTACTGTTGATGGAAATTTAGATTAGTACAACCACTATGGAAAATAGCTGGGAGGTTTCCCAAACTAAAACTAGAGCTTACCATATGATCCAGCAATCCCACTGCTAGATATATATATCCAAAAGAAAGGAAACCAGTATACTGAAGAGAGATCTGCACTACCATGTTTATTGCAGCACTGTTCACAATAGCCAAGGTTAGGAACCAATCTAAGTGTCCATCAACAGACAAATGGATAAAGAAAATGTGGTACATATACACAATGGAGTACTGGTCACCCATAAAAATGAGATCCTGTCGTTTGCAGCAACGTGGTTGGAACTAAGGGTCATCGCGTTAATGTTCTCATTTATTTATGGGAGCTAAATATTAAAACAATTGAATCATCCATGGAGACAGTAGAATGACAGTTACCAGAGGTTGAAGTATAGAAGGAGGGAGAAGTGAGGATGATTAATGGGTTTAAAAAAATAGAATAAGGTCTAGTATTTGATAGAACAGCAGGGCGATTATGGTCAATTTGTGTACACTTAAAAATAAGTATAACTTGATTGTAACACAGGTTAAATGCTTGAGGTGATGGATACCCCATTTACTGTGTGATTACGCATTGTATGCCTGTATCTGAACAGCTCATATACCCCATAAATACATATACCTACTATGTACCACAAAATTAAAATTTTTAAAAAGACAACATACATAAAATAGGGGACACAGTTACACAGTAGAAGATCAAAAGACAATACATAAATACCATCAATTATATGCTGACAACTCTGCAAATTTAAACAAAAAGGGTAAATTCCTAGAAAAAGACGACTTAGAACTGAAACAAAATAAAAAAGCTCATATTTCTATTTAAAAAGGAGTTGAAAAAAATCTCTCTAATAAAAAGACCTGTGTGGTTTTACTGACAAATTCTCTCAAATTGTCAAGGAACATATTCTATCTTATAGAATATAAGGCAATAGGAAAAGAGGCAGTATTTACCAGTCCTGATGCCAAATCTAGTGAAATATTATGCAAAAACAAAATTGTAGGCATATTACCCTTATAAACATAGATGCAAAAATCTTAAAGTTAGTAAATTAAATCCAAGAGTATATAAAAGTGCTTATTGGGGATATACAAAGATCTTTTACTGTCAGAAAGCTCGTAAACATAATCTGCCACATCCCACAGATTAACAGAAAAACCAAATATTGAGAGAATTCTCCACAGATCTCGTTTCTGCACATCTTGTGAGCAGAAGCTCCCATGGCATATATTCCAAACTAACTTTTCAAGGATCACTGTATAGAAAATAGCCTTCAAAGATAGTGTCTCCTTCTGAAGCAGATGGCAGATTTTTTTACAGTTCAATATAATAAATATGATGTCTCACTTCAGAGCAAATGTTAGACAGGTCTGCTTCTTAGCCCATTTTAAAAGATTCAGAATTCCTTGGCTGTGATACAATCCACTACATGTGCAGCATCCACCTAGCCTTCCCTTTATTGCTCTCATGGGGCATGAGGGGCAAAGGGAAGTGGTGTGAACATCAACATGTTGTTGCCTGCTGTGCCACAATAGTCCTTTTATCTCTTACCCATGAGTCTTATGTCTTCTGCCAACATCTATAAAATTATGGCAGGCTAACTTACTAAGTAAAATCTCAAACTTTTCGTTTCTTGACAAATATCATCTCAGAATGTATAGGATAAAGAATGTAATAATACTCTACAACTACTTCTGATAAGTTATTATATAAGAAAACATTAAAAGCATTCTTTTTCAAATCAAGAGAAGAATTTTTACTATAATTCAATGTTGTATTGAAGATCCTAGCCAGTATAATAAAACAAAAATATAGGCATAAGGATTGGAAAGGAGAAACTAAAACTCATAACAAACTCAATCTACAGACAAGTTATAAGAAAAAATACACATCAAGATGGCTATAAGAATAGCATTCAAATAGTATATTCAAATTTGGTTGTATATCCATATGCTAGTAGCAAATAATTTAAAAATGTAATCAAGACTCTGTTTAGAACACAAGAACAGAATATCAAGGATGTAAGAATAAATCCAACAAAAAAAGTAAGACCTCTATAGGAAAAAAAAGCCCTAACTCTGAAATATCAAAAATGGAGAATTACAGCATGTTTATTAAAGGCTTAATGTTTAAATTTTTATAGAACTCAATATTGTCACAAACTTTATACTTAGAATATTTACTATTCTATATGTTGTCCAATAAAAGAATAGTAGGAAGGGTACATTTCTGTATTAGAAAAAAATAACTATCATGCTATATTAAATCGGTTGATATTGACAGGGGTAGACAAATTGACCAATGCGATAGAATAGTGAGTCCCAGAAACAGACCCTGAAAGTGAGATGTCATGTCATGGGTGAGGGAATTTTTTCATATAGCTGGATTATTTTAACCTTATGAGAAACAATTTTAATGCCTACCTCACACCACACCCAATAATGTCACATGAATTAATAATTCACCTGTTTTCTACTGAGGGTTTAAGAAGCTTTATTTTTTGAGCCTGGGAGTTAAGAAAAACCTAAGACACAAAAATATTGACTGAAGGAAAATTAATAAACTTCATTAAAATTCACTTCATGAGCTGTCAAAAGTTAAGAGAAATTATGAATTGATATCTTTGCAATATATACTGAAAATATGCAAAGAATATGCAAAGAAGTCCTACAAATAAGGAGCAAATGGACAAAAGACATAAATGGGCATTTACTGAAGGTGAAACAAAACCAATAAAATATGAGATTTTTATTGGTGATAAAATGCCATCTCATTGTGATCTTGACTTGCATTTTGATATCCATTCAACTGGCAAAAACTTAAGTCTGACAATGCCAAGAGTTGGGAAAGCTGTGATTCTGTAAGATTTCTTATATCTTATGAACAATAACTTGAGAAGATAACATTAATACCATAACTTATGAAATAACTTCACATGTATATATACAGGAGAAGAATTGTTAGATTATGAAGCGTTTTAATATTCAGCTTAAGGAGATGCCACCAAATTCTTTTCCAAATATATCTGATCTCCTCTCTTCTCATCAAATATACATCCTAGCCCCTTTTGCTTAGGTGGAGCCATAGGTCTAGTTTTGACCAATGAGTTGGGAGTAGAAGTGACACGTTTCTTCCATGCCAGGGCACTGAAATGTTGATTCCAGATTCTTCAGAGCTTTTTCCCTCTGGCAGCTGTCAACCTTTGAGACAGTGACTGTTCTGTCAGCCTAGGTCCTTGATTCAGCGTAATACACGTTCTTTCCTGTTGAATACAAAGGACATACAGCATAAGTGAGAAATAAGTCTTTGTAGATTTAAGCTGCTGAGATTTTGAGGGTTGGTTTTTACTACAGAATACCATAACCTATTCTGATACATACATAATAGGAGACATGGACAAGACTGTTTTATAGCACCAGTGTTCACAATGGCTTCGGAAACAACCCAAATACCTGTTGCCTGAAAGAGGATGACTAAACTGCGGCATATTTACTCAGGTTATTCAGCAATGAGAGTAAAATAACTACAGTGACATGTAACAATACATATGAGCTTTAGCAATGTAAATGAAGTGAAAGTAAATCCAAAAGACAATTTATAAATATAATATATATTTTCATATATATAACAAGATGCCCTTTTCAGAAAACTAAAATTCAAATACTAAGAATACATATAGGCACCATAAAATTATATAAAAAGGAAAGCAGAAAAGTGATAACCACAAGTTTCAGAATGATAGTTACCTGAGGTAGGAAGATCCAAGGGCAAAGGATGAAAACTGCATTGTTATATGTAGGCTACTATCAAGATCTCGATTTCTGAGGAATAGCAGAAGTATTTTATAAGTGTGATATTATTAAAAATAGCTAAATGGCAATTTATTCATGATTGAATGCTTTATGAACTAGAATCATGACTAATTCATATTCTAAATCTATGTACCTGAGATAGTTATACATAATGACAGAACTGGTCCTATTGTCGCTATCTTTGCAGAAAGAGAAGCATATATGTGCATGGGTTCTCAGTAACCCAGAGTTCAGTTAGAATACAAATGTGCGCCTTTTACCAGCATTAAGTTTTGAGAGTAGGGTGACCTGGGACCAAAAGGATCTCTTTTTGATAGTATCCAAATCTGCCTGAACATTCATATATCATATTTCTTCTATAAGGTTCTTAGTTATATAAGTTCTTAGTTAAAGGCTGAGCAGGAGGTAATTTCTGCATGAAACAGGAAAATTAACGATGTAGTAATTACTTGTTGACCATCTTACTCCTTTGTTCCTATTCTGCCAGGCATTGCTCCAAAGACTGGGGATAGGATGGTACACCAGAGCTCTCAAGGCCAGGAAATCTGTTTGTTGGGATGTGCAGGCAAACAAAATGGGTGTTATGGAAAGTAAAGGAAGGTCCCTAATCTAGACTGCTAATGGGAGGAGAGGTGACCCCCACCACCATCACACCTGAGGCCTAAGATACAAATAAGATCTATCCAGGTAAAAGGTTGGGATGATGGGGGATTAAGGGTGGAAGATAAAAGAAAAAGAGGGATATCTCAGGCAGAAAGCAGTATATGCAGCTTGAGGTTGCAGCAACAACCTTGAGGAGGTTTTGTTCAACTCTAAAGTTTAGTCTGGCTGGACAGAAAAGAACAAAGTGGAGAATGACAAGAGGAAATGTGAGAATAAACAGATTACGCAGGGTCTTCCATGAGTTGGATTTTAACCTGAGATCAGTTAGTCACACTGGTGTGTGTTAATCAGAGGTGTGATGTCAGATTTGCATTTCAGAAAAGTGGCTCTGGGCTGATGTGTGTAAGGAGATCACTTAGAGGGTGGAGGAGGGTTCCCACAGGAAATAGCATACTTATGGGGTTCGATTGAAGAAAGTTTAGGGAAGAGCTACTTCTAAAAGTGTAGGCAGATCAAGGCAACCACACAGAGGACAGTACAGCACCCAGGAAGTGGCAAGAGCAGAGCCTTTACCACACCAAGACCAGAGGGTCAAGGTAACACAGCTGTGTACCAGGGTTTGGTGGGACCTGGAGCAAGGAAAGTGGCCACCTAACAAGCTGTGGCTCTTGAGGAATGACACTGCCAAAACCATGCCCAGAAGGAAGATGGAGGGATACCCCAACTGCCATGTCCTTCTAACCTCTGATTTCCTGCCCATGCCTCCCATTGGCCTAACCCAACCAGAAGACTGATGGCACAGTAGCCCAGGTGATGCAATCTGTAAAGTTCAGCCTCCTAGACACAGAAGGATGTAGAGGAGAAAACGTGCACAGGAGGTTTGTTATGGACCGCATGTTTGCATCCTCCATTCCCCAATTTATATTGAAGACCTAACTCCCAATGTGGTGGTATTTGGAGGTAATTGGATTTAGATGAGGTCATGAGGGTGGAACCCATGATGGGATTAATATCCTTAGAGCAAGAGAGATTAGTCTCTTCCTCCCATGGGAGGAAAAAGCAACTTTGTAAGTTAGGAAGAGGGCCCTCACCAGGAAGAAAATCTGCTAGCACCTTGACTTTGGACTTCCCAGCCTCCAGAACTGAGACATAAATATCCATTGTTTAAGCTACCCAGCCTATAGTATTTTGTTATGCCAGCTCAAGTTGACTAAGACAAATCTCTAGTGGTAATTCCAGCATTATGGTGGGCTGAACAGGGAGAGGGCATAGCAGAGAAATGGGAAGATTTGAATGAGATTTAGTAAGTCCATCCAACTAGAGGACTTGTTTCCAAGGGGTGATGAGCACAGAAGTACTACAGACATGGTCCACAGAAGGGACCTCCTTTCCCCCTCCATGTGGGAACAGGAGAGCTCAGGAATATCTACCACCCTTTAGCACCCTCACTCCTTCTTAGGAGAGTAATAGTTAATGCAGTAGGTTAGAATCTGACATTCACAGGCCCATGCTTCTCTGGTGGATAGGTACACATGCTCTTAGGCAGAATAACTTTCCCTCACTCTCTTCTTTTCAACCAGCATCCACATCCTATGATGGCCTTGACCATGGGTAGAATTAGTCAGCTGAGCCAGGGTCCCTCATATCCTCTGGCTGTATATCTCACCAAGTGATCCTGGGCATGGGCTTCTGCTCTATAGGCCAGCTCTCCCCTATAAGGGCGTAATGTTAGAGTTGCAGGGTTGTAGGAGGGGAGGATGTTTGGGAATTTGATCATGGCTTAGACCCAAGTCACATTTTTCAGGCCACCAACCCCAACAATAAAGTTTATAGCTTGATCTCGACTGAGATGTCCCTGGTGTTTACCTTTCAATTAGTTCTGAGATAAGACAGGAAATAAAGAAAATGAATATCTCCAAAGACCCCAGCTGTGTGGGTTTTCCACACATGCTATATGATACCAGAGTCATATTGGCTTCTGACTGAACCTCCCAGAGGTTGAACATTTGTTGAACAAGCAAATGTTCACTAATGTCCTGCACAACCAGTAAGACTTCTAAATGGTAGTTGGGAAGCTGTCTTTTTATCCAAAAAGGAGAGCTACATTACTGGGGGCTGCCATTCTTTTCACAAAGTGTATCATCAAAGGGAAATGGTTGTGCTCCAAATCAGAGGTGTGTGGTTACCAAATTATATATGACTAGAATCATAAAAGCAGCTGAGTGTTAAATACATATTTGTGTGTATTAATCACTTGGATATGCAAAGTTTACCTTATACCTGTTTTCTTTACTGCAATAGAGAGGATCTAATACAGGCCTCTATGGGGTATGGAACAGCATGGGCCCAGAGGAAGATCAACAAATGATGTAGACCAGAATGGAGAAAAAGTCCAGTAAGGGATGCAGCAATTGACGACACAGTTCATGCCATGCATGTGTAGCTTGAAATAATGTTTGTAAACTTAGCTTAATATAATAGCCTACCAGCCACTTTAAGTTTATCCATGCCTACTTGTTCCAAAAATGATTGAGTATGCATATCATAAATTATTTTTAATTTGTAACAAACATTCTCTTTATAAAGTCTAAAGGTCAAGAACCCTTTGAGTATTATTGACAATTAAAGATGTTTAGTTCAGATATCTCAGCACCAGAACCTTCTCTGTAATGAAAGATGTGTATTTCTATCCAAGAGCATCACATTTAAATATTCAGAAGTAGCTGATCTATAAACACTGGGGATTCGTTACAAGAAGCTAGCAATCCCAATGTCTTTGTCTTAGCATCTTTTTGTGAAGGAACTCAGACTAAGATCTCAGTGCATGTAGTTTATTTTGGATGTGATCCCAGGAAACTGGTTGGGGAGTGAGACAAGAAAGGGAGCAGCCAAAAAAGGCTACCTTACTCACCACTGTAGCTCCTGAAGCTTAATCCTGTTGAAGGATTCTGGGAGCCACAGTAGGAAACAAGCTTTAGAGTTATCCCACCTAAGAGGCAAGGGAGCCAACGCCAACTCCCATTGGTCATTAGTTGAGGACTCCTAGTGTATGTGTTAATCCACTGTTGCAGGATAAAGGAAGTCCTCAGGCTGAGAAGCAGGTGCTGGTGAATGGGAGTCAGGCCAGCATGCCCTGAAGTGGGAGGGGCTGAAGAAGCCTGGGCAGGGTACCAGCAGTGTCTGCTACACACAACCACAGACCTTTGGCCCTCTCTACCATTATTTAGAGGGCCTGGATGGAATGAGCGCCCTGGATGACACAGAAGGGCACTGGGTGATTATATTGGACCAGAACAGCAGGAGGACATAACTCGTTGAGTATCCTGATATGAGTCAAGGACACTGCACTAGAGACTTTACAGCAAGATGTTACTGAGCACCTTACTTATGTTCAAATGTAAGAACTCAGGATTATGAAGAAGCAGGAAGCTAGAGTCCTAGACGCTCTGGTCTGAGCCTGGTCTCCTGTGGTCATGTTTAAACAGTTCATACCTGAGTGTCTCTTTTACAGGGGATTTCATGTGTTTGGAAGGATTCTTTCTCCTAAGCCTGTTATCTTAAAAGTGTCTTGATTTCTCAAGCAAACCTCAATCCATAATATTTGGAAGGAAGGGCCTCTTGGCTCCTTATGCACTTCACCCTCCCAGTTTCCCAATGCTGGATCCTAATCTAGAGAATCTGTTCCTTATAGTGCAAGTTAAATGAAACCAGCTTTAAATTAATGCCCAAAGATTGGCAACCAAACAATGCTTCTCAAAGTGTGGTTCTGAGATCCCCTGCCCCAAGAGCTGGAGGAACTTGTTTAAAAGGTGGATTTGGGGATTCCATTCCACACCCATTGAATCTGAAACTGAGTCTCTGAGAGAATAGCCGCACCTATTTATTTTATTTTAAGAAATCCCATTTATTTTTGGCTATTGGAGCAATGTCATCTTTTCAGCAAGTTTAACACATTATAGAAATCTCAAATGTAGGATAGAACAAAACCAAGTGTAGGGGTAGGGGAAGCAACAGCAAAAAGAAGATATGAGATGTTGCAGAAAAGATGGAGGAGGGTTCCCCTCTCCTCTGGGGATTGATTCAAACACTGTGGCAGTATACACCATCACACATAGTCAGGGATGTTAATTCCTTTTCGGGATAAGAAAAGGTGGGGATTAAGACATTTCTGGAGGCTTAGGGACCAAGGATGGTCTCTTTTCCCCACTTGATCCCTTTCTCTGATCTGCGATGTACTTGAAGAGCTTCTGGATGACCATGTTGACAATACCAGTGAATGACATTTTCAGGCCATGAGATGGGATGTCAGACTGTTCTTGACGTTGTTGGAGATCCATTCCACAAAGTAGCTGCTGTTTTTGTTTTGCATATTTAACATTTTGTCATTGACGTCCTTCATGGATATCTGACCAGTGAAGACAGCAGCCAAGGTGAAGTATAAGCCATGGCGGGGTTCACAGGCAGCCATCATGTTCTTGGCATTGAAGACATGCTGGGTGAATTCAGACACTGTGAGCTTGATACTGCTGGCTTCCATGGCTGGTGAGAGGGGAAGAGCCAGGCATAAAGAAATGGAGATGTGGGAAGGGGACCATGTTGACTGCCAACTTGTGGAGGTCGGCATTGAGCTGGCCAGGGAAACAGAGGCAGGTGATGACACTGTTCATGGTTGCTGAGACGAGGGGGTTCATATCCCTGTAGGTTGGTGTGGTCCGCTTCAGAGTGTGGGAGCAGATGTTATACAGGGCTTCATTGTCAATGGAATACGTCTCATCAGTGTTCTCTACCAACTGATGGACAGAGAGGGTGGCACTGTAGGGCTCGACCTTGGTGTCACTTTGGGTGAAGGCACTACACTGAAGATGTTCACAATGCAATCAGGGTACTCTTCTCAGATCTTGCTAATGAGAGTGCCCATTCCAGAGCCTGTGCCTCTGCCCAGTGAGTGGGTCACCTAGAAGACCTGCAGGCAGTCACAGTTCTCTGTCTCCTTCCATACTGAGAGAAAGAAAAGAAAATTATTATGATTACCTAGAATTGCTGTTTAAGCTGAAATAGGCTTTTGATAACTGCACCCCCACCCCCCAAAGTTGAAGTTAAAGAATATTAACTGCTTCTCTGTGAAACATTAACCATATCTCTGCTCTGCATATTTTGTAAGCTCTGTAAGTTCCTGTTTTTCTTGCTGTGTAGCGCAAGGTCACAAGACAGATAAGTGCGAGCTGCAAAACGTGTTTTCTAAGATTTAAGACCTGTCACATGATTAATGGCTTTTGTTCTCGCTTCTGTAAGCCTGCTTTCTGCTTCACGTTTTTCCTCCCTTGAGATGCTTAAAAGGGCCTGTGTCCCTCTTTGTTCAGGGCTCGGACTTTCTGGATGCGAGTCCACTGAGCTGGTGTACACCTTAATCCTCCTGTAACCCTATTGGTCTCTTCAGTTCTGATTTCCCAATACTTTTTCTGGGGGCTCATCCAGGATTAGAGATGGCAGATTTTCTCTCCTTTGCTTGTGGGATTGGAGCCCGGGCTGGGGGAGACCCAAGACCCTAGGCGCCAATGGGAGAACTTCAGCCCAGAGAGGAGATTGGCTCTCCCGCATCCCGGTGCCCTTCCCTGACAGTGCAACAGAACCAGAAAAGGGGCTGCAGGATGATTCCAGGAGCAGCACGCATTCTTCAGAACCACAGTTAGGTTTGGGGCCTCAAGACGGGACCCCTCCCATAAAGACGGGAGGGAGATTGATTGCCTCCCCGGGTGTAACTACTAGTTTGGCCCCAGAGGGGCTGAGGGCAGAGAAGGTGGCTCACCAATTCAGATGAAGTTTATACCCCCACTGACACAGGATGAGAGAGAGGCTCACTAAGTTGGCTTAGGAAAGGAAACTAAAACTGAAGGTGGTGAGAGTGGCTCACCACCCCAATTAAGGAACAGGTACTGGGGAGTGAGGAGGTGTGTGAAAGTATGTGAAAGAGACAGTTCCAGGAGGGATCAATGCAGGGCATGATGTGGGGAGGCACAGATCTCTTAGTGTTGACATTGTGCTCCAAAGCAAGTGTATGACTGACCAGGCCTAGGTCGATCCACATATGGTTGATAGGATCTGCCTTATGATTCCAGCAGTCATAGCAGGAATAAGGTACTCTCCTAGCTAAGTGGCGCCTGAAACTCCCATAATAGGAACCGGTCTGGTCAGTCCAGCACAAAAGGCTGAGTGAGTGTGCATCATAAAGGGAGGAATGGGAGGAAAATTGTCGAAACCCACTCCATTGGAGTGCATGTTAAATAATTTTAAGAAAGGTTTTGGAGGAGATTATGGAGTTAAACTGACCCCCAAAAGGTTGAGAACTCTGTGAATTAGAATGGCCTTCTTTTAATACAGGGTGGCCAGCTGAAGGAACAATAGATAGGGAAGCAATTGGCCATGTATTTAGGGTGGTAAGTGGGGTCGAGGATAGCCTTGGTATCCAGATCAATTTACATACATTGACTCCTGGTTAAACGTGGTCCAGACTTGCCCCAAATGGCTCTACAGCCTTGTTTGGCAATCTATTGTAAAGCCTTGGTGGCCTGGGCTGAGCTTAAGGTGATAGAAAAGCCAATTATGCCAGGGACCTCAGAGGAAAAGAAAAAGTAACAGGAGAGCCAGGAAAAGCCAGTCCTACAAGCACCTCCCAGAGGAAAGAGTTTCCTCCCCGTTATGTTCCAATACACTTGTCCTTGTCAGGGCTAGGACGGGGTACAGAGCAAATAGCCCTTGAGGAATCAGGCTCAGAGGAAAGCAAGTCTCAAGCATCTCCCCACAGGGGAGAGCCTGAACCCCTGCCCATGAAAGCTAAAGAGGAAAAGCAAGGCGATATAGCAAGCCACCTCCAGTCTGGCCACACCCGAGCCTTACGAATGCCCCTCTGTGAGACTTGAGCACAAACTTATAATGAGCAAGGCCAGGTAGGGGGAGGGCCGTGGATTTTCATCTACCAGCCCTTCCCTATGACAGACAACCTAAATTGGAAACAACGTACTCCTTCCCATACAGAGAAGCCTGAGGCTGTCATAGACTTGATGAGGTCCATTTTTCTGACTCATAACCCCACCTGGCCAGACTGCCAGCAGCAACTTCTGACACTGCTTAATACAGAAGAGCACTGGAGAGTGACCCAAGCAGCTCTCCAGTGGTTAGAGAACAATGTGCCAGATGGCACAAATGATGTCTGGCGTTATGCCCGGAGTGGTTCCCAGAGACAGATCCTAACTGGGACCCAAATGAGGCAGGGGAGCTCCAACACCTGCAAAGGTACCGAGAGCACTCTTAAATGGAATGAAAGCCGGTGGGAATAAGGCCATGACAATAGGAAAGATTTTAGAGGTCCTACAAAAGGCTAATGAAAGCCCAAGTCAGTTCTACAAGAGGCTCTGTGAGACATACTGGCTCTATACTCTATTTGATCCGGAGGCTGTTGAAAATCAGCACATGGTGAGTACTTCATTTGTTGGCCAGGTACAAGGTGACATTAAGCAAAAGCTTCAAGAATTGGAAGGTTTCGCAGGCATAAATGCTACTGAGCTTATAGAGGTGGCTACCAAGGTATATGTCAACTGTGAGCAAGAGGAAAAGAAGGAAGCTGGGCAGAGGCTTAAGAAAAAGGCTGAGCTATTGGTGGCAGCCCTGGCTGAAAGAGAGACTGGCATTGTGAGGGGACGCAGTCATGGTCATGGAAGAGGTCAGGCTAGACCAAGATTTGAAGGCCAGATTAGGCTGGAGAGGGATCAATGTGCACTATGCAAAAAGGACACTGGAAGGATGAATGTCCAGAGAAAGATAAAGGAAATAGCCATGACCAGGGAATTTGGCTAGAGCCACCAGCTGCCAGCCATTGTGTTCTAAAACCAGATGCTGACCTGATCAGCCTAGCAAAGGCTGCAGGCAATGAGGACTGAGGCAGACCAGGCTCCATCTCTTCAGGCCCTCAGGAGCCTATGGTCTCAGTAGAGGTAGGGGACCAACAGATGGACTTTATGGTAGATACAGGAGCTGAACCCTCAGTAGTGACCTGACCTGTAGGGCCACTATCCAAGAATTATACAACTATTATTGGGGCAATTGGAATCTTTGAAAAAGAGGCCTTTCTGTCAAGGAGGTGCATTATTGGAGGATAGGAAGTCAGCATGAGATTCTATACCTCCCAAACTGCTCAGTCCCCTTGCTTGAAAGAGACTTACTCCAAAAACTACAGGCACAAATTTCCTTCAGGCCACAAGGAAACATGTCCTTAAACTTCAGTCAGCCAAAGGCTGTGGTGTTAACCCTCACACTCCCAAAGGCCAAGGAGTGGAGGCTATATGCAGAAGTACCACTTAAGCCCAAGACTGTCAGAACCTCTTAAAATATATGAGCTAATTGTTAAAATACCTGGAGTGTGGGCAAAGGACAACCCGCCTGGGCTGGCTGTAAATCAGGCACTAGTCCTAGTAGAGCTAAAATCAGGAGCCTCCCCAGTATGAGTTCGCCAATACCCAGTTTTCATAGACGGCATCTGAGGTGTTCAAAAGCACACAGACCAGCTTTTCAAGCACGGAATCATAATTAAATGCAGATCACCTTGGAACATTCCTTTATTGCCAGTGCAGAAGCCATCTGGTAAATATAAGCCAGTGCAGAATTTGCATGCTATAAACCGGGTCATGGAGACAATCCACCCAGTAGTGCCCAACCCATACAACTTAATGGGACAAATACCAGCTAGTGCAGCCTGGCTTATTTGCTTAGATCTAAAAAATACATTCTTTTGTCTCCAGTTAGCACCAATAAGCCAGCCTATCTTTGCATTTCATTGGGATGAAACACAGCACACTTGGACAAGACTCCCACAAGGGGTTCAAGAATTCCCCTATGATCTTTGAAGAAGTGCTGGCATCAGATCTCAGCTTATGTCCCACCTAATGACAAATGCATCCTGCTGCAGTGCATAGAAAATCTTCTATTTGCAGCCCCTACTTGAGTGGACTGCCTACAGGTCACTAAGAAGCTCCTCCACCTTTTGTGGAAAGCAGAATATAAAGTATCCAAGAAAAAGGCACAAATCTGTTTAGCAGGAGTCAAATATCTAGGTTTTGAAATAAGTCACGGGAAACGTGAACTTGGCAGTGAATGAAAGCAGGCTGTGTGTACTTCCCACCCCTACCACCCAGCGTCAAGTAAGTTTTTAAGAGTAGCAGGTTTCTGCTGCATTTGGATTCCAAACTTCTCACTTATGGTAAAACCCCTATATGAAGCCACAAATGGGGGAATAGGGGAGCCCCTCCTTTGGGAGGCTGACCAAAAAAGGCTCTTTAAGAAAATCAAAAAGGCCTTGATTCAGTCCCCCGGGTTAGGACTGCCAGATCAAACCAAGCACTTCTTTCTGTATGTCCATGAATGGAAAGGAATGGCTATAGGGGTCCTAACTCAAATTATGCGGTCATCGCATCGACCTGTGGCATACTTAACTAAACAACTAGACCTGATGGCACTAGGCTGGCCTCCTTGTTTCAAAGCTTTAGCCACCACAGCTCTGTTGGCACAAGAGGCTAACAAATTGGCCCTAGGACAAAAATTGATTATTCAAGTGCTACACACAGTTATCACCTTAATGGATCAGAGAGAACATCATTAGGTATCATCAAACCCAAGAATGACTAGATATCAAGGACCCTTATGCTAAAATCCTCACATGATTATAGAGACTGTAAATACACTAAACCTAGCTACTCTGCTGCCCATAGACCAAAAGACCCCCTACCTTAGCATTATTGTGTGGACATAGTAGATGAGGTATTCTCCAGCTGAAGGAACTTAAAAGACCAGCCCCTTGGTGGCCCACATGTTGAGTACTTCATGGATGGAAGCAGATTTGTCTCAGAAGGGGTCTGCTGAGCTGGGTATACAGTACTGACATGGGATTCAGTGGTAGAGGCACAGCCTCTACCTTCCGGGACAGCTCAAAAAGCAGAACTGATAGCTCTAACAAGGGCCCTGCTCTTAGCCAAAGGAAAAGTGGTCAATATTTATACTGACTCTATGCCTTTGCCACATTACATGCCCATAGAGCTATATATTTTTTAAAAAGCTAAGGAAAGCATAACCACAAAAAAGGACACACACATAAAAAAGGATATAGATATAGGAGACTGAAGAAATGAATGGCCTCCTGAGAGAATTAAGTACTATGGCCCAGCCACCTGGGCAGAGGATGAAACATGGGGCTACTGTACCCCCATTTATGTGATAAATTTTATCATATGGTTACAGGCTGTTCTTGAGGTTATAACCAGTGAAACATCAAGGGCCTTGAATTTGCTGGCCATGCAAGCCACACAGATGAGAAATGCCCTTTATGAAAATAGTTTAGCACTAAACTACCTCCTGGCCTCAGAAGGAAGAGTATGTGGGAAGTTTAACTTAAATTGCTGTCTAGAAATTGATGATAATGGACAAGCTGTCATGGAAATAACTGCTAG
This sequence comes from Homo sapiens, assembly GCF_000001405.40. Lineage (NCBI taxonomy): Eukaryota > Metazoa > Chordata > Mammalia > Primates > Hominidae > Homo > Homo sapiens. The sequence continues at coordinate 39,993,996 of NC_000006.12, read as the reverse complement.
GATGCAGAAATTAGCTCATGTTTCAGTCCAAACCTGGAAAGGTTTGTCTCCAGACTCCCTTTTCAGAGGATGGTTTTCATCTTTTGATGGATTTAAAACCTTAATAGGAGGGTTTATGCTTATCCTTGGCAGACGCCTAATTCTCCCTTGTCTTCTACCTCTTCTAATCAGGAGTATACAGTCAACTATAGAAGCAATTGTGGCCAGACATACTACCACCCAAATAATGGCCTTAACTAAATATCAGCCTCTACCCAAGGAAAAATATGTGCCAACTAAGGAAGAAACAAATGATAGTGGTGCCTTCTATTAAAATCCATTTATAAAAGGCACCAAAGAGGGGAATGAAATAGAGAAAATCATTATGGTTACCTAAAATTGCTGTTTAAAGTTAGGCTGAAATAGGTTTTTGGTAACCAGCGCCACCCCCCACCTACCAACCAAAGTTGAAGTTAAAGAGTATTAACTGCCTCTCTCTGAAACATTAACCATATCTCTGTTCTGCTTATTTTGTAAGTTCTGTAAGTTCTTGTTTTTCTTGCTGAGCAGCTGCAAGGTCACAAGGCAGATAAGCGTGAGCTGCAAAACATGTTTTCCTTTTCTAAGATGTAAGACCTGTCACATGATGATTAATTACTTTTGTTCTTGCTTCTGTAAGCCTGCTTCCTGCTTCACATTTTTCTCGCCTCAAACACTTAAAAGGGTTGTCTGTCTTTGTTCGGGGCTCAGACTTTCTGGATGTGAGTCCCCTGAGCCATTGTACACCTTAATAAATCCTCCTGTAACCCTATTGGTCTCTCCAGTTCTGATTTCCCGCTACAATACCACATCCAGGACAGAATCAACCAGCTCAGCCCCTTCTGTGTAGTGGCCTTTGGCCCAGTTGTTGCCAGCCCCAGACTGACCAGAAACAAAGTTGTCTCATCTAAAGATCTGGCCAAAAGGACCTCAGCAAACAGAGTCCATGGTCCCAGGTTCTAGATCTACCAGGATGGTATGAAGAACATGTTTGCCACCTGTGGCTTCGTCGTAGTACATGGAGATGCAGTCCAGCTGCAGGTCACTGTCACCATGGTAGGTGATGGTGGGGTCAATGCCATGTTCATCATGGATCACTTCCAAGAATTTGACACTGATCTGGTTGCCACAGTGACTGGCCTGGATATGCACAATTTCCCTCATGGTTAAAATTTAATTTTTTTGTTCACCTCAAAGTATCTATGGGGCAAGAAAACATGTAATTCTTTTCTCTGCTGGTCGCAGGTTGGAAGACTGGAATGTGCCCCAGAGGCTGGAGCAGTAAGGTGAGAACACAGTGGCAGGAAGTTTGAGAGGGAGAAAGCAGCTGCACCTTTAAGAAGCAACCTAGATGATTTTAATACATGACCTAGGCTTGTGGTTCTCAAATTTTGCTACACATTTGAATCACTTGGAGCACTCCTGAAACTCCCAATGTAAGGGCCACACCCAAAGCCAATTAAACTTTCTGGCTAAAGTCCAGCTCTCACTCCTGGATTCTGGCTTAAGACTCCCCAGGCGATTTCAGTGTTCAGCCAACTTTGAGAACTAGTGACCTATAGCTAGTAAAGATAAAGCTGTTACGTGATTGATTTTGAGAACCTGGGTTTTCTCAGACATCAAAGAATTTTTAAAAACAGACCCTTGTTTCCTTCTGGCCTTAGAAATCTTAGATAAGATTTTCAATTTACAGGTGAGGAAGCTGAGTCCTAAAAGGTAAAAATGAAGTGGGACAAACAGCTAATTAAATTGATATTTCTTTTTTTATTCAATATAATTGTTCTTAAAAGTTTAGTGCCAATATTCAGTGTTTAAGTCATTGTCAAATGGAAAAGCAGATTTATGTTACCCTAATATTCCAAGCATCTCCACTGCATGATTTAAAAAGTATTTTTAGGCCGGGCATGGTGGCTTATTAGCCAGGCGTGGCTGTGCATGCCTGTAATCCCAGCTACTTGGGAGGCTGAGGCAGAAGAATTGCTTGAACGCAGGAGGTGGAGGTTGCAGTGAGCCAAGATAGCACCACTGCAATCCAGCCTGGGTGACAGAGCAAGACTGTCTCAAAAAATAGAGTATTTTTATGACTTTATTCTTGTACATGTTTCTCTTAATTTCTGAAAACATTTTAATATTTCAATGTCCTGACTAATCTCCTTAAACAATAACAGCAGAACTTTTGGCAAAAATTTGAAAAGACATATATAAAATCCACAAATAAGAGTTAAGTCCTCCAAACCATATAATAATAAAGCCACAGGCTTTTAATAATGAGCAAAATAAACACACACAAAATTTTGCATATACATACATAGTACAAGGCTGAAGTATTTTGACATTTATCTCAACATCTGCAAGTATATAAACTATTGGAAGCCCTGGCCAGGGCAATCAGGCAAGATAAAAGGCATCCAAATATAATAGGAAGAGAGGACGTCAAACTATCCCCATATGCAGATGATATTCTGCATCTAGAAAACCCCACAGTTTCAGCCCAAAAACTCCTTGAGCACATAAGCAACTTTAAAGTTTTGGGATATAATATCAATGTACAGAAATCAGTAGCATTCAGTTACCCTAATAGCACCCAAGCCAAGAGCCAAATCAGGAATGAAATCCTGTTCACGATTGCTACAAGGAGAATAAAATACCTAGGAATACAGCTAGCCAGGGAGGTGAAAGATCTCTACAATGGAGAACCACAAAACACTGTTCAAAGAAATCAGATGACACAAATGGAAGAACATTTCATGCTCAGGGACAGTAAGAATCCATATTGTTAAAATGGCCATACTGCCAAAGCAATTTAAAGATTTGATACTATTATCAATCTACCAATGACATTCTTGACAGAACTAGAAAAAACTATTCTAAAATTCATATGGAACCAAAAAGAGCCTGAATAGTCAAGGCAGTCCTAAGCAAAAAGGACAAGGCTGAAAGCATCATGCTATCTGACTTCAAACTATGCCAAAGGGCTACAGTAACCAAAACAGCATGGTACTGGTATAAAAATGGACACATAGACCAACGGAATGGAATATAGAGCCCAGAAATAAGGCCACACACCTACAACCATCTGATCTTTGACAAAACTGACAAAAACAAGCAATGGTGAAAGGACTTCCTATTCAATAAATGATGCTGGGATAATTGGCTAGCCACATGCAGAAAATTGAACCTCCTTCCCTACACCATATATAAAAATCAACTCCATATATAAAAATCGACTCAAGATGGATTACAGACCTAAATGTGAAACATAAAACTATAAAAACTCTGTGAGATAACCTAGGAAATACCACTTTGGACATAGGAATGGGCAAAGATTTCATGACAAAATGCCAAAGCAATTACAACAAAAGCAAAAATTGAGAAGTGGGTCCTAATTAAAGAACCTCTGCAAAGCAAAAGAAACTATCAACAGAGTAAACAGGCAACCTACTGAATGGGAGAAAATATTTGCAAAGTGTGCATCTGACAAAGATCTAATATCCAGAATCTAGAAGGAACTTAAACATACAAGCAAAAAGCAAACAATCTCATTAATAAGTGGGCAAAGGAAAGAACACTTCTCAAAAGACATACATGAGGCCAACAGGCATATGAAAAACTCCGTATCACTGATCATTAGAGAAATGCAAATCAAAACCACAATGAGATACCATCTCACACCAGTCAAAATGGCTTTTTTTTTTTTTTGAGACAGGGTCTCTGTCACCCAGGCTGGAGTGCAGTGGCACGATCTCAGCTCACTGCAGCCTCCACCTCCTGGATTCAGGCAATTCTCCTGCCTCAGCCTCCCAAGTGGTTGGGATTACAGGCATGTGCCACCATGCCCAGCTAATTTTTGTATTTTTAGTAGAGACGGGGTTTCACCATGTTGGCCAGGCTGGTCTTGAACTCCTGACCTCAGGTGATCCACCTGCCTAGGCCTCTCAAAGTGCTGGGGTTACAGGTGTGAGCCACTGCACCCAGCCTTCAGCATGGCTATTATTAAAAAGTCAAAAAATAACAGATGCTGGAGAGGTTGCAGAGAAAAGGGACTGCTTATACACTGCTGGTGGGAGTGTAAATAAGTTCAACCATTGTGGGAAGTGGTGTGGTAGTTCCTCGAAGAACTGAGGACAGAACTACCACTTGAGCAGCAATCCCATTACTGGGTGTATACCCAAAGGAATATAAATTGTTCTACCATAAAGGCACATATACATGTATGTTCATTGCAGTAAAATTCACTGTAGCAAAGACATGGAATCAACCTAAATGCCCATCAGTCATAGGCTAGATAAATAAAATGGGGTACATTTACACCACAGAATACTATGTAGCCATAAAAGGAGGAGATCGTGTCCTTTGCAGGAACATGGATGGAGCTGGAGGCCTTTATCCTTAGCAAGCTGACACAGGAACAGAAAACCAAATACCTCATCTTCTCATTTATAAGTGAGAGCTAACTCATAACATGGACACATACAGGGGAAAAACAGATACTAGGCCTATCAGAAAGGGGAGGGTAGGAGGAGAGAGGTTAAGAAAAAACAACTCATATACTATGCTTAGCATCCAGGTGATGGAATAATCTGTACCCAAAATCCCAAAGTCACAAGTTTACCTATATAACATGCACATGTACCCATGAACCTAAAATAAAAGTTAAAATATTTTTTAAAAAATTACTGACTATAATGCATACATTTTGGGGTTTGTATGTTTATTACCATAGCTATGTATATTTTTCCCCACATGGAAATTTAAAAACTCTGGTTCATTTTTTTTTTTTTTTTGAGAAGCTCATATGCAATGGAATGTCATAAGGTAACTCTCAATAACTTTTTGTTTGCTTCCAGGAGATCTTGCTTATAGAAAATTGTTACAGTGAAATAACCTCAGTTATTTCCCTTCACTTCAGTGCATCACATCTTACCTGCAAATGAAGATGATCCCACTCCCAGGGATGGGTGAGACCAACTCCTCCCTACAGGCAGCACAGACATGATTCTCCCCATGTGCAATATGGCCACATTAGAAACCCAACAAAATCAGTATCATCCAATCAAATATACCAAGGAACCATAAATGGGTTTTAGTATTGGTATCTCGTTTTCAACTTCAGATTTTAGAAAATTAACATGGAAAGAAAAAACACCTTTTAAAAAGAAAATTACAGGCTTCCTATAGGAGCTGTTCGCCAAAATGTAAAGGTGATTGAGTTGCGCTGAAACCAACCATTGCTTAGTTTGATTTTTCCTGGTGCCAAGAATTGTTTGCTTCATGTATTATAAATTCTTATTTTTCTTTATGCTTCAAACCTCCCAGAAAAAAAAATTAAATACTCAAGGTGAGTCTGTATTCTTTCCATAACATAGGATTGGCCTACCTTAAAGGAAACCCTCACCTGGGACATTGCTTGTAGAAATACTGAAGCAGGCAGGGCAAGGCATTCTTGCAAGTGTGCAGCACTTTCTGCCTAAGGTTCTGCTTTTCTGAAACCATCTCCAAATTCTGGCTCCTATACTCTGCCATGCAATGAGAGGGCTGACCTTTCAGACATATGCCTATGACTTGGAGCGGACCAGGTTGGAGACTCAGGACAGGTGGCTGGAAGCCCAGAACTATATGACTGGTATGTGCTCCTGGTAAGATGTAAAAGTTATTTCAGTTCTATGCTACTTTATTCTAGAGTCTCATGTTTATTAGCTTCATTTTCCTCCTCCGCTGATTTCCTAGGCAATAGGGTCTGTGTCAACAAAGGTCCAGTCAGGAAAAAAAAGCACTCCAGGTACTTCAAGAGGGGGGTTTAACTTGGGGTGGGTCTCAGCTGCTTTGCTTCTGGGGACTTATGGTGGGGCGGGCGGGCGGTGGTAGGGCATGCCACCTCCTGAAGTATGCACCCAGGGCATGTATACTAGGTTTTCCATCCTAGAGATACCCAAGTTCCTGGATGCTAGCAGGAAGGGGAAGAAGAAAATCCTCCTCTCCAACTCCAGAACAGTTCTCCTGGGCCCAGAGGCTCAAGAGCCTTGCTCTGTGTATCAGTGTCTCCTGAAGAGCAGGTCTGACCTCTCTCTCTCTCTGTTGAGGCTGGACAGGACTTAGACCTCAGACTGCCTTTGTTACACTTTCTTCCTGAAGAAGATCTCAGACTACCTTTGTTACTTTCTTTCCAACCCAACCAAAATTGCTCCCCCAAATTACAAAGCAAAAATTCCCATCCTGTATCTATGCATGTACATAGGTACATTTGGGAGAGACAGAGGTGAGGCATTGTCTGTACAATGGGCAAGGCCCAGCTCAAGCAACAACAAAAACAATACAGAAAAGATCAGTATTAGTATAGGTATATATAAAAACGCAAATCTCAAACCCCCTTCCCCTATCATAGATCTGTTTACATGCCCATTTTCTTCCTATTCTCTTGACCCCCTGCACCTAAAAAAAGTTCAGCGGGCCATGCTTACTAGTCCCCAAGCCCATACTTCCCAATCCCAAAAGCATAGCCAAGAGGCTGAATGTTGCTTCAAGCTCCAGTACAATAAAGCTATCAGAAGCTTGGGAAGGTCCCAGGATTCAAAGAGCCATTGGCCTTTTATTAGTTATCTATTACTATGAAGAAAATCCTTCAACATTTAACAGGTTAAAACAACAAACATCACTATGTACCCCATAAATATGTATAATTGTGTCCATTTAAAGTTTTGTTTTTTTTAGTTTCTAAGGATCAGAACTTCAGGAATAGCTTAGTTTGGTCCTGGCTCTGGAGGCTACAGTCATGCTGTTGACTGGGACCAGACCTCAAGCATCCAGGCCTGGAGGATCTGTTCCAAGCTCACTCACATGGTTGTTGTCAGGCCAATGACCCAAGAGGGAGAGAGAACCCAAAACTGAAGCTGCAGCGTCTTTTATAACCTAATTTCATAAGTGGAATGCCATCACTTCTGCTGCATATTGGGGTTGCAGAACCAACCCCTGGTACAAAGCAAGAGGGGGCTACACAAGAGCCTGAATACCAGTAAGGTGGGGATCATTGAGGACCATTTTGAAAGCTGGCTGTCATGTCCTCTGATACCTCTTACCCAGCTTTTGCAAAGAGTAATACCAGAGCAGGGAGGTCCTATTCCACTTAACAATCAGCAGTAATTGCTTTTCATTCAGTTCCTGTTCCTTATCCTCCTCCAAGGATCATTGTGAACTGAAGGGATGACTGACATTCTTGGATCCCATGGAAATATCACCGAATGCTATTAACTATAATCATGGCAGATCAAGTGAGTACATGTGTAGAATTTGGGAGTTAAGCACTATATTGGAAAGTTGAGGTCTCTGATGTATAGCTGGCCTAGGATCATAAATTGAGTTTAGATCTTGGCCTGCATTGGAATTTTTAGGGTCAGGGGAGTCTCACTCTGGGACATTAAACTGGAAGTGGCTACACCTACCATGAGGCCTTGCATGCTAACCTCTTTCCAGATAGAGAAGGGCAGGGCTCTCATCTGGGCCAGAGCAAGTGTAATTCAAAAGAACTCCTTTAATCTTTGGTGGGCGTAATGGCTTTTTGCTACCACAACTCCTCCTCCCTCCTCTCAAAAAAATATATATTCTCAAATGCTGCTCAGGAATTTTTTGCTTCTCCAGGGGGACTATAGTTCTGATGTTGCAAGCAACACAGCAGAGGAAAGGGATTTTTATGCTTCCTTTGGAGTAGTAAAATCAACCAAGGCCTAGGGAATCCAAAGGCTAAAGTAAGATGAGATTTTGCAGCATGTGGAGCTGAGGTTCTGATGTATTTCACTGGGTTTCTAAAGCATGAACTAGGGGCAGTCTAAGATACCAGAAAAAGTCAAAGGTGTTTTTCCTATTCCTTTACTCAACAATCAACACAGAATACTTCACCTCTGGCCACTACAATGTGTGGGGATTTCTCCTCACACAAAACTAGTCAATTATCCAGCAGACACAGGCTGGGAGTCCTTTAATTCAATTCTGATGCTATTTACCTGGAGATAGCATCAGACACCACAGGCTGAGGGCTCAGTCCCACAAGACTGCCCCCCACTTCAGGTATCAGCTGCAAGTAGTAGTTGCTGCCTACACTTTGACCCTGTAGCAGGAGTTCTCATAAGCCCCTCCTTGGACTTGACTAATTTTCTAGAGTGGCTCATAGAACTCAGGGAAACACATTTGCCCATTTATTATAAAGGATATTACACAGGGTACAGGTGAACAGTCAGATGGAAGAGACACACAAGGTAAGGCATGTGGGAAGAAGCTTCCATGCCCTCTCTGGGCAACATCTTCCAGGCACCCTCATGTGTTGAGTTTAGCTATCCAGAAGCTCCCTGATCTTAGTCCTGGGTTGTTATGGAGGCTTCTTCACACAGGCACTATTTATTACATCATTGTCCATTGGTGATCAACTCAACCTTCAGCCACATTTCCCTCTCAGGAGGCTGGGGATGGAACTAAAAGTTCCAACCCTCTAATCCTGTCATGGTCTTTCCAGTGACCAGCTCCCAACCTTGAAGCTACTTAAGTGACTCAGCCATCGATCATCTCATTAGTATACCAAAGACGCTCCAGAAACTCTGGAGGTTCCAAGGATTTTAGAAGCCATAGATGTGTATGTATATGTCTGGAAACTGAGAAAAAGAGCTAAAAATATATTTCACAGAATCACAGTTGGCTTCTATAGTTATTCAAGTTGGGCTTCTGAAAGGCTTAAGAGAAGCAAATGGTAAAGGTCAATGAGGTTACTGGACTTCTGCTATGTTAAAAAATATTTTATATCAGGATAGGCTAGATTGTACTGTAGTAACACAACCCCCAAATTTTGGTGGCTCAAAGGTTTATTTCTTTCTCATGCTTCATGTCCATAAGGGGTTGGCCTGAGTGTTCTGCTCATTACCACTCAGGCTGGTGAAGCATCCACCTGAACTTGCCAGGTCATAATGCCCATAAAGAACACTCTGGAGAGCCTCCCACCAAAAACTAAATCCTCTATCCCAAATAGACATTTTTTCCGGTCATTTCTGCTCATCATTTTGGACTTCATGAGTTATATGAGCCAAACCAACCAGGAACCAGGAAATAGGTGTTTTTTTTTAATATGTGCCTGGAGTGAAGAAGGTGAATATTGGTGAACAGCATTATTAAAGACCACAACTGGCATCCTATAAAAGTGAAGCCCAGATCCAGACTTTCTCTTCTTTTGCTTTGTCTACTTCAATTCGCCCAGAGAGCCCTGCATCTGTGTTAGTGTCTGTAGCTGGCAACAGCAATGTGAGGCTAGAGACAGCAATATATGCTGTGTTCTGGAAACATTATGCTTGTTTAGGAAATGCTATGGTTGTACCTAGATGGTATAGGTCTAGAACTGGTGCTATGACATCCATAGGTTCTATCTACCATTTATTTGGAAGACTACCCTTAGGAAAAGTGGAACAGATGAGACTCAAGGTTGGAATTTAACAGTGAAAGTGCTAAAATAATTCCATCCCCTCCAGTGGAAGACATCCCAGGATGCTGCCATTGGAGAAGGGCCCCCTCTTCCAAGGCTTCCTGGTGCCAGGTACATAGGGAGTATTAAGTCAAGCTCATGGCAGGAAAGAGAATGCAACTCATATGGTTCAAAGGAAGAGGACTTAATGGAAGGATTTTCAGAGGTGTGGGCAGGATTAAGAGAATCAACCAGGTTGTTGAGGCACCCAAGGCTAGCATCTGTAGGAACCTGGTAATCCCTTGAATCATAAGAGGAAATAGGGTTATCTTAGCTCATCAGAGCTAGAACTGAGGAATAGGGGCTGCTGAACAGATCTATGCTTATTCAAGTTCAGAGCCACTGCCAGAAATGTGGCCCAAAGCAGGAAGGAAGCTGGAAGAAATAGTTCATCTTCTTTTCCCACCTGTCAATCTCCTATCAGTGTCTCTTACTGGCTGAACCTGTTGAGAGAAAAGCCAGCTAGGAAGGGGGTTCCAGGATGCACTTCGCAGGCACCAGCTTCCTGGGCAGAGAGGTGCAGGAAATGATCTGAGAAAGATGAGGAGTGGGGCTAGGGCTAGGGGAGTAAGCAGACTCAACACAGTGAGACTGTCCCTAGCTTAGGTTGAGCAAAATAAGAAAATTACAGTGACTTTTGGCCTTTAATTTATCTAGGATTTTAATTTCCCCAAGGGAAGGGAGATTTTATTTTCTCCATGGCAACAAATAAAGGGTTCATTACTGGAGCTTAAATATCTGAGAGAATTTAATAAAGGGAGAAGATTCATATGGTTTGTTTGGGACATTTTTCACACTGAGTATTCTATGTGTGCTACTTTAGGTACCCACTGTTCTAGTGAACCAGGTTTATCCATGGCAGGCAACAATTTGAGTTAAGAAATAAAATTGAGGGGTCAATATCTGACTATGAGCTTGGGCCAAATGTGTTGGTTTATCCATTTCAGAAGCTTCTAGACTAGAGCCAACAGAAGAACTGCCCATTTCTCTGGGCTCAGGAATTTATAAAAGTCAGTGGTACTAGGAAGCAGCCTTAAGTGTTTACCTTGAAGGGAGGAACTTGCCCAAGTGAAGGAGCAGGTCTCATTCCTGGTTGACTATAGCCTTGAGTGAGGACAATAAACCTGAGCTCACAGTTCTGATAAAACACAAAGCAAGTAAATGTTGATGAGGAAACACTTCCACCACTCCCACCAACCAACCCTCTCCATCTTAATTTCTACTCAACACACAAGGAAGACCTGTTGCATCTAAAGATATTGCTGAGATGTTGGTTGGGTCTCATTTACTAGTTGATGAAGGACTAGGCCTATAAGAGGGTCCTGATTCAGCGCACTCATTCTGTCAACTGGAATGAGAGCTCTAGGAAGTTTTTCATGATCTTTATTATTTGAGTGTCTTCATCAAATTCCTTCCTGCTTGCAGTTTGAAGCTCAGCTCTCTTTAGCTAAGTATCTTGGTTTCTAATCCATGGCCTTTGAGTGTGGAGGGTAGGTAGCAATCTGTGCCAAAACCTCAAACCCCAGCCTTGTGTTTAATTCAGAGCTCTGTATTGAAGGTTACATGTCACTGACTGCTGTGGTTTGAATATATCCCTCAAAGTTCATGTGTTGGAAACTTAATCACCAATGCAACAGTGTTGGGAGGTGGGGTATAAACAGAGGTGACTAGGTCCTCAGGGCTTTTCCCTCATGAATAAACTAATTCCATTATCAGAGTGAGTTTCTGATAAAATGATGAGTTCTGCCCTCTTCTCTTCCTCTCTTTCCATGTGATGCCTTCTGGCATGGTATGTAACAAGGAGACCCTCATCAAATGCAAACCCTCAATCTTGGACTTCCCAGCCTCTAGAACTATAAGAAATGAGTTTCTTTTCCTAGTTACCTAATCCATAGTATTCTTTTATGGCAATACAAAATGGACTAAGACACTGATCTGTCAAGTAATAAAGAGACACTTTGAGTTCTGACTTCATTTTTTATAAATGTCTCTTTGGGGAGCAGAAGACTAGACATCCACTATTCTTTACCCAGTGAAAAGAAAAACTTTTTCTTTTGGTAAGAGCACTTTCCTTTTGAAAAACTCTATTCTGACTTTAATCATGCAGTTTGAGTGAGATTGTCAATCACACTCTATAGGGTGGGCAAGTGGCCCAAGATAAGCCAATCAGAGCAACAGTAATGATTGGCCCTGCTTTGAGCATATGCTCATCTTTTGCCAGTGTCAGTCCTTGTTAAACTGAATTCTGGTTGTAAAGAGCCTTTACCTTTCCTGTAGTGAAGTTGGTAAGAGATGAGCATAAAGCAGCCAGGACCCCATCTCCCACCAGAGAGAGTCAGTCTTTCACAAGAAAGAAAGAATTTGACATTCAAAGCAATAGAAAAATCGGTGAGAATGTTCCAGAAAATATAACTGTCACTCATCCAGTCTTTCCCAGCTGTACCCATGCCCTCCCTGAGGCCAAAAACATTTCCTTTTTGTCTAGGGTAGACTTAATTGGATTTCTGTCACAAGCAACAGAGTCCTGACTGATTTAGTAGAGAAGATGTGTGGTGGTTCTGGGTCCCTGGCCATCATACAACCTCTGACCTAAATCCTTCACAGTACAGATTAGGTAAAGGAATGCCACAAAGTCAACGGTGATCAAATCTCCATAAATAGGTCAGGTGATGCTTCCCAAAGAAGCAATACCTATTAAAGGCATAGGTTTTCAGAACCCAAAAAGCATCATGGGAGAATTTAAGGAGCTTCAAGTAACAGACTAGTAAAAGTAAGGAAATTCTGCAGCAGGAAAATGTCTCACAAGCCATGTTACGGCATTTCAACTTTATCTCACAGGCGATGGGGAGCCACAGGGTTTACCGTCTAAGACCCTTAACCTCTCTATTCCATCAAAACAACTAATAGGTCTTAGACTGGCACTTCTTGTTTTCAGTGGTAGAAGTAGAGATTAGAAGTTAAAAATAACTGGAAGCAGAATCTGAGCTCATTGCCTTGTCCTTAGAAGTCTGAGGCAAGGGAGGATGGGACAGTGCTATTCCTTGGTGATCTTGAACCAAGTTACTGCCTCCCTGACCACCAACCCTACCCCTTACTCCCCACCCCCATCTTCTTATCTGTGACAGTGGCATTTCCCATTCAGCCCTTAAAAAAAAAAAAAAAAAAAAAAAAAAATTGGTTCATTGAGAAACCTTTGCTGACTCATGTACTAACCAACACTTCCACCTAGTGGGAACCTTTGGAAATCATCTCACAGGATCAACACCCCTCTTCCCCGCCACCCACTGCACAGCTTCTATAAAAGACAGAAATGTCCCATTCTCTGCTTGGTCTCTCAGTGACTGTCTCTTTGACCCCAGTCTTCCACTGCCATGCACATGAACATAGTTCCCTACATGGGAATAAGGCTTTGTAACCTGCAAGCAGTGCTCACATATCAGCCTCTGTGGCCTTCATCTAAAACAGTACATCCGTGCTTCCTGGCTCTGTTCGTCATCTTGGTATAAACATAGGATGGCAATAGTGTCCAAACATGGCATTCCTCTGGATCTTTCACTGTCTATTTTGAGTGGCCTTCAGCCCCCTCATATTCCTCCCTAGTGATTTTAGAAATTGTCAGTGCCAGTTGACAACTCCAGTCATCTGGGTGACTGTAATGTATGCCATGTTTATTTTTTTATCAACTATATGTTCACTCACTGGAATGATGTGTTCTTTTGGCATTCATCTCTAAATATTACAGCTCCTTGCTTAATGAGATACCAAAGCCCATGTAAGATACTGGGGACATTGTTATCTATGCTGAAAAGGCCACCATCACCAGATGTCCTCTAGTGTCTGAGCTACTAGTGTCATTGTCAAGGGTATTGGCTATTACCATTACCAGGACATCATCCCCACCCCCTGCCCCTACCGTCTCCCCTCACTATCAGCAGTTGTCATCAACTGGCTCTCTTACATATTCAATGTTCTATGAAGACAAAAGTTTTCTGCTCTACAGTCCAAAGGCTGATGAAATATTTCTATTGGAGAAAATCATCCCTACTTCTAATTCTACTTATTTCTATACCCCAACTTCTATCCACTTTTTTCAAACCTAGGGTCAGAAGAACAATATTTCTATTGCAACTTTGGATGAAGTTCCACCAAAGTGAGTTGTGCTTCTTCTCTTTTCCAGTGCTTAATTCTGAGACATGGCCAGGTTTGAGGCTGGGTAGGAGAAAAACAACTAGAGAGCCAAGTCTCACTGCTTTGTTCCTCACTTTGAGAAAAGGGCAGATGATTCAGGATCCTCTGATCTGGACTCCAGGCATCATTCTTGATGGATTTCTAGACCCAGGAATTGCCTTGGACATCATCCACTTGCTGTATGCTATGTTCAGCCTGGAACAGAACTGAGGGAGGAGGATGGGAGGGGAAGGAAGAGTGGGCAGAAGGGAGAAAGAGATAGAAACAAAAAGAATACAGTGAAAACTCCATGAAAAAGTAGAAAGTGTCCATATTTTTCAGGTCACTTGGTGGACATGACTTCCTGTCTTTCGTGTAATATGGAATCAAAATTATTGAAATAGACTGATTTGGTCTCCTTTTAATTGTCAGGAGTGAAAGAGTAAAGGGATGTGTTTGTTTTGCTTTGGGTCTATTTTTGGTCATGAATTTTGCAAGATTGCCAAAGATTATGTTTATTCTCTTGTTGGCTGAAGATTTCACCCTGTTTTTCTGAGAGGCTGGGCTTGTCTTTTCCACCCATCTCCTGGGAAAGAACGTAAAAAAAGAGGGAGTTGAATGGCTTCTGCAGAGGCAAGACTTGAGCTGGCCTGAGAGGAGGCAATGGCTCGGGTCCACAGAGAAGAAGGCCTGGATTTCAGTTCTCTACTTGCATCATGGTGCCTGTGTTAAACATTGCTAAGTTGCAGACTTCATGCACCCAGCACAGGCCCTAGCACAGAGTAGGCATGCAATAAGAGCTTGCTGAGTAGAACTGAACAGAGAATGTCAAGGTTATGGGGAGATACCTAGAGGGTTAATCTGGATCTTCTATGCAAAACTCTAGGAACAATGAAGGAGGAAGCTATTTAGTAGTTGAAAAGAAATAGCAGAAACTGGAAAGTGCAAATTCAAAAATAAGTCCTGCAGAGACATTTAGAATAAGTCTAAAATCTTAGTATCAGAAATTGAGAATTTGAGGAAATCTAGTTGAACCTGCTATTATAACCAATAAAGTGGCCGCATCTTGATCCTGCCACCAGTTTTTGGGCAACATCAGGCAAGGTTTTCTATCTCCCTCAGGTGGCCTGATTTGCATTGCCCAGGATCCTGTAAGAGGAAGGGAGGTGTCCCCTGTGGCAATGAATGGAGGGGAAGCATTGACTGTGACAGGAACAGGGCATAAGAATAACATGTTCTCATTGCAGCATTTGGGAAATACAAGGAACCAGAATAAAACTGTGTCCCCAGAGTCTGGTGGAAATAGGGTTTCTTCATTTACCAATGGACTAATACTTTTTTGAGACAAGGTCTTACTCTGTTGCCCAGGCTGGAGTGCAATGGCATGATTGCAGCTCACTGAAGCCTGACCTCCATGGCTTAAGTGATCCTCCACCTCAGCTTCCCTAGTAGCTGGGACCATAGGCATGCACCACCATGCCTAATTTTTTCGTTTGCAGAGACGGGGTCTTGCAATGTTGCCCAGGCAGCTCTCAAATTCCTGGGCTCAAGCAATCTACCTGCCTCAGCCTCCCAAAGTACTGGGATTATGAGCATGAGCCACAGCACCCAGCTTACCAATGAATTATTGAGTGGTATGTGCCAAACTCAATACTGACCACAGAAGATAGATAGATGAGGAAAATGTAGTCACCATTCTGAGAAAATTCATAATCACTCAATTGACTCATACTTCTTTTCTCTAGAATATCCAACTCCAGCCTCCCTTTTACTACAAGTTCCTGTCTCCCATTCCTTCTGCTACACCCACTCATTGATTCCTTGACCCACCCCTACCACCACCCATCTCCCAGCTCCCAGCTTACTCAGCCTCCTTACCTCCCTACCTTCATATTTTCCTATGAATCCATGGCCAGCTATATTCTTAACAACTTCCTCATATCCCCGATGCCCTTGATCTTTCCACCTTGTCAAGTCCCAGTTTAAATGCAACCCATGCTTTTCATCCATTCCTTAAATATTCTTTAAATACCTGCCATGGGCCCCAGCCACTCTTCTAGATGCTAAGGATACATTAGTGAGGAATAAAATTCCTTCTGGGGCCTGTGTAGAAAATTTTCATATAAACAATAAATATATAGTAAAAAAATGCAATAAAATGTCATAAAAGCTATGAAAACAAAGCAGAGTAATAAGAGGGGTCAGGGAAGAACTCTTTGACCTGAATGAAGTAAAAGAGTGAGCCAGGAGAATATCTTGAATAAGAAAACTCCAAGGGCCAGGCGGCCTGTAATCCCAGCACTCTGGGAAGCCGAGTCGGGCAGATCACGAGGTCAGGAGATCGAGACCATCCTGGCTAACACAGGGAAACCCCATCCCTACTAAAAATACAAAAAAATAGCCGGGCGTGGTGGTGGGTGCCTGTAGTCCCAGCTACTCGGGAGGCTGAGGCAGGAGAATGGCATGAACCCAGGAGGCGGAGCTTGCAGTGAGCTGAGCTCACGCCACTGCACTCCAGCCTGGGTGACAGAGAGAGACTCCATCTCAAAACAACTCCAGGAGGAGAAGCCCTGAGGTAGGAAGACAGTGTGGCTGTGTGAACTAACCGAGAGGAGGAGTGGTAGGAAGTGGAAAGCTGGGAATGGGTGCACATAGGGCCTCATGAGCTGTATTTGAATTCTAAGTGTAATGGGAAGCCATTGGAGAGGGAATATTTCAGCAGGAGTGATGTGATCACTAGAGAAAAGAGCCTCCAATGCAGGTGCTGTTGCAGAAATCCTGGGGAGAAGTGGGGGTTCATGCGAGGAGGGTGGCAGTGATGAGAAGGGCTCAGGTGCAGGACACGGACTGTAGGTAGAACCCACAGAATCTGTGAAAGAACCGGGCATGAGTTACAGGGAATCATGAGACAAATCCAGAGTGACTCCAAAGTGAAGAGTGTTGCCATCTTAAGAGATGGGGGATTAAAGGAGTAGGTTGGCAGAGTGACAAGGAAATTAGAAGTTGTTTCCTAGACACATTTGAGATGTCTCTTAGACAGTCAAGTAAGCTATTAAGTAGGCAGTTTAACATACAATATAAACATGGGGTGGCCAGGTGCAGTGGCTCACGCCTGTAATCCCAGCAGTTTGAGAGGCTAACACGGGTGGATCACCTGAGGTCAGGAGTTCAAGGCCAGCCTGGCCAACATGGTGAAACCCCGTCTCTACTAAAAATACAAAAAATTAGCTGGGCATGATGGCGGGCGCCTATAATCCCAGCTACTCAGGAGGCTGAGGCAGGAGAATCGCTTCAACCCAGGAGGCAGAGGTTGCAGTGAGCAACTCCAGCTACACTCCAGCCTGGGCAACAAAAGCGAAGCTCCATCTCAACAAAAAGAAAAAAAAAATGGCGTCATCAGATTACCAATAATGTCTGAAGCCACAGTGCCACATGAGATTTTCTAAGGAGTGGGCATAAATAAGAGGTATAAGAATGGAGCCCTGGGGACATCTTGATGTTTAGAGTCCAGAGGGGTAGGAAAACCAGCAAGGATGTTGACAAAGTCACCAAAAGAATAGAAGGAAACCTCGATGAACCAACGTCCTGGAGGTGAAGGAAGCATGTCAGAAGGAGCCCTTTGACTGTCTCCATGTGCCTGGCTGTCACTAAGATGGCCCAGGGAGCCGGGGAGCGTGCTTACCCTGCATATCCATACTTTCCATCCCAAGAGGGTCTTGGGGCTGCTGGGTCCTCCACTCAGCCTTTACGGGGTAGTTTCCTTGACCAGGTCCCACAGTATTTCTTTTGCTTTCCCCATTCCTGACCCCTTCACATCCTACAAACAGCTTTTCCTTTATTAGAAAATGAGAGAACTTCCTTTCCTTCACATCAGAATGACTTCCATTCTCTTTTTCTGTCAGAGGAGCAGAGATGGAGCTCTGCTTTCCTTCTCTGGGCAGAGTCCCACATTTGCCACCTGGATTCTCAGTATCCCAGACTCCCTGTGGCCAAAAACCTGCACAGATCACCAACTACTCATCCTGCCCTCAATGGGCTGCCTAGTCCTGGCCTTGGAAACAGAAAGACTGGTTCATCTCTAATGGGAACAGGCTCCTAGCCTCCTCACTTTTAATTTGCCTTCCACCTTATCAAACTCAGATCTGGTGTTCATAGTGTTTCCCTGTTCATAGACTTCAGAGGATTATTCTGGAGAAAGTCCACATTTATGGCAGGGCATTTAAGTAAGACCCACTGCAGTCTGACTCCTCAGTCCTCCAACTTGTCTCCTGCTCTACACCAGTGCTCCACTATGTATGGGGAACATAACCCTCCCCAAAATACTGTGTACATTCTTGGCCACAGGCCAAACTTAATCCCTATGCCTGGATTTCACCGTGAAGGCTTCAACATGTCAGCTCAAATGCTATCGCCTTTGAGGTTTTCTAGACCATCTCCTCCCTGCCCCAGTTCCTCTACCAATCAGAATTCATTGCTGTCTCCTCTGTCTACATAGACTCTCTTCCTCTATTGTTGTGCCAGTCATTACAGTGCCCTTGCCTGTCACTCACACTAGACTCACAGCTAGTTCACTAGTGGTCATGTTCACTTCTGCTTACCCCACAGGGCCTTACCCTTATAAGGGGCTCAAAACTGGAATTGGGTTTAAGCTGGGCTGGGGGTTGGCTGCCAGTTGCAGGAGGGATTTTACAACTAAGGAAATGCTTCGAGCCGGAGCCTTAGGTACAGATGGGTCTGGAATGTTTGGTAAATAAAGGGCAGGCCAGTGTGGCTGGAACTGATGGTTCTGATGATGCTAGG
Organism: Homo sapiens; assembly: GCF_000001405.40. NCBI lineage: Eukaryota > Metazoa > Chordata > Mammalia > Primates > Hominidae > Homo > Homo sapiens. The sequence goes on along the minus strand of NC_000006.12, from coordinate 39,975,518 downwards.
AAGACTAAGTTGTTGGGGTCAAGGATTTCAAAGGACACTGGTGGACAGGCTTAAGGGTCTGGACCTCATCCTTTAGGCAGTACCCTGTGTTTTCCCAAGTTCTGTCTATTTCAGATGTCTATTTTTCTGTCAGACCATTCACTGCAAGTATCTTTCCAGAAATCATGGTTCTGTGGCAAAGTGATTCTGAGTAGGGTTGTGACATGGAGAAAGGCGTGATTGGGGAAGCATGTATGCCACCATGAGTTGTGGAGGGGGATGACATTGGATGTTTGGCAGGGAGGCAGTTAGTGCAATGGAGGTGACAGAAGAGGGCCAGGACCAAGACACTCCAGTGGGGACAGGAAGAAAGCAGCCCTGGGAAATCCTGCACTTCACAGGAAGAGGGAAGCATCAGATCCACCCCTTGGGCAGACAAATGAGAGGTCTAAGAGCCTTGAAGGGAAACGAGTTGCCTAAGCTCCAGGATTAAAACTCATTTCATAGCTCCTGGTCCAGTGCTCCTTTCCCCTCCTGTGAGTGGAATGAGAGGCTATCAGTGAGAATGGGGCTCAGGAGATCCCACTTGAGCCCCCAAGAACTGTTTTCACAGTTCTTAGTGATACGTGCAAATTTAGTGCTAAAATAACCCTGGGCCACATATACATACTAGCTTTGCCTCTAGCATCCCAATAAACAGGGGTTGACTGGCACATTCTCTCTGAGGCCTGCCTTTTCTGAGCTGACTCTTCTGGGTACGCACCTCTCCTTTGCCATCACAGGTGGCCTGCTCTGCTCCAGACTCCGGGCTCACTGGGTCCTGGAAAAGGGGCAGCCAGGGTGACTTTTGAATACAGTGAATTTTCCCCATTACACAATTGCATATTCTCATCATTGTAAATCCAGAGAATAAAGACAATTTGTACCGAAACAAATGACCCACGACCACAAAGGGCATCAGCACTTTTCTAAGCACAGAGCCTCACCTGGCGAGAATCCACAGCCACATGCACCTGGCCTGGATCTGCTTTCCTGTGGCTCTCCTGGGGCTTCTCCTCCCAGGAAATCCTGCTCTGGTTCTACAACCTGCTCTGGCCTGCTCATATTTCTACCACTAACTACCACAAAAAACAAAATGCAACTCTTTCTCCAAAATATGTAGTTATGGGGTTTTAAACATGAAGGAGTTTAAAACTGAGGCAGTTTTAATAGAAGTCAAAGAGGAACAGAATGGAAAAACAGAGTGGAACAAGAGGAATGGAAATATTAAGATAATCACTAAGAATACATCTTCAAAAGAGCTCATCAAGTATTGAACTTCTAAGATGACATGCACTTAGATATATACTGGTGACATTTCTGTACCTCAAAGATAAAGAGAATTTTAAAAGCTTTCAGAGATGCAAAATTTTTTCCACAAAGGAACAAGAATCAAAAAGACATAAGACCTCATCCAATTCTGGAAGCTAAATGACAGTGGAAAAATGCCCTCAAAAATCTGAGAGAAATGGCTATAGAATCCCTGGGACAAAAATATCAAATCAAGTATAAGGAAGTATAAAGATGATGTGGTAGGGTAGGTCCTTTGAGAAACATTACAAGACAGGGTTATGTGTGCAAGAAATTTATTAGAGCAAACACCTGTAAAGATACGAGGCCAGGATAGGCTCAGCAAGCTGTCAGTCAGCAATAATGATCTGACCCCCTATAAAGGAGAGAGTGAAGGAAGACAGGGCGGGTGGGCATATTTAGACTGCACTGCAGTCTTAGAGTTAGAAAAGTCTGCAGGGAGTCCTCAAGCCCCCGGGGAGTATTGTCTCCCTGCTCAGTCTTTGGCTGGGAGTAGCCTCTCAGAAGCCCCAGTGTGGACATGCTGATGGATTTCAGAGGCAGCACCAGAGTCTGTGGGTCAATTATACTCCCTGCAGTGGAACTTCTGAGGGACACATTCTCACAGCAGCCACAGATGTCTTCTGATTTACAAAGATTCAGAAAGTTTACAACCAACTAACCTTGTGTGTTAAAAATGAAGGATATACTTCTTCCCAAAAGAAACACATCCCAAAAGAAGAGAGAGGGAAACCTGAGAAATCACAGGCACTGAGTTCACCCTAGAACAGCAAAGGAAGCTGGAAAATTATGAAAGAAAGCCTATGTAACCTCAATGCCTGGTGCAGTGCCCTTCAGGTGGCACAGGCTATAAAGCATCACACTTCCTTCCACTAAGGGTTCAATCACCCCACTTGGAATTCACTACAAATAAAAGCCAAATAATCATAATCATAAATAGTTTTTGTTTCTTACAGAATTAATCTGTAGAAAAGCACAGTAGTCATTTTAGTAGAAGGGTACCACAACAACAAAAATATCCTTTTCACTTCGTTAAAGTTTAATACAGTGAGTCAGATGGGGGAAGGGGAGAAGGAAAGTGGAAAGAAGTAGCAGCTCACTAATTTTCTCACCTTTCATGACATAGGTATGTCTAAATGTGAGCAGGTGGGAATACAATTCAAGTTGAGATTTGGGTGGGGACACAGCCAAACCATATCATTCTGCCCCTGGCCCCTCCAAATTTCATGTCCTCACATTTCAAAACCAATCATGATTTCCCAACAGTTCCCCAAAGTCTTAACTCATTTCAGCATTAACCCAAAAGTCCGTAGTCCAAAGTCTCATCTGAGACAAGGCAAGTCCCTTCTGCCTATAAGCCTGTAAAATCAAAAGCAAGCTAGTTACTTCCTAGACACAATGGGGGTACAGGTATTGGGTAAATACAGCTGTTCCAAATGGGAGAAATTGGCCAAAACAAAGGGGTTACAGGGCCCATGAAAGTCTGAAATCCAGCAGGGCAGTCAAATTTTAGAGCTCCAAAATGATCTCCTTTGACTCCAGGTCTCACATTCAGATCACACTGATGCAGGAGGGTGGGTTCCCATGGTCTTAGACAGCTATGCCCCTGTGGCTTTGCACAGTATAGCCTCCCTCCTTGCTGCTTTCATGGGCTGGTGTTGAGTGTCTGTGGCTTTCCCAGGTGCACGGTGCAAGCTGTAGGTGGATCTACCATTCTGGGGTCTGGAGGATGGTGGCCCTCTTCTCACAGCTCCACTAGGCAGTGCCCCAGTAGGGACTCCATGTGGGAGCTCCAATCCCACATTTCCTTTCTGCACTCCCCTAGCAGAGGTTCTCCGTGAGATCCCTGGCCCTGCAGCAAACTTCTGCCTGGGCACCCAGGTGTTTCCATACAACTTCTGAAATCTAGGAGGAGGTTCCCAAACTCCAATTCCTCATTTCTGTGCACCTGCAGGCTCAACATCACATGGAAGCCGCCAAGGCTTGGGGATTGCACCCTCTGAAGTCATGGCCCAAGCTCTACATTGGCCCCTTTCAGCCACAGCTGGAGTGGCTGGGATACAGGGCACCAAGTCCCTAGACTGCACATAACACGAGAACCCTGGACCTGCCCACAATACCATCTTTCCTCCTAGACCTCCAGGTCTGTGAATGGGAGAGTCTGCAGCAAAGGTCTCTGACATGCCCTGGAGATAGTTTCCCCATTGTCTTGGGGATTAACATTAGGCTCCTCATTACTTGTGCAAATATCTGAAGCTAGCTTGAATTTCTCCTCAGAAAATGAGATTTTGTTTTCTTTCAAACTGTCAGGCTGAAAACTTTCCAAATTTTGATGCCATTTCCCTTTTAAAACTGAATGCCTTTAACAGCACCCAAATCACCTTTTGAATGTTTTGCTGCTTAGAAATTTCTTCTACCAGATACCCTAAATCATCTCTCTCAAGCTCAACATTCCACAAATCTGTAGGGCAGGGGCAAAATGCCGCCAGTCTCTTTACTAAAACATAACAAGAGTCACCTTTGCTCCAGTTCCCAACAAGTTCCTCATCTCCATCTGAGACCACCTCAGCCTGGACATCATTGTCCATATCACTATCAGGATTTTGGTCAAAGCCATTCAACAAGTCTCTAAGTTCCAAACTTTCCCATATTTTCCTGTCTTCTTCTGAGCCCTCCAAACTGTTCCAACTTCTGCCTGTTGCCCAGTTCCAAAGTTGCTTCCACATTTTCAGGTATCTTTTCAGCAGCGCCCCTCTACTGGTACCAATGTCCAGTATTAGCCCATTTCATGCTGCTGATAAAGACGTACTCGAGACGGGGAAGGAAAAGAGGTTTAATTGGAGTTACAGTTCCACATGGCTGGGGAAGCCTCAGAATCATGGCAGGAGGTGAAAGGCACTTCTTACATGGCAGCAGCAAGAGAAAATGAGGAACATGCAAAAGCGGAAACCCTTGATAAAACCATCAGATCTCATGAGACTTAGTGACTACCATGAGAAGAGTATGGGGAAAACTGCCTCCATGATTCAAATCATCTCCCACCAGGTCCCTCCCACAACATGTGGGAATTATGGGAGTATAATTCAAGATGGGATTTGGGTGGAGACACAGAGCCAAACCATATCAGTGTGATTTAAATAGATGTTTATGAGTAATTTTATCTGCCTCTGAATTGTTTGTTCTTAGCCAGTTTGCTTCTGATTCCCTGCCATTAATTCTTGGAATATGTATACAGAGGACAGTCACATAAAGAACCTTCTGGCCTGTTTTTATCTAATGCTGGTAGCAGAATCCTAAAAGATAATCACAGATTAAAGCCAAAACTCATTCCCAGATATAAGCACCAAGTGTCATTCTAGAAAACAAAGAAACTTTAGATTATGAAGTTTTATCTATTTTGATTGCTTTGTCTGAAGGAGAGCCATGACCAAATGATATAGAGTGGATACTGCTGTCAATCATCCAAGGGCATAAAAGGAAGAGAAGGGGATGAACCAACACTGAATGCTATTCTTTTAGAGTAGTTGTATTGGGTTGTCTACGTATTGGGTAGGTCAGCCATGCAAGCAAATATATGAAGGCTTAGGATCAAAACCTGAGCTGTTAATAAAAAATGCATCTATTTGAGGGGAGAAAAAAAGGGGATAGAAGGAAGGTAGGGGCTCTCAGGACTGAGAAGGGGATGGTTTGGCTAGAACCTAGAGGAGACCTCTTGTGAATGCACACAGACTTCAGATTCTAGAAGCAATGATATACAGTATCCAATATCAATTTTTTTCCTTTCTGCTTTGTGACCATCTTCTATTACTCTAAAGCTTTCAGGAAGATACACCATAGCCTAAGTCTAATTGTAAGAAGGAAAGATGCAGTGGCCAGACTTGGCCAAAACGAGTGTGATAAGAGTAGCAACAGCCAGTAGAAGCAATGTGTAGATAGCAGAAAATGCCTTAAAGAATTTTGGACCTGCATCATTTGTATAGGGATTCTGTGAAATTTTGTGAAGAGCAGATAACTTGATTAGAAGAATGGACTTCCCATGGCCAATTGGAAAGGTTTTATACCCCTATCTCTAAAAGGGAAGGCTGGCTATTTATGAGTGGAGAAATCACGGATATTGGGATTAAAGATTTTTTCCGCAAGTAACCATTAATTTTTGCATGTAATCTTTAGCTTCTCTTGAGTTTTTAATGAGGACAGTTATAACATATACAATTAGTGAAAGCTTTGCTTTTATCTTTCCAATGTTATTACTTTTATTTATTTTTTATTGTACTGCCTAGGATTGCCAGTTCAGGGTTAAATAGTAATGGTGGTAATGGGCATCCTTATCTTGTTCCTGATTTTAAAAGAATACTCATTATGAAGTACGTTACTTCCTATGGGTTTTTGGAAGGTACACTTTGTTGGATTAAGCAGTTGCCTTGTATTCCTTGTTAGCTGAGAATTTCATAGAATGGCATCCATTGAGAAATATCATTTATCTCCTTTAATCTGTTTGTATAGTTCTCTATTCTGTTCCATTGATCTCTGCCAATATCACAGACTTGATTACTATTGCTATATAAGGTCTTAAAGTTGGATAGACATATTCCTTCCATTTCATTTTTTTATAAAATCGAATCATTCCAATTACTTCGCCTTCCTGTCTAAATTTTGGAACAACTTTGATAGAAATTCGTTTAAACCTGGGGGAATTTATATATTAACTATTGATATCTTCTAATGCATGAACAGTGTATCGCAATTCATTTCTTTGATTTATTTAATCAGTGTTTGTTTTCAGCATACAAATCCTGTATATGGTTTGTTGGATACTATTTCATTACCTTCTGAGAATGTCTTGATTTACCCTTCATTCTTGAAGAATATATTGGTTGAATGTAGAATTCTTGGCTGACAATTATTTTCTTTCCTACTTGAAAAATATTATGCCAGACAGTTCTTTTCTTTCATACTTGAAACATGTGCCATTTCCTTCTGGCCTCCAGAGCTTCTCATGGGAAGTCATTGCCATTGAAGTTGGTTTTCTCATATAGTTAACGTATCATTTCTCTTGCTGTTTTCAAGAGTTTTTTTTTTTCTCTCTCTCTCTCCTTCTATAGTTTTCACAAGTTAGAGTATATATGACTTGGTGTTGATTTCTTTGGGTTTACCCTGTTTGGAGTTTTCTTAGCTGCTTGAATGTGTAGTTTTATGTCTTTTGCCAAATTTGAGGATTGTGTAGCCGCTATTTCTTCAAGAACATTTTCAGACTCACCTTCCTTCTCCTCTCTATTTGGGACACCAGTGATATAAATGTTAGATTTTTTTAATATACTTCCACAAATCCCTGAGGTTCTGTTAATTATTTTTGGTCTACTTTCTGTCTGTTCACACTGCATAATTTCTATCTTAAAGTTCACTGATTATTTCTTCAATTTTGCAAGAAATAATTCAGACTTCAGATTCTAGAGGCAATGATATTCAGTATCATCCTTTAAGGGTTTTTTTTCTGACTACAAAGACCCAGAGGAGAGAGTTTTTAAAAACTATTTAACTAATTGTATTTTTACTTCTAAAATTGTCACTTGATTCTTGTATCTTCTATGTCTTTGAGACTTTTTTTATTCATTTCAAATATGGTCATAATTGCACCTTGATTTTTTTTTTCTTTTTTTTTTTATTTTATTTTATTTTTTATTTTGAGACAGAGTCTTGCTCTGTTGCCCAGGTTGGAGTGCAGTGGCGTGATCTCAGCTCACTGCAACCTCCGCCTCCTAGGTTCAAGCAATTCTCCTGCCTCGGCCTCCTGAGTAGCTGGGATTACAGGTGCACGCCACCATGCCCCGCTAATTTTTGTATTTTTAGTAGAGATGGGGATTCACCATGTTGGTCAGGCTGGTCTTGAACTCCTGACCTCAGGTGATCCACCCATCTCGGCCCCCCAAAGTGCTGGGATTACAGGCCACCATGCCCAGCCTTTTCTATTTTTTTATTGTACTAAAATACCCATAATGTAAAATTTCTCATCTTAATCATTAAGTGTATAGTTCAGTGGTATTAAGTACATCCATATTGTTACACAACTCATCACTATCCATCTCTTTTCAAACTCAAACTGTCTATCCCTATTAAACAATAATGTCCCATCCTCTCTCCTCTCTCCTCCCAGCCCTTGGCAACCACCATTCTACTTTCTGTCTCCCTAGTTTTGACTATTCTACCTCATACGTGGAATCATATAGAATTTGATATTTTTGTGACTGTAGCAAAATGTCCTCAAGGTTCATCCACATTGTAGCATGTGTTAGAATTTCCTTCTCTTTGGAGGCAGAATAATATTCCATTTTATGATATACCACATTTTGCTTGTTCATCTATTGATGGACATTTGGGTTGCATCCACATTTTAGTTATTGTGAATAATGCTGCTATGAATATGGGCATACAGATATCTCTCTTAGATCCTGCTTTCAGTTTTTGGGTGAAAGTGGAATTGCTACATCATATGGTAATTATATCTTCAATTTTTTGAGGACCCACCCTACTGGCTTTCACAGTAGTAGTACCATTTATATTCCCACCAACAGCGCGTAAAGATCCCAATTTCTCCACATCCTCACCAACGCTGTTATTTTTTGTTTTTTGTTTTTTTTTGACAGTAGCCATCCTAATGGGTGTAAGGTATTATCTCATTGTGGTTTTAATTTTCATTTCCCTAATGTTTAGTGATGCCGATCATCTCTTTAGGTGCTTACTGGCCATTTGTATATCTTCTTTGGAGAAATGTCTATTCAAATCTTTTGCCTATTTTTAAAAATCTGGTTGTTTTTCATTGATTTTTATGATGACTATCTTAAACTATTTGTCAGATCATTCTAACATCTCTGTCATATTGATATGAGCATTTATTACCTCTTTTCACTCAGTTTGAGATCTTGGTGGTTGGTATGATGAGTGATTTGTGATTGAACCCTGGAAATTTGGGGTATTATGTCATGAGAGTCTGATCTTACATAAATTTTCTGTTCTAACTGGCTTCCTCTGACACTGCACTGATAGGGGAAGGGGGGTTCCACTGCCAGGTGGGGCTGGAAGTCCAGGTTTCCCACTTGGCCTTTATTAACACCTGAGAGAGAGAACTCCTTGTTACTGCTGGGCAGGGGTGCAAGTTCCAGCCCCCATCTAGGCCTCCCTGGTTGAGGGGAGGGGTAGGAGTGTCTCATGAGTGTTCTCCAAATAGCCTCCACTGACACCATAGGGGTAGAGGGTAGCCTCATTATGGCTGGCTGGTGGCGAAAGGCCCAGCCCTCTCCACAGGCTTCCTGACACCCACCCTCCAGCAGGAGGGGAGAGATGTCTTATTACTGCCAAGGGGCCATGGAAATCGAGGCTCCCATGTGGGTGCAGTGTGCCTGGTACTGCCAGGAAGGATGAATATTCTCACTTGGCCTTCTTTGATACCAGTTTTTGGAGGACAGGAGATTTTGGTGCTTCCTTACAGTCTGGCCAAGTCTCCCCACTTGGCCTCTGCTGGCCTGGGGACGACCAAAACTCTGCTTTAGCCAATGGAATGTGGGTAAATTTGATAGGAGCAGGAGACTTGAATATGTTAGCGCAGTTTTGTTTAATCTTTTTTTTTTTTTTTTGAGATGGAGTCTTGCTGTCACCCAGGCTGATGTGCAGTGGCACAATCCAGGTTCAGTGCAACCTCCGCCTCCCAGGTTCAAGTGATTCTACTGTCTCAGCCTCCCAGGTAGCTGGGATTACAGGCACGTGCCACTATGCCCAACTGTTTTTGTATTTTTTTAGTAGAGATGGGGTTTTGCCATTTTGACCAGGCTGGTCTCAAACTCCTGACCTCAGGTGTTCCGATGCCTGCATCTGCCCCCCAGAGTGCTGGGATTACAGGTGTGAGCCACCGAACCCGGCCTAGTTTAATCTGTTGCTTGCCTGCCATTCACTAAGGGAAGAACGTGCTCCAGGTTTAAGGACCTGAACACAACCTGCAACTTGGAGGCTGAAGCCCAGATTTTAGCCTATCCCAGCTGACTCATACACCCTGCAGTAAGAAATCAATGCTTGTTGTTTAAATGCTGAGTTTTGGTGGTCCTGAGGCCAGCAGAGGCCAAGTGGGAAGCCTTGGCCTTGATAGTGAAGCCCTTTTTCAGGGGGGCAGGGAACTATATCTGCCCAGTAACTTTACAGTATCTTTCCATTGTACGTAGAGGATGTGGATGTATAATCCTATTGTAGGAGAGTAAAAAAAAACTGAGTCCAATGCAAGATATTACAATTAATTGCTGATCTTATCTTTATTGTCCTCCATTTAGTTACTTTGGACCCTGTTCTTTTTCTAATTTCTTGAGTTAGATGATTAACTCATAAATTTTCAGACTTCTTTGAGTATATGAGGCTGTAAATTTCTGTAAAGGTAGCTTTAGCTGTACCGCATGAGTTTTGATACATAGATTTTCATTATTATTCAGTTGAAATGTTTCTTTATATCTCTTACAATATTGTCTTTGACCCAAAAACTACATGTTTGAAAATTTCCAAATGTATTTTTATGTTTTTGTTACTGCTTTCTAAGTTAATTATACTGTGGTCAGATAATACAATCTGTATGATATTGATTCTTTCAGTATTTGTAAGGTTGGTTTTATGTCTTAATATGTGGCTAATTTTCATAAATGTTCCATGTGTAAGAGTATATATATTTTTAATTTGTGATATAGGGTTTATTACATGTTCATTATATAATAGTCATTATGTTAACATCTGCTAAACATTTATTAATTTTTTATTTATTTGATCTGTCAATACTAGATTGTTTTGGAGTTACCTGGAGTTGACCTTTTCCTTGCACTTCTCTTTGTTTTCTATGTTCTTAGGCTGTTTCTATGTTTCCTTGTACTTCTTTTTGCTTTCTATGTTTTTAGGCTGTTTTAGGTACATAATATTTAGAAATGTCACATCTTCCTTAGGAATTGAAATTTTACAACCATGGAGAAGCTCTCCTTAAAGCAAAAAAGCATTTCTAGAGGTATTTTGAGATACCTACACCAGCTTTTTAGTTAATATTTGCCTGATATTATCTTTTTTCCATTCTTCTATGTGTGACCTTTGTGTTCTTTCATGTTTGAAGTATCTCTTAATGATGGCATAGAGCTAATCTTAAAAATATAATCCAGTTGGACAATCTGACCTTTCAAATGACTTAGCCCCTTTATATAATGATTATTGAATACTTTTATATTTCTAGAATCTTTCTGGTGCTGCCAAAAGATATACATTTTCCCCATGTTGCAATATCTTTGAAATTAAAGTGTTTCTTACAATTCATGTTGTAGTTAGCAGCTTTTTTTAACTTAGTAGCATGTAAAATTTAAGTACATTTTACAACTGATGTCATCCTAGATTTCTTAGATTCTAAGAAATACAATATTTACTCAGATTTTCTTAACTTTCTCTTCCCCTTCCACCCCTTTTATCTTTATTGACTTAAGGTTTTTCATTTCCTTTTTTCCCTTATACCTGGAATTTTCACATCCTGTCTGTATCGTTTTAGTGATTACTCTTAAAATTGTAGCAAGCATGCTTTAGTTAAATTCTAAAGGTAATCGGTGTCTTATTCAGATTCTTCTAGAAGCTGCCCTTGAGACAAGAACTTGAGTACAGGCATTTGGAAGTAAAATCAGGAAGCACAAGTGAATGAATGGGACAGTGAGATGGGGAAGAGAGAGAAGCCAATACGGGAAGCCCTCATGGGCAGGTAACTGTTGTGGATAACATGCTCAAACCCTCTGAATAAGCAAATGGAATGTGTCTGACAATTTTCCCGCCAGGGGATAAGGAGGTCAGGACATTTATCTGACTCCTCTATTGGTTGAACGTTATCCATGGGTGTTAACTTCCCTAAACTTCCAGGTTACAGGTGCTTAAGGCAGAGCACGTTTCTGTGGTTCAGGAGAAGGACATTGGGCATGGGAGAGAGACATGTGCTTCAGCAGGAGCTGTCAGCCTGTTGAAAACTGTCTACCACAGTTGCAAATGAACTTGGGTGGGCAGAAAGGATACTGGGGAAACCGGTATCAACAGTGCCTGCTACGATTAGTATATTTCTAATCTCCTCCTGCCGATTGCCAAAACCTTGAACTTTTCATTTCAATTACCAATTCTACTTCATATATTAATCAGTACATATTTTATTTCCACTATTTTGTATACCTCCTAAAACAATGATTATTTGTATTATTTCAAACAATGGTCATTTAGTTTTACCCATATGTTAATCAGTTTCCTTGCTCACCTTTCCTTCTTGAGAATCTCACTTCTTTTTTTGGGGGGTTTAATTTTTCTTCCTTTAGTTATGTTTTCCTCACCATCTGAACTTTCTGGTTCCTAGGTTTGGATAATGAATTTGGATACTGAGACTGTAAAGTATATCATGTTATGCAAGTCTATTTCGTTCCTGCATTTTAGATAGCAAATAGCAAGTGTTTTCATAGAGTGGAATTTATGTAGTTTAACTTTTTTTTTTCCAGAAACAGTCTGTTAGGGAATTTAGTCTTTGTCTTTGTGAAAATGACTTTTTTCTCAGTCCTGAATGATAGTTTGACTAGGCATAAAATTGTAGGTTCATTCTTACCTTCTCTCAGCACTTAAAAGATACAAGGTGACCTCAAAATTTCATGGAAACTGGAATTAAAAGATAAAAATAAAGCATTTTATTTCTCAACATAAACTCTATCAGTTCAAGACACTTTTGAAAGCAATGATACCAGCCATTTAGTCCATCCATAAAGAACTGAGGGTCTTGGGAATTTAACACATCAGTGCAACCTTTTTTACATTATTAGGTGAAGAAAAATGGGTGCCCTTTAAAGATTTTATAAGATGAGGAAACAAATAGTAATCAGAAGGAGCCAAATCAGAACTGTAAGGTGGATGCCTAATTTTCCATCAAATCTCATGAAATTGCCCTTGTTTAAGAGGAATAAGCAGGAGCATTGTCGTAGTGAAAGACTCTCTAGCAGTCTTCCTGAGTATTTTTCTCATAAAGCTTGGCTTTCTCAAAACACTCATAATAAACAGATGATATCATTCTTCAGCCCTCCAGAAAGTAAACAAGAAAAATGCCTTGAGCATTCCAAGAAACTTTTGCCACGATCTTTGCTCTTCACTGGTCTGCTTTTGCTTTGACTAGGCCACTTCCACCTCTTGGTAGCCATTGCTTCTGATTCCATTTCAATGTGTCTAATGTATACCTACTTTTATTTATACCATTCAGGGGTGTTGTGACCATAGAGCTAGGTAAAGAAAAGAGAGAAGCAGAGTCTACCAATACCAGACTCTTGGTAGCCACGAAAAATACGTAGTTTAGTCAAGTAGTGATGACATTAGGGAACAAAATCAGCTGAAATTTGGTTGGAGATTGTAGAATTCAGATGATTCAAATCAAGTAATAAAACTGAAAGATTACAAAAAGTATTGTGTGATGGTGTATAACTGAAACAGTAGGTACCAACCCTACCTGAAAGGTCCTTAACAATCTAGAGATTATTAAAACTGGACTCAGTACATCCATCTGTGATGCATGAAGCCACACTTGACACAGGCACTTCCAAGTCTGGTATCCCTGTGCCAAATGTCTCTATGTCTCTGTCCAGTTGCAAATCCAACTTGCCTTGGGTGATAATCACATCATGAATTGTCTCAGTAACCTAAAATAACACTGAACTTTAGTGGGTTAAGTGTCTTTTAACCCCAGGAATATAGAAATTATGAAGTGCATCAAACCCATGACATTAGTTTATGTTACAGTCAAGATAATCTGAGTGGTGGGTATATAAAATGCTGGTAAAATATAATTGAATGTGGCATATTAAAGTAAATGACAAATTGACCTGTCATTCCAAATTAAATGTGCATTGGATTTGAGGTTGGATGGTATAAGAGGAAGTGACTTAACTTATAAAGAGTGTTAGGATAGTTAAAAGAACTGTAGCTGCTTAATAATGAGGGAAGGATTCGTTTGTTAGGTCATGAGTTTGTTGAGTTTAGACTTCTAATTTCTTAAAGAAAATGGAATATATTAAATTTATAAATGTTAAAGTGCTTACAGAAAACTAGTCTGTTCAATTCAGGTTTACTTAACATTAATCAAAATCAAACTCCCTTAAGTAATCAGTCCAATTTAATAAGGCTCCCTGAAAATAATTATTTTATATAAAACTTACTGGGTTTAAAACAGTATAATACAATTTATAAGATAAATTTAGAGGTTTAGGGAAAACTGTTTACATTTACAATTTTAGTAAACAAAACTTTATTTTTAGTTATTTGGGTTTGATTTTTAATCTATGTGCACAAAACCTGCCCTTGGACTTAAAAAAATTCTCACATAGAAACTGAATCTAAGGATTCATATTCTTTACCGATGTAGTCTCTTGCTGATTCTCTCTAATCTCACCTTCTGAAATTTGTACTGAATATAAATTGAACCTTTTCACTCTATCTCTCATGCCTCTCATTTTTTAATGTTTCCTTACCCAAAATGTAGCACAGAGAAATCACTTCTTTTCCAGTTCCCAATTCTATCTTCATCTGGATCTGATTAATCTTTCCACTGGGAATTTTTCCTTAATTTCAATGGCTCTATTCTCATTTCACATCAGACACAAACCTTGTGTACTTTCTCAGAGCCAAACTGCCTCCCTTGTTCTCAAAATTCCTCCTATTTGCGATAACTCCCTGGAGTAAACAGGCGCACTGCCGCCTCTACTCGGCTTCCCAGACTGGCTGGGGGCCTGAGATTGAACGGACCTCACATCTCACATGCCATGCCTGTCTGCAACAAGTCATTCCTCCACTTATGGACATAGGATCTGGCTTTCTGAGTGACATCAAAGGATGAATAATGCAATAATTATGAGTTAGGTCTCCATGGTGTGAAATTTGAGCAATGGGAAATGAGAAACAGGAAGGAGCTGGGCAGAGAAATTCCCCCTTCTTTTCTCCCTTCTAATCAGAGGTGGTGCTTCTTTTTTAAAACTTTCCAGAAAGGTACTGTGTGCTAAGCAAATATACCTTCTATGTGACTAGCTGTGTTTCTTCATGGCTTCTCAAGAACCAGTGGCTAGTGCAGTAATGCCTCATATTACATTGCTTCACATCTTTCTTTGCCCCACTTCCCCCTTTTCTCCCTCACTTTCATGTCACTGGGCTTGTAATTTCTAAATAAAATATCTCCATCTTCATCCTTGTCTCAAGCTCTGCTTTCTAGAGAACTTAAACTAAGAGAGTCTTTAACACTTTTATTTGATTTTGATAATTTAGCCTTCTCTTATATTTAAAAAAAACTATTAATGTAACTTCCAGCCAGAGAGAGTAAAAGATGCTTAATGATATTGATTCCCTGTGGAATACTATGCAGTCATAAAAAAGAACAAGGTCATGTTCTTTGCAGAGACATGGATGGAGCTGCAGGCCATTATTCTTAGCAAACTAACACAGGAACAGAAAACCAAACGCTGCATGTTCTCACAAGTGGGAGCTAAATGATAAGAACACATGGACACATAGAGGGAAACAACACACACTGGGGCCTATCAGAGGGTGGAGTGTGGGAGGAGAGAGGGGATCAGGAAAAAATAATAGGTACTAGGCTTCATACCTGGGTGAAATAATCTGTGCAAAAAAACCCCATGACACAAGTTTACCTGTGTAACAAATCTGCCCATGTACCACTTAACTTAAAATTTTAAAAAATGCTTACAATTACTATCTTTTAAATTTGAGACTATAATCCCACTTTTAATACTGACAACTCTCACTCATGGTGAATTCTTTTCTTATGTGTTTTGTGATTGTGGATTGTGAGTTCACCTTTAGCAGGGCTGTATTGAAGGGAACTCTGAGAAACCTTAGATAAGGTTTTGTCCCTCCAGAGAGGACTTACATTCTCTTTGTTACAGATATTACCAGCTTGGGAGTTCTCAGCCACATAAGAGATCTAAATGTGAAACTCTGCCTTCAGGGAGAGCAGGTGTCTGGGGGAATCCTATCCCTTTATTCAAATACAAGTAAAAACAGACAAGCTTCCTTGATATCCCTCTTTGCTGAAGGGTTGATCTTGTTTTTAGTTGCTGCCCTTCTTCTGAAAATATAGTAGTAGTTCTTTGATAGTTTTCGGCTTCATGTGCAAAGCCTCCATCATGGTCTCTGAGGTAGACAAACCTAAGGACAGCTACAATGTGAACTGAAGAATACTTCTGGTTTTCAATTCTCTATTCATTTTTGCTCCAGGATTTATGTTATTATAAGCTCAGCTATGCATTTAGAAGATTATTTTCTGTATTTAATCATACTTTCATGGTATTTTATAATGAAAAGGTTTTTGGATTATCTAATCTGCTACAATGCTACAGCATTTCTGTAATACTAGAAATGTAAGATGGGGTCTATCTTTAACAATCAAAATGGACTGAGTTATTACTATTTCTCAAGTATGACTATTACCATATTAAATGAATTAACTCATCTTCTCAACTCTGTGAGGTGTAGGTACTACTGTCTCCACTGTGTTAATCTGGGTCCTCCAAGACAAAGGTGACAAGACCAGAATAAATGTGCAAGTATGTTCAGGGAAATGCCTTTGAAAAAGAAATGGGAGAAAGAGGGTAAAGGCTGGGAGAATCATGTCATAACCCAAGATTGACTCTGAGTGAAGGAGAAAGGGAGAAAAGGCTGGGTAGAAATGTCTTAGACTACACAGCAGTTTCGGAAATGTTCAGCAAAGCCTTTGGAGAGTCTTTGAGCCACAGTTGGTTAAGAAAGGAGTCCCGTGTCTTTCGGGAATAGATGTACCTTAGTACCCCTGCCATTTTCAGTCATTAGTGGGGAGCAGCCCGGAAGAGATGTGACCCTGGCACACATGCTATGATGGATTCCAAACTGTAGCAACTGGGACCCTTGGCTAGTTATGTGCTCTGCACTAGAAGGTCTGCCAGGTGCATTTTCATGCCACCACACCCACTCTGTGCATGAGTAAACAAACACAAAGAGGTTGACCAGCATGCTCAAGAACACACAGCTGGCACGTAGTGGAAACAGGATTCCAACTTGGGTACTTTGACTCTGGGACACAACTTCTTAACAACTATGTCATGCTTTTTTGTTGTTAAATAAGATTTTATTGCATTGAAAATTCACATTCTTTGTACAGAAAGAATATTAAGTTAAACAATTGTGCATATTGTTTGTATTCTTCCAGGGTGAAAGTTATAAATTAATTGGATTCATGGGCCTGTACAAGAGGGAAAAACACACTTAAAAAGGCCTTAAGTGCTTTTTTCTTCTTTCCGGCTTTCAAGATGTTGAAGCGAGGACGTGGTGGGTCCTCTGGTGTGAAATTCCAGATTTCCTTGGGTCTTCTGGTAGGAGTGTGATCAGTTGTGCTGACAACACAGGAGCCAAAAACCTGTATGTCATCTCCGTGAAAGGGGATCAAGGGATGGCTGAACAGACTTCCCACTGCTGGTGTGGGTGACACGGTGATGGCCACAGTCAAGAAAGGCAAACCAGAGCTCAGAAAAAAGGTACATCCAGCAGTGGTTATTCGACAACGAAAGTCATACCGCAGAAAAGATGGCGTGTTTCTTTATTTTGAAGATAATGCAGGGGTCACAGTGAACAATAAAGGCGAGATGAAAGGTTCTGCCATTACAGGACCAGTAGCAAAGGAGTGTGCAGACTTGTGGCCCTGGATTGCGTCCAGTGCTGGCAGCATTGCATGATTCTCCAGTATATTTGTAAAAAATAAAAAAAAAAAAACTTTAAGCCCATTAAAAAGTCTTAAGGTGGGGCACTTCAAAGGCAGGGGCCTATGGATTTGCCAGTGACCTTTAAAATGTGACTGTGTTGCTGAGAGTTCAATGATTATTGATGTATATTCCCTTTCTCCTCAGTCTACTTAACTACACATTAATATTGTTTCTTCCCTTGTAGGCTCTCTTTATCTTTACCTCTGTGACACAGACATCTAACTGCCTATCCAGTATCCAATATTCCTTCATAACTACAATTCCCAGTCCCCCAAAAAGCCAACAACAATAATATACCACCTACCTATCCCCACCTCTCTTATTCAGGATGGCCATCTGACTAACTTCTAACCATGAGTAAAAAATGGTGGGCAGAGCTTTCAGGAAACCCTAAAAGGGTCTGGCTCAACTGACCTGTGCCTGGTGTCATCAGGGTCCCAGCAAAGAAACGGATGTCACACTGAACTTAGTAAAACTTAGGATGGTTTTATATATGGGACTACTGACAAATGTGGGCAGAACATATGAAAATCATGAAGAACAGCATAGGAACACAATATTAGAGTCAGCTGAGCTATTATCTCTAAACCTGAACAGGTAAGAAGACAGGTACAGCAGACTACCTTGAGAAGGGTGACCTTCAAGTCAAGAGATACAGCCAGCAAGAGATGACTCTTTCGGAAGGGAGTTTGGGGGAGTACGGGGAGATATACTTCTTAGGTGCAAAGTTCTACAAATTATTAAAAATGTATGAAGTTGTGTGTCTATCACTGAAATGAAGAGATAGAGTATTTTTTAAGTTTTCTCATGCCCTTTATAGTCAATCCCATACCATACTACCAGCCCCTGGCAACCACTGATCTGTTTTCCATCTCTACTATTTTGCCTTTTCTATAACGTCATGCTGCATTTTGAATCTGGCTTCTTTCACTTAGCATAATACCTCTGCATTTATGACTAGTTCATTCCTTCTTATTGTTGAGTAGTATTCCATTGTGCCAATATACCATAACTTGTTTATCCATTCATAGTAGAACAATATTTGGATTGTTTCCAGTTTTGGGCAATTATGAATAAAGCTGTAAATATTTAGGTACAGTAGTCCCCCTTTTTTCATGGGGGATACATTCCAAGATTCCCAGTGGATGCCCAAAACTGCAGATAGTACCAAATCCTATGCCATATACTATTGTTTTTTGATCTGATAACTACTATGTGACTAATGAGGAGGTAGCACAGACAGTGTGAATACACTGTACAAGGCGATGATTCACATCCCAGGCAGGACTGAGCAGGAGAGCAAGATATTTCACCAAGCTGATCTCAACTGCATGAAACTTAAAACTTATGAATTATTTCTGGAATTTTCTATCTATTTTCAGACTCTGGTTAACCGTACGTAACTGAAACCACGGGAAACAAGACCATGGATAAGAAGAGACTCCTGTATAGGTTTTTGTGTGAATGCAGTTTCATTTCTCATGGGTATACACTTAGCAATAGGATTACTGGGTCATACGGTAAATGTAGATTTAGCGTTTTAAGAAACTGCTGAACTGTTCTCCAGTGTGTCTATACCATTTTACATTCCCACCAGTAATGAATGAAACTTCCAGTTACTCTGCAACATCACCAGCACTTAGTATGATCAGCTTTTAAAAATTGTCATTGTACTAGTTTGTGGTGGTATCTTATTGTGGCTTTAATTTGCATTTTCCCGTTGGCAAATTATGTTGGGCATCTTTCTGTGAGCTTATTTGCTACCCGTGTCTTTGAAATAGCTGTTCAAGTCATTCATAATTGGATTGTTTGTGTTTCTATTACTTAGTTATGAGAGTTCTTTATATATTCTGGGTATTCCTGATCAGGTATATGTTTTGCAAATATTCTCTCAATCTTTTTTTTATTTTTATGGTGTTTTTCAAAGAGCAAAATAGTTAAATGTATAAACTACACTTTGTCAAATTTCTTCTATGGCTCATGTTTTTTATGTCCTGTCTTAGAAATCTTTGTGAAGCCCAAGGTCACAAAGATCATCCCCTATATTTTCTTGTAGAAATTTTATGGTTTTTAGACTTTTACAATTGGGTCAATAATCCATTTCAAGTTAATGTGTGTATATGGTACAAGAGATGGGTTAACATTTGTTACCAATTATTTCATTACCATTTGTTGAAAAGACTATTCTTTCTCTGTTGAATTCAACCTTTATTGAAAATCAGTTGACCATATAAGTGTGGGTTTATTCTATTCTGTTCCTCTGATCTATTTCTCTGTCCTTTTGCCAATTTCATGCTGTCTTCATTACTACAGCTTCATAGCAAACTTGGAAATCAAGTGGTATAAGTCCTCCAACTTTCTTCTTGTTTCTCAAAATTGTTTTGACTATTCCTGTCACTGCTTTTCCTTATAAATTTTAGAATCAGCTTTTCTGTTTCTACAAAAACCTTTCTAGGATCTGGGGATTGTGTTAAACTTATAAAAAGATGTCAATTCTTCCCAAATTGGTTTATGTTTGTTTTGGGTTTTGGGCGTTTTTTGAGGTTGGGAGGGTTTGGTTTTTTGTTTGTCTTTTTTTAACTTCAGGTGTACATGTGCAGGATGTACAGGTTTGTTACGTACGTAAACTTGTGTCATCGGGGTTTGTCGTACAGACTATTTCATCACCCAGGTGTTAAGCCTAGTATCTACTAGTTAGTTTTCTTGATCTTCCCCCTCCTCCCACCCTCTTCCCTCTGATAGGCCCCAATGTGTCGTTCCCCTCTATGTGTCCATGTGTTTTCATCATTTAGCTCCTATTTATAAGTGAGAGCATGTGATATTTGGTTTTCCGTTCCTGCATTAGTTTGCTAAGGATAATGGCCTCCGGCCCCATCCATGTCCCTGCAAAGGACATGATCTCGTTCTTTTTGGGGGCTGCATAGTATTCCATGGTGTATTTGTACCACATTTTCTTTACCCAGTTTATCATTGATAGGCATTTGGGTTGATTCCATGTCTTTGCTATTGTGAATGGTGCTGCAGTGAACATACATGTGCACAGATCTTTATAAGAGAACAATGTATATTCCTCTGGGTATATACCCAGTAATGGGATTGCTGGGTTGAATGGTATTTCTGTCTTTAGGTCTCTGAAGAATCACTACACTGTCTTCCACAAAGGTTCAACTAATTTACACTCCCACCAACAATGTATAAGTGTTCCTTTGAGAATTGACATCTTAACAATATTGAGTCTTCCAATCTAGAAGGCAGTATGTCTATTTATTTAGGTCTTTGATTTCTCTCACTGTTTTAATAATTTTCAGCATAAGCCTTGCACATATTTTGATTTATCTCTAAATATTTTGTGAGCTTTTTTGGTGCTAGTATACATGGCATTTCTCTTTAAATTTAAATTTATAATTGTTCATTGCTAGTATGCAGAAATAAAATTGACTTTTGTACATTCACCTTGTATTCTGCAACCAGGATAACCTCAACAGTAGCTTTTATTTTATATTTTTTAGGACATCCTAGGTAAATAATCATGTTGTCTGCAACTAGTTTTATTTATTCCTTTCCAATTCATATAACTTTTATTTCTTTTTTTTTCTTGCCTTATTGTGCTGGCTAGACTCCCTAGTATAATGTTGAATAGAAATAGGTATTTCTCTTATATGTGTACATGATTGATATATGATAAATCTAAGCATAAAAATCTGGCCATGGTGGCTCATGCCTGTAATCCCAGCACTTTGGGAGGCTGAGGTAGGAGGATCATTTGAACCTAGGAGTTCAAGGCCAGCCTGGGCAACATAGTGAGACCTACTCTCTACAGATAATTTTAAAAAATAGCCAGGCATGGTAGCACATGCCTGTAGTCCTAGCTACTCTGGAGGTTAGGGCAGGAGGATTGCTTGAGCCCTGGAGGTCGAGGCTGCAGTGAGCCGTGATTGTGCCACTGCACTCCAGCCTGGGTGACAGAGCTGAGACCCTGTCTCTGAAAAAATAAATAAAAAAAAAGCATTAAAGAGCTCTTTCAATGTACAATAAAAAAATCAAAATGACAGAAGAGCATTTTATCATAGTTTAGTTGGAAGTTTCTTTTTTATTTCTGTTACACCTAAAGTAAAGGTGTGTTCTACTATTAAGGGTGTTAGATATGATGAAATCTTATAATAGTTAGAGCAGCTATATTTCATATTCATAGACTATGATATGAACAGAGCACCCGGAGTTGTACAATGTGGAGGCCTTGGTATTATGTTACATATGCCTGGGGGCTACAAAATTTACACTGTTATCACTTATTTCATTTAACCAAAGATGAAATGTCAGTTTAAGCCTGCTACTTGGGATCCTGGAAAGCTAAAAATGTTTGGCTAGCCAGAGACATTTACTAAATGCTGACCATGATAAACTTGAACTGGTAACTCTCAAAAACTGTAATGGGTCTGAGGCTTTACTTGCAAGCTAACAGGTTAGCCTGGCACTGTTTCATGTGTGCTTCCAGAAGACACAGAATGTCTAGGCAAAAGAAAAGGATTTTGTGACTGGTACCACAGCAGGCAGCATAGGTTTTATGTTTCTGTTGGTTCTTCTTGCCTACCAAGGATTGTGGGGCAAGGGCTGGGCGCACATGGATGCTGAGCATATTATGGTTTAGGGTCACACCTAAGAAACCTCAAACTTAGGAAACTTCAATCTAAACAAGGTTTGTAAGCAAACCTGTCTAAACTTTTTCCCAGAGAGAGATAATATCTTTGTTAACCTGGACACCAAACTGCCCTCTGCTCCAAAGGGAGACACTATTTCCATCTTCCAATGCCGTTTGTAATATAAACATCCATGAAAAGATAACCCAGAGTGTTGTCAGTGCCTCTTCTCAGAAGATGCTATCCACAGGGAGTTTTTTTGTTTGTTTTGTTTTTTTTCCCAACAGTAACATAGCCTCTATGGTCAACTGGGAAAAGTAATTCTGAGTAAGGCATGCCTGTCACTTAATTTGTCCCCAGTTGTGGCAGTCTGCCCACATGTTCAATAAATCTGTTTCTTCTTTATCTAGATCTGCAGTTAGACCACATCTCCCAAACTCTTTTGCAGTTAAATATGGCCACATGGCTCAGTTGGACAACAAAACAGATGGAAGTCACGCTGTCATCTCCAGGCCTGACCTATAAAATGTCCCCCACACAATCCTCTCTGTCTCCTCTCCTCATCCTTTTCCTACTCTGGTTAAATGCAAAAAAAGACAAATTCCTAAAAGATGGTAGAATCATGTGATGGAAGAAGCTTGGGTCTTTGAATAGTTGCATGGAGCAGTGATTCTCTTTCTTCTCCCAAGGTGCATAGAACTATGATGTAAATAAAAAAATCAATCAAGTTTTAGTGGTCTGACAATAAGTGTATCAATTATAGTATCTAGCATTATGTAGTCTAATACATCAGCCTTACTGCTATTCTACCCCAAACTTAAATAGCTCCCCCCATTACATTTGACCTCATTTATGTTTGTATTTTGTAGCTTTCTGTTAGATGTTAACAACACAAATAAGAGAGACTTTCAACTCCATTTGCTATGAATATGGTGTAATTTGTATGATTTTTGGCAGTTCAAGATGCCACCACCCAGTGGTGCACAGCAGCACTGGGGAAGCAACTAACTCTGGAAGGTGGAAGCAGGGCTAAGGGTCTTCCACTTGGCATAGTAGGTCATGGCCACTAACATCATGTGAAGGTCGGGGGCTGGAAGATGAGCAAGGAAAACATAGTATCTGTTGTATTTACTGGCATCATTATCATCTTTGAAACATCTACTGGTCCTCTCAAATACATAGGTGAGAGGTCAGCTTAGTGCACAGGGGTGATTAGTCTCATTAGTGACCAAAGCTATGGCAAAAGGACTCCACGAACACAGGCTACGTGATCCTCCCCACAGCCCCTTGCTTCAGGGAGTCAAATCCTTCCTGCCATCTATTTTTGCAAGTACAGTTTTATGGGAATACAGCCATGCTCATTTGGTTAGGGATTGTCTTTGGCTGCTTTCTCACTCCAACCACAGAATCAGTAGTTGCAACAGAGGCCAGATGGCTTGCCAAGCCTAAAATATTTTCTCTCTGGGCCTTTACAGAAAAAGTTTGCTGACCCATGGTATAGAGACTGTTACACTACTCATCGTATGTATGTATAAACTGCGGCTCTGCTGATTTAGATCACTGAATTCAATTCACAGAGTATGTTAGTAGTCAAGCCAATCATTCAGTCTAGGCCTGTAGATTCCTTCTCCAACTTCTTTGCCTGCTCATTCTATAGAAATTCTACTGGGCACAATTTGAGTTGAGGGTAATAGAGTGCTTAAAGTGATGGATGGAGGAGGAAGGGAATTTGGAAAGGAGTCAATGGATTAAGATAAAATGGAATGGGTTCAGGGACTGGATGTTCACATGAACTCAGAAGGTTGGCTTCTGGGAAGCAGGGAAGCATGAGTGCATGCATGTGACAGCCAGCTAGAAAGAGCGTGAACAAGAAAACTCAGAGTGGGTAAGGGTAAGACATTGCCTTTCTCCTTACAGAATGTGTACCTGGCAAGCCTCCAAATTTAGACCCATTCAATCATGTGTATCTCCTTAACCCAGAATAAGAATCTGATTAAAAAATAATAAAAAGTGGTTAGAATATATCTGTTCCTGGCATCTTCCCTTTCCATTCTTTTCTGTTCCAAGAACCTAAGTGGCATGACACATCTTTGGAAGAAAAAGACAAGATAACAACCAAACCTTTTTGCAGAGTCCTTAGACAAAACAAAAGTGAGATGTGGTCTCAGAGTCCTAAGGACTCCATTTTGAAGGCAAAGGGATGGCCAGTAGCCTCCAGCTTCTTTGTCCCAAAGAACCCAGCTGGACTGATATTTGTGGGAATGACACCCAGGCAGGAGAAACAGCAGGGATATGGCTCCCATTTCTGAGGCTGGTTTAGGCTTGAAGACACCTGTTGTGTTATCAAGCCCACTGTAACTTGCCAAACGTGTCATGATGTCTTCATTTAGAAAATAGAACCCAGGAAGCCCTTGCTGTCACTGACTCCCTCTGAGTGTTAAATGGCAATGTCTTACCCTTTCTCACGTGTTTTCTCTCACTCACACGCTCCCTAGCTCGCAGTTCTCACTGGCTGTCTTACGTGTATGCACTCATCCTTTCTCCCTCCCCTCAAGCCAGCCTTCTGAGTTCATCTGAAAGTTCAGTCCTTGAACACAGTCCATTTTATCCCAATCTATCGACTCTCTTCCAAATTCCATTCTTCCCCCATCCATCACTTCAAGCACTCTATTACCCTCAACACATGTTGTGCCCAGTTCTCCCTACACAATATACACCTGGCAAACCTCAACTTTGGATCAATCCAATCATTTACCTTCTCCACTCCTACAACCCCCCTACTCAGGCTGCTGGGACAATCATAGAGCAAGGAGGGTGGGAGCCACTACAAATTTCTCTCCTGCACACTCATCAGAACCTCCACTTCAGCATTATCACACCTTAACAAATCTTTCAACAGCTGCTTCTCACCATTTCCTCAGAAACTAACTATGGGTGGGCATTTATTGGTTGACTTCCCAGTATTCATTTTTCCCTTTTCTTCCCAATAGCACCCAGATTTTCCCTCGAGGAGGTGTACCTCTCCCATTCTCAATCATGCTGTTTGGGTGGGCTTGACCTCATTCCATCTCCAGGAGGAGGCACTGATGGGCTTCAGCAAATCAGCTCTCCCATTTCTGTGGTCACCTGATGGGTGCATCACAGATGAGCACACCACCCAGATGGGCTGATGAGACAAGAGGAGATGACCATAAGGGCTTCTGAGAAATATACTTCCCCTGTCTTCTTCTGGAGCCCCAGAGGAGACTCTGTCTGGGTGTTGCAATGTGGGTGTAATGTCTTACTGCTGGAGCTCATAAGGTAGAACCAGGGGCAAGAGAATCACAGGAGCTAGAGTCCTGATATCTTGAGCTACTGGATAAAACTGTGCCAACACCCTGGTCTGCCTTTAGACTTTCAAGAATACCAGTCAATAAATCTTACTGCTTTTTAAGCCAGTTTCTGTTGAGCTTTCCATGCTTGCATCTTCACTGATGCCCCCTTCCAAAATTTTACCTCTTACCCTCAAATCTTCCATTTTGCTACAGCAAATGATCTTGCCTCCCAGTTGAGGGAAGAAATGAAAGTCATCTGGCAAGAACTCTATCACCTGCTTCTCTGACACTGTTAAGTACTTCTGAATCTGAACTTGTCTTCCTCCTTCCTTAAAGCCTTTCCCCTCTACCTTCTCAGAAACTTGGCTTCTCATGTGTCTCTGCCTTTCTGCCTTCTTATCGTTGTTTTGTTTTGAGACAGAGTCTCACTCTGTCACCAGGGATAGAGTGCAATGGTGCTATCTCAGTTCACTGCAACCTCTGCCTCCTGGGTTCGAGCTATTTGCGTGCCTCAGTCTCCTGAGTAGCTGGGACTACACAGGCACTTGCCACCATGCCCGGCTAATTTTTTAGTACAGATGGGGTTTTACCATGTTGGCCAGGCTGGTCTCGAACTCTTGACCTCAGGTGATCTGCCCACCTCGGCCTCCCAAAGTGCTGGAATTACAGGTGTGAGCCACCATGGCTGGCCTCTTACTGTTCTTATGGAACAGTCCATAACTGTTCTCAACCTCACCACCTCATTTTCTTGCCTCTCTTCTATTCTTCCCTGCCAAATTTCTTGGGGAAAAGTGTTCTACCACAGAAATTTTATCTAGGGTGCATGCTTGGGGAAGGCTCCATGGAGTGTTCAGGGTCTCTACCTAGTAGACAGTTGAACATAGAAGGGGGAGCTCAAAACAGAAGCCTGGGTGGAAGACAGATTGGCGTATCGCTGGCATTTGTTATCATGGAAGCCACTGAAGTTGAGACTGCCTAGTGAGTGTGGGGAGTGTGAATAGAAGAGGGCTCAGGTGGAGCTTTATGGGACATGGGACACTTAAGGGGGAAGTGAAAAGATGCATCTCTGAATGGCAGAAAGCTTAATGGAAAGGGGAAATCTAGGAGAAAAGGCCGTCTTTGGGAGCAAAGAGAAGTGTGTTCCAAGGAGGCGATGGTTGGTCAACTGCTACCTAGAGGTCAAGTATGATATGATTGGGCAAAATCACTGGATTTGACAGTATGGGGAATTTCAGGGTGACAGGGCCAGAAGCTAGCTTTCAGTGGGTAGGAGAGTAAATTTAAGCTAAAAAGAAGAGGTGAGAGCCACTGTAGACTTTTTCTTCCTTTCCAACTATCTTCATTTAGATTTTCTCCAAAAGCAGACCCTAGACCAGTACTTGGGTACAGCTAATTTAATTGGGAAGTAAACCCCAAAATTCCAAGTGAAGTGTTGGTAAGAGAGATAAGAAGAAAGAAAAGGCAGTGAAACAGGGCACTTATGGGCAAGACTCATGTGCACAAACAACCAAGGCACAGCCCTTCTGGGGCTCCCAGGAAACTGTGAACCAGGACTCAATAGTTCCCATGGACCACATATTCACTGACTCGATGCCTTGTTGATAGACGGCTGTGGCTGGAGCATCCTTCCTGACAACACCCATCCCCTCACAGTTTGCCCAGCAAGCTCCTGTGGCTCTGAGAACACCCTCAGTGCAGGTGGGAAGAGTTTAGCATGCTGGAGCTATCAGTGCAACTGCCTTGAACTCTGGAAAGCTCAGGAAGTGTGGGGTAGGGCATCAGCCTAGTATCTGCCACAGGCAGAACCCCTTAACTACCTCACCAAGTCACATGGCTAAGGTCACAGCAGGGGACCTTTCGAAATGTAACTCAAGGCAGGCATGATAGAGACTTTAGCATAATGAGTGGATGATAATGCGATGTACTTACAGGACATTGTCTCACAGAAACTGGAGAGGTCCAATTGAGCAATAGATAACTTTTCTCAGCCCCACATTCTCTTCCTGAAATGGGAGGTAGAATTAACGGCAGGAGCAGGCAGAGGTGCAGATTTTATCACCGTGCTCTACCCTTTGACCCTTTGTTTCGAAAGCATAAGAAGGTATGTAGTCAGTGCCTTGTTAGGTCATGTTTCATTCCATTCCACAACTGCACTCTGTACACTCTATGTTAAAATAGAGAACCCAGTGACTTGACTTTTCTTGCATATATTAGGTTGGTGCAGAATTAATTGCAGTTCTTGTCATTGAAAGTGGCAAAAAGCCACAATTACTTTTGTAGCAACCTAATATCTGTACCATCATTGTTCCTCAGTTTATTGATCGTGCACCATACACCAGGAGTTGAAGAAAACATTTGCCCTAAAGGTGAGCAATGAACCTTAGACCAAGTCAGGAAATGGTGGTTACTGTATAGGAGCGCAGCAGCACGGTCCTGCAATGAGCATGGAAACAGCAGGCAAGAGCTACTCCCCCCTCCCTCCCTCCCTACACCCATCCCTTTCTCCAGAGGTCAAAGGTAGAAGAAAAACAAGGTGTGCCTGGGGAAAGAGTGAAACAGAGAGCACTGGAAGAGGCTGGCAGTACTAAACACTGAGCTGAAGCTTGGTAGCATTGTGGATCTCCTGAGCACAGTCTCCAGCTGCACTGTGAGGTCTTCCTTCTTTTGTAATGCAGAGGCAGAACGGTGAGAACACATCTCAGCCAGGGACCTTCCGAATACACACTCTGGGGGCGGGGGGAGGAACAGCAAAAACTGGGAGAGTTGGGCAACCTAGGGGTAGACTCAGGAAGAGTGATCCCTATCATGGCTGACTGTGACAAGCCAGCTGAACGACTGCACACCTGCAATCCTGGGTTTGATCTCACCTTTAATATCCTTGCCTGATCACCAGTCTCCTCACACATTTCTAAGAGCCCTCCTTGTGTCTGAAAAAGAAAAAATGTTCTGCATTAGTAACAACACGTACAGAAGCATGCATACATATGATGTTTCAAATCCTGGGGAACAAGAAAGGAGAATTAAATGCATTTAGGAGGAAGTGACTGTACACTGTTTTAGAAGTGGAATGGAAGGTTTTACCAGGCCTAAGGTCTGTGATTAGAGTTGCAGTAAACATTTTAGTTACTGTCAAACTGTCACACTCAGGACTGAGATGGTACCACTCACTGCTCAAAGTCATGCATCTCTCCTTCCTTAATTCTCCTATGGAAGCCCCTCCTCCTGTTCATCTTTCTTTCTCCAAGGAGCTATCATATAGCCTTTGCTCAGGTGTTGCCTTTGTCTTTGCCTAGCTTCTCCCTAGGCTTACCTGTTCTCCTAGTTTTCTAAGTCCCCTGCCTGTCTTCATGAAGAAAGCCAAACTGCAGTTCTAGGAAATTATCCTTGATTGATTAGCAAAATGAGATGGGAATGTACAAAATGTAATTTAAAGAAAGAAATTGTTATTTATCCCTGCTCTTTGACTCCTCAGAGATGGAGAACAGTTTTACCCTCTCTATTAGCTCATTTGAGGTCTCTATTACTTTTTATATTCTCTCTGGTTTCTGATTCCCACATAGGAAATGTCCATTTTTATAACTCACAGGCGTGAAATTGCAGAGTTCTTCTCCTAGAGGCCACCTGGCCCTCCCTAGGTGCCGACTGTGTGTTATAGGGATGTCACTAAGGGGTCTGGTGGTGCCCGACAGGGATGTTAATGAAAGCCCAAAAGACTGATAGCAGACAGATCCAGAGGTAGGATGGAGAGACTGAAAGGCCAGGCCCAGACATACTTAGAGAATACAGAAAGAAGCCAGCGGCCAGGACACAGCAGCAAGGTCAGCAGCCAGCTCCAATAAAGACCTTGGTGCATTCAGGCTGCTATTTAAAAACAAACAAACAAACCCTTAGAATGGGTAATTTATAAACAATAGAAGGTTATGGCTCACAATTCTGAAGGCTAAGATGCCCAAGATCAAGCTGCCACTAGATCCGGTGTCTGAGAGCCTGTTCCTCATAGCTCAAATGATGGAAGAGCAAAAGGGCATCTCCATCCTCTTTTATAAAGAGCTAATCCTGTTCATAAGAGAGGAGGCTTCATGACTCAGTCCTTTTCCAGATGCCTCCCCTCTACCTTTGAACTGGGGATTTCATTTCAACATACGAAATTTGAGGAAACACAAACATTCCCACCATAGCAGTAGGTGACAATACTAAGCATTCCAATATGTCAGGCATAGCTCTGAGACTAAACACTGACTTATCTGACCTTCATGTACCCATAGAAAGTTGATACTATTGTCCCCTTCCAATTATAAAGAAACTGAGGCACTAGGGGACATGACTTGCTAAGGTCACACAGCTGGTAAGTGCTAGAGACAGGATCTAACCCCAGGCATCCTGGCTCCAGAGCCCATGCTCATAACCACTGGACTATACTCCCCTTCCATCTTGAGAGGTCTGTGGGCTCCCTGGTCCACATGGCTTCACCAGGAGTCAGAGGCCTCTTAAGGCTTCTGAAAGCACAAGTCATTCCCTTCCATGGCCCCACCTTATACACATCAGGCCGGGCCAGTCTTTGTATTCCTGTAACCTATGTATGTGCTGCAGAACTCCTCCCCTGGGCTAGGCATGTCTTATCTTGCTTAGGGTGTTCAAGTGTATGGTATAATTGCTGGGAGGCTCTGCACAGGTAGGATACCACCCCCATGCTCTGATAGTACAGCCTGGTCCAATGCAACTTTCTAGCACTCAGAGCTGTTGACACAGACCAAGAGTCAGTTGCCCAGATGTTTTCTAGAGTCATGGCAGCAAGCCCCCAAGCTCACTGTGCACCATGCCTGTATTTGACCTTGTTCTAGAAAGGATTTAAAACAGACCACACAGGGAATAAGTTTATTCACACTCACAAAGTTGAGTTTATAATTTTTCCATAAAATACTCTTTAATAAATGATTTTATAAAATACTATTTCCATATTAACTGTCTACTAAATTACCACTTGGAAGCAATATTTAAATAAACTTAATCATAGGCACAGATTGGTCCAACTCTTATTACTTTTTAATTGATCTTGGCTTTTGTACCAATCAATGTCCTGTCAGGACCACACTCAAGTTTGGAGTTTATTTTTTTAATTGGGAGTTTAATAAAGTAATATTTATAAAGGTCTGGGCTGGGTGCAAGGAAACCTCAGGAGAAAGTGTGGTATTCTGGAGCTAGTGGTGTGGGTTTGGGTGTGTATTGAGGGGAGTGGTGGAGGGTGTCCCACTCCTAGGCCTGAAGAATCATGAGGAAGAGAGAGAACTACATGGGGAGGATCACCCACAGAAGCTATAACTGCAGTTGAGGGACACAGCTGTCCCAAGGCAGCCACCAAGGGAAGCAGCCAAGGGCCTGGTACCCTCACAAACTCTTCTCCCTCTCTCTAGTCTCCTGCCAGGGCTCCCCACTGGACAGGCCCCATCAGAACCAGATGGGGAGGGTCATCCCTGCAGGTCAGCCTTCTGAGGCCAGAGCAAGGTGCAGAAGATGGAGGGGAGGCCTGGTGGTGCAAATGGAAGACATCCCCATGTCAAAAGCAAAATCTCTCATTACTTTCTTAGGATCAGTGTTTCATGGCTTGATGTGGCTAGTAGGGACTGTTCCAATCTACCAAACTTCAATTGACTTGAGGAGGGAACAAAGCTGTAAAATGTGGTTCTCCTTCCTGGAGAGGTAACTAGAACTAGAAAAGGAAAGTGTGTAATCTTCTCAGTAATGAAACAGTTTATCTTGATTACCCTTGGCCCAATTCTATATTACCTCAAGTCTATTATCCCTTAAGTGTAATTCCAAAATTAAACTACTTCTGTACACTGAAAATTTTTCCATACTTCATCTGTCAACAAAACATGGCCGTGTGATGTGAACTATTTATTACCCTATTTCGTGTGAATATTTTCTTGCAGAAAAATTGCTTGGTTACTGGGGGCTTTCCTAGCCCCTGTCTTATGTTCTATATTCATATGCTTTTACATATACATACAAAATGTATATAATGTACAGTTTATGACATTTCAAACCCCAAACACTCCTAAAGTCCAAAATCTATCTGGCCCCTCAGCCTTCAGAAAAGAGACTTTGAACTTATGTTCTGATTCACATCAACTCCATAATATTCTTTAGAAAAGGGATAGGGACCACCATGCCTGGCTAATTTTTGTATTAGTAGAGACAGGGTTTCACCATGTTGGCCAGACTGGTCTTGAACCCCTGACCTCAAGTGATGCACCCAACTTGGCCTCCCAAAGTGCTGGGATTACAGGCATGAGCCACCGGGAGGCTGAGGCAGGAGAATCACTTGAACACAAGAGGTGGAGGTTTCAGCAAGCCGAGGTTGTGACGTTGCACTCAAGCCTGGGCTGACAAGGGCGAAACTCTGTCTCAAAAAAAAAAAAAAAACAAAAAAAAACAGGGTCGGGCGCCAGGCGTGGTGGCTTTTGCCTGTAATCCCAGCACTTTGAGAGGCCGAGGCAGGCAGATCACCTTAGGTCAGGAGTTTGACACCAGCCTGGCCAACATGGTGAAACCCCATGTCTACAAAAAAATACAAAAAAATTAGCTGGGTGTGGTGGCAGGTACCTGTAATCCCAGCTACAGCTACTCGGGAGGCCGAGGCAGGAGGATCGCTTGAACCCAGGAGG
Source organism: Homo sapiens (assembly GCF_000001405.40). Classification (NCBI taxonomy): domain Eukaryota; kingdom Metazoa; phylum Chordata; class Mammalia; order Primates; family Hominidae; genus Homo; species Homo sapiens. The sequence goes on along the minus strand of NC_000006.12, from coordinate 39,943,767 downwards.
TAGAGGTTGCAGTAAACCAAGATCATGCCATTGTACTCCAGCCTGGGCGACAAAAGCGAGACTCCTCTTCAAAAAAAAAAAAAAAAGGATAGGGAAAGTTATGTTTTACATTTATGATTGATAGACTTTCTCTACTTAGAATGTGGCTTTATAAATTGAACTTTACAACATGTAAAGTTCTTTTTAACTCAAGCTTAGTTTTTTAAGTTTTCCTCTGCCCCTTTTGAATATTAAGAGATCGTGGAAGACAATCAAGTATAGCATAGGATTGCAGCAGGAAAGAAAGGGGAAGCCAAAGGGACACTCAGAATGTACTAAAGGGACTGTTTGCAGGGGTGTGGTCAGGGTCAAGAACACAGAAAGGATAGGGCTTCAGAGTGTGGATTTGCGAGCCGGACATGTTAACCCCCCGGTTCTCAGCTTCACCCCTTATTAGCTATGCATCACTGGGCTGGTTACTTCACCTCTTTGTGCTTCATCTTATATTTTAATAATATAGTAAAATCCTCTCTAATTGATTTCTCACAACCACCACCCTGTGAAGTAGATAAGACAGGCAGTTTCCCCTCTGACATATGATGAAACCAGAGAGATGAAGTAATTGGCCCAAGGTTAAGCAGGGAATTTGTGCCAAGTTGAGGACTGGCACAAATCAGATCGCCCCCACTGCTGAGCCAGGGCTCTTTCCAAGCCATCACCTGCCTTACTTACAGAGGCTTGCCCTTCACTGACTTGTCCCAGGAGGGAACATGTCAGGTGGCATTCTCAGCTGGGCCAAGTCTCATGAGCGTGAGGACTTCTGAGGTGTTTCCAAAAATGTCAGCCTTTGATACTTCTTGTTTTATCTCTCCACCCCGATAATTACCCCAACTCAATTTAACAAACAGCCACTGCATAATCCAGACAGTACAACTTGACCTTGCTTGCAGAGGAATTAGGCCTGAGTTTAGTGGATTTGATTGTCTTAGGGGAATTAAAGGTTATTTTCTAGTTCAAAGGTAGAGCCACGCGTGAGTTGCTTTTCTTCTAAATGCATGGGCCTTAACACAGTGAACTCTAACTCTGTAGGTGTGAGTAGAACAAAGTCAGGTGTAAAGTCATCTCTTGCCTCCCTCGGCTGGTAGAAAAGAATGCAGAGTTGGCGGGGAGGAGGTGCCCATGCCCAGATCTCTCTCCCATGCTGTCCTCTGCTCCCCTCCCAGTATCTTCCGTGAATGGACTCCAAACAGAAGCCTGAAGGCAAGGGGGTCCATGGGATCAACCTCTTGGGGCAGAGAACAGGGGGCAAAGACAGGTGGAGAATGGATCCCAGGGAAGGGTGGGGCACATGGAGAACAAATGGCCCAGAACGCCACCAATACAGTTACAGACATAAACAGCATCTCTTTCCTGTGATGGCAACAGGCAATATAGTTAAACAGCAACTCACTGTAGGAATTCACACACAACTTTTAAATTTTCTATTGCTGTGTAACAAGTTACTCCAAAATGTAACAGCTAAGAACAACCAGTATTTATCTCACCCAGTTTCTAAGGGGCAGGAGCCTGGGAGTGGCTTGGCTGGATGTTTCTGGTTCAGGATATCTTGTGAGACTGCAGTGAAGATCTCAGCAAGGGCTGCAGGTACATGAAGCTGTGACTAGGTCTGGAGGAGTCCTATCCAAAATGGTTCCCATACATGGCTGTTGGCTGGAGGCCTTCGTTCCTAACTGGCTGTTGGCAGGAGGTTCAGTCTTCGTCAAATGGGCATCTCCAGAGAACTGCTCACAGCATGGCCGCTGGCTTCTCCCAGAGGGAGCAAGGAGGAAACCACGTGGTCTTTTACTGACTACCCTCAGGAGCCTAACACCATCACTTCTGCCACATTTGATTTGCTAGAGTTCATAAGTTCAGCCCACATTTAAGGGGAGGGGAACTAGGCTCCACCTTTTAAAGTGAAGAATATTTAAGAATTTATGGACCTGTTTAAAACCACCATACACTAAGAAGATCAGTAGGAGAAAACAGTTCAGGATGATTTCATAACAGGGGTGACGGTCTGGCCTGCAAAAGACCTGGGAATACCTCAGAAGAAAGTTCTCAGTGTCCTCCAAGCCCCTCCTGTTCTCCCACACACCAAGGGTCTCAGGACTCCCTGAGAGTTGGGGCCCATCCTTCTTGGCAATCCCTGTGCCTTATTTTTTCCTAACTCATTATCATACCTACCCTACTTCCCATTATTGCTCTTGGCTACCTACTCTTGGAAAACAGTTAAACTATTTTGAGCTGAGTTATATACATGGTTTATAATGAACCCGCCATCCCTTACGGGGGTTACCTAATTCTAATAAGAGCTTTTCTGTAGGCTCAATACATCCAAAAGAGCTAATCTCTTTAATCTCGTTCATGTGAGAAAGGATGGTTTCGGTAACATGAGTAAGGCCCTCCTTGCCCTAAAACAATATCATAAAAACAACAGAGCACTTGCTTAAGCATTCCATGACTCAAGTCTCACAACAAAGCTGAAGACCAGTTTTTTATTTCCAGTCAATGAGGAGCCTAAACTAGTAGAGAGAAAGTGACTCTATGGCAGAGGTTGGATGTGAAACGTGGAGCTGATTCCCAGTGTAGGGCTCCTATCGAACCTCAGGATGAGGACCCTCAAACCAATCTCATCATCAACTCCATAGGAAAACAGCCCACTCCAGGAGCTCAGGGAAATGAGGGATAGGTAAGAGTTTATTCTATATTCTTCTCAATGGCTTGGGGAGGGTGATGTGGACACAGCAGTTATAGAGAATAATTAGGATGTCTCTAGGTCTCTAGAGGATGAAAGGTTGTGTATTAAGGCAGCAATTCTCAAATTGTTTGTCTCAGGAACTCTTTATACTCTAAAGCAGGGGTCCCAAACCCCCAGGCGTTGGACTGGTACTGGTCTGTAGCTTGTTAGGAACTGAGCCACGCAGCAGAAGGTTGAGTAGCAAGCAAGCGAGCATGACCTCCTGAGCTCTGCCTCCTGTCAGATCAGCAGCAGCATTAGATTCTCAGAGGAGCTCAAACCCTATTGTGAACTGCGCCTGCAAGGGATCGATCTGGGTTGCGTGTTTCTTCTGAGAACCTAATGCTTGATGATCTCAGGTGGAACAGTTCCATCCTGAAACCATTCCCCCACCACTGCCCCCATGGAAAAATTGTCTTCCATGAAACTGGTCCCTGGTGCCAAAAGGGTTGTGGACCACTGCTCTGAAGTATCAAACATCCCAAAAGAGCTTATTTGTTTATTTGTGTTATATCTACTTAATACCTATTTTTAACTTATTTAAATTGACAGAAATAATATATATCATATACAATGTTTTGAAACATTCATTATGAAATGGCTAAATTGAGCTAATTAACATTAACACTTGCATTTCCTCACTTTTTTGTGTGGCGAGAACACTTAAAATCTCTTAGCAATTTTCAAGATACGATATATTGTTATCAACCACAGTCACCATGTCGTACAACAGATCTTTTGAAATATTTAATTTCTATTTACTATATCAATTTATTTGATTTATAGTTATGATATTAGAAATTCAAACTCAGAAAATCTGAAAACATTTAACTCACTGAAAAATAATAATGTCCATAATACCTATTACATGTTAACATAATGCTTTATGAAAACAACAATAATTTCCAAAACAAAAACAGGGGAAAAAAAGTGGCATTGCGCTACATTTTGGCAACTTGCTTTCATGTCTGGCTTAGTAGAAGGCAACTGGATTCTCATATCTGCTTCTGCGTTCAATCTGTGAAATCACACATAGAAAACTCCTATATGGTCATAGGAGCATGAGAGTGGAAAAGACGATTTCTTTTTTTTTTTTTTTTTTGAGACGGAGTCTCGCACTGTTGCCCAGGCTGGAGTGCAGTGGTGTGATCTCGTCTCATTGCAAGCTCCGCCTCCCGAGTTCACGCCATTCTCCTGCCTCAGCCTCCTGAGTAGCTGGGACTACAGGCGCCCGCCACCACACCCGGCTAATTTTTTGTATTTTTAGTAGAGACGGGGTTTCACCGTGTTAGCCAGGATGGTCTCGATCTGCTGACCTTGTGATCCGCCCGCCTTGGCCTCCCAAAGTGCTGGGATTACAGGCAGGAGCCACCGCGCCTGGCACGATTTCTTAATATTACTATGAAACTAGTGTTGACCTCTGAAATCCACACTTTGAAAACAATCGAATTAAAGAGGTATTACAAACTCTTCTCTTAGTTTTGCTGATGACAGAATCTAAACAAGAGACTCCTAGTCAGCACCTCATGGCTCTGAGGGTATGCATGATACATGCAGATGCATAAGGCTGCCATGGCTGGTTTCAGTATGCAAGGGGAGTGATAGGTGCAAAGAAGTGGAAGAGTTGAATGGAAAAACTGGATGATACATAAGAGAGCAAGGGGAAGTTTGTTCCTGGAGTAAGGTTATTTTACTGTTCGCCAGCATGTGCGTTCCCTCTCTGAGAGAGGACTAAGCTGCTCTTCCCTTTGAAATTAGATACAGCCATGTGACTTGCTTAAAGCAGAGTGATGTGTGACACTTCCAGGAAGAAGCTGTAAGAGCCAGTTTGCTGTTTGCCACACTCTTTTTCCCTCTTGGTAACCACCAATGTTCTATGTGGATATTCGCTGCCCTATCAGGCCGGGACCCAGAGTGAGGGCAACACTGACCAGAAACAAAGTTCACAGCTAACTCTTGGATATAGTTTGGATGTTTGTCCTCTACAGATCTCATGTTGAAATTTGATCCCCAGTGTTGGAGGGTGGTGCCTGGTGGGAGGTGTTTGGGCTAAGGGAACAAATCCCTCAGGAATAGGTTGGTGTTATCCCCTAGGTGACAAGTGAGTTTTTACTGCATTAGCTTATGCAAGAGCTCGTTGTTTAATGTGACTTCCCTCCTCTCCCCATGTCATGCCTGCTTCCCTCTGCCTTCTACCATAATTGGAAGCTTCCTGAAGCCCTCACCAGAAACAGACGCTGGTACCATGCTTCTTATACACCCACAGAACCATAAGCCAAATGAACCTATTTTCTTTATAAATTACCTAGTCTCCATTATTCCTTTACAGCAATGTAAAGCAGACAAATACACCTTTCCTGGACATGTAGCCCAAATGAGAGAATAAACACTTGTGATTTTCAGCCTTTGAGATATTAGAGTTATTTGTTACAACAGTACAATCTAGCCCAGGCTGACTGACACAGCTGTCTTAGTCTGTTTTGTACTTCTATAGAAGGAATACCTGGGGCTGGGCAATTGATAAGAGGTTTATTTATCTCATTACAAGAAGCATGACATTAGCATCTGCTCAGCCTCTGGTGAAAGCTTTTGTGCTATGTCAAGATATGGTGGAGAAGATCAAAGGGGAAGCTAGCATCAGTACAAAAGGGCCAAACTGGACAAGTGTCCTGGCTTTATAACAACACACTTTCATGGGAACTAATCCCTTCCCCTGGGAACTTGCTCACTAGCATGAGAACAGCACCAAGCCATTCATGAGGGATCTACCCCCATGACCCACACCTTCCACCACTGCCACACTGGGGATCAAATTTCAACATGAGATTTGGTGGAGACAGAAAAACCATATCCAAATCATAACAGCCATCTTACAGGCAAATCAAGGATATGGAATCTGCCATTTAATGTACTTATTGTGAGCCTATTGTGCATTAAATACCATGCTAGGTGGTATGATTACAGATGATTTAGATTTGGCAACAGCCCTCAGAGGGTTTATAGTGCAGAAGGCATATAAATAAACAATGTCACTCTGTTGTAATTGCCACTATTAACAAAGGGTACTATGGAAGGGAGGAGTCCACGAATCCTGTATCAGGGAACCAGCAAGAAACGGCATACTCAGCTAAAAGTTTTGAAGGGATATTTTAATGAAGTTTTAATAAAAAAGTAACTGCTGCTCTTTACCATTAAGAGAGACTATTTTGGAGGTGTGGGCAAGGTTAAGGTGGGCGGGCTGAGGGGGGCAACAGGAATGCTGAGGCATCCAAGGACAATCAGCAGAAGAAAGCCAATCCCACCCCAGTCTGAAGTGAAGAAACAAATGTGAGAAATAGTGTTACTGGACTAAGTGGGAGGTGGAATCATGGCGGAGAGGCCAGATGACACCAACTACAGCTGTAGCCAGAGCAAAACAGGGGAGATCAGGAAGAATAGATAATCCAGCTTTTCTCTCCTCCTGCTCTCTGATCTCCTGCCATGCTCCCTATTGGCAAGATCCACCTGGAAACCAGAGGTCAGGGCACCTGGATGATGCCATCAATGCAGTTGGTAGAAGTCAATCTCCTGGTCCTCAGAGCAGGGTGGAGAAGGATCTGGAGGGGCAAATAAAGACTATCCTGAACAAGGTCCTCAAAAGAGAAATGATAGGAATAATTGATACAATATTTTTTGAAACTTTATTGCTTCATTAAAATGCTTAAAATTGCAAGGAGAGTCCACAGTTACTGATAGAATGGGGATAGGTTTGAATGAATATTCAGATGACTGGACACTTGAGGTTCCTATTAGAAGAGACAATGGACATATGGCTGGAAATCACATCCTGGATCTTTTTTTGAGGGGGAGTTGGGAGATGAAAGTCAAGTGCGGAGAAAATGGGTAGGGAATAAGGAGAAACATATCTTCCTGTCAGCTGGAGAACAGATCACTAGAGATAAATTGTAAGGTGGGAATTGCATCATATTTTTCTGACCTAGTCTCAAAAGCCATGCAGTATCACTTTCACACTGTTACAAACAAGTTACAAACTGACCCAGATGCAAAGGAAGGAAAGTTAATTCCACCCCTTCTGGAGAAAGCAAAATTCTATCATAGGGCTGAATAATACAGTAGCCAGTAGCCACACATGGCTGTTTACACTTCAATTAATGACAATTTAATAAAATTAGAAATTCAATTCTCAGTCACACTAGCCACATTTCATGTGTTCAATAGCTATGTCAGGACATGGAATATCTCCATTATTGCAGAAGTTTCTATTGGACAACACAGCTCTAGAACATACGAGACAGGAAATATTGTTGCAGCCATCTTGCAAATACAGTCTGCCACCAGGACCTAGGCAAACCAAATTGTATTAGAGAAGATAGTGCAGTGGCTCACAAGACATTGTGTACAAGGGTTGGCAATAACTGCTGCTGTTTATCACTAAGAGAGTACTTGGGTTAAAGTCTCAAAGAGAGGATGTATATGCCTAGGGGGCTAAAACTAGGGCCAATAGGAGGGTATCACAAAAGAGAGATTTCTAGGACAGTATGTTCCATGAGGCTCTTTGAGCATGTGACAAAAAGCCACCATTCCCCAGGAAAAAAAAATACAGTATTATGCATTCAAGTTCAGGGGTCTACAGAACCCTCCAAATCAATCCATGGACTTGTCACATCAGAGCCCTACTGCAGGCTGTGAGCCCTTGAAAGTATTTCCTTATTCCCAGCCATTAGCAGAGGATTCGGCCCTGATGACACTTAATCACCATATGTTGACAGAAAGGGGCACTTTTTTGCTGAATACAAGTAAGAACTTTAATAGGTGGGGAAACATTTAAGTGGACCAGACAACATCAGGAAGCCAGAAAGTTTCCCAGCACTACAGGAGTCCAAGTAGATGTATGATAATATGGAGAGGATTTCAGCCTTCAAACAGAACTGAGTAAGCCTTAGGTCTTGCCTTGGAGACCCAAGTTCTATAAAAGATGACAGTAAAGCCCAAGTGAAGGGATGATCACATACAACTTGTATGAAGAGGGTGGAATCTAGAGAGGCTCCAAGGAGCTGGTGACATTCTTGGATCAAGTTCATATGTCAGATGGCTTCTTCCCTGAGGTTGAGTCCTCTCTAGAAGGCTCTTCAAGCCTCATACATACAAAAAAAAAAAAAGTTTTTATCCTTCTCTCCCCCATACCCAGTTTTCCTGATAAATCCAGACATATCTAAACTTAGCAGTGGACAGAGCTTGAACAGTCCTCAGTTGGTCTTCAGGCCCCTTGCAAACAGACCTCTGGCATACTTGTCTCATCAGTTTCAAACACACCCCAGATACACTTTCATCCCCTACAATATATTTTCTGAATTTTGAGTATCATTGTGAGAAATTCACATTGAATCTAAGGCTAAAATCATCTCAGCTTTTCTGACAGTCCCACTGCACTTGTAAAAGTCAGTTATATTCAGTTATTTTTTCCTCTCCCACTATTCGGTCAATTCTTCAAGATCAGGAGCTATATTCCCACTTCCTAAGCATGCACTTGGCAGCTGTATGTTCCAGCCGGTGTTTTATTCTTGCAATTCCACAGGGACAGGGTTTTGGATACAACAGGCTGGTTTGAGCATAATTATTCTTAGTACATAAGCTCATTATTGTGTGTGTTATCCAAAATCTTAAAGGACTACAGCACTCTGCTTTTTATAGAGAGGAAGAGGCACACCCCACCATTCCTAACACATACTGAATCTTGACTGAATGACTGTAGAAAGCAGATTGCCCTGGGTTTGAAACCCACTATCAGCTGTGTGACTTCGAGAAAATTACCTGGTCTCTCTAAGCCTCAATGTCCTCAGTTGCAAAAAGGACATTCTATTCATACCAGGATTGTTTTAAATAACATTTAGCATGGTGCTTGGTGTATAAGAAGCATTTCAAAAATGTTGTCCACTCATTCTGTGACTTCTCATATACTCTTGCCTTCTCCACGAAAAAAAAAAAAAAAAAAAAGATTGTTAATATCCTTTTGGGGCACAACTGGAGAAGTGTATCTTGAAAGACCTAACTGACCGTTTTACAACCACAATCTGCACTATGGTGCACTGAGTGATGTGAGTCATGCAAGTGTAGGCTAAATCTTTTTATTTAGAATGTTGATATTTCACGGACTTCTGAAAATTTATTACGATTTTTTGAAATATTACATTAAAAAATTACTTACTTTGATAACCGCAGTTTACCTGGCACCCTCTTAAATTTTGCATCCAAGGCAGTGCCTCATTCGTTTGGCCCTTGTCCTGTCCTGCCTACTGTCACACCACGACCTAAATCTGAGACTAGAGCAGCCAGAAAAACTGGAAGGAAAAGAACCCCGTTCCTTACCTGAGTTTACCCTTCTGCCCTAGAGCGCTACCCCGGCCCAGGAAAGTGGGCACAGGGAGCGTACTACAGCTCCCACAAGGCCACGCGGGACTGCGTCCTCGCCTATTGGCTGCGCGGGTCCCGCCCTCCCCCTGCCCCTCCCCGCCCTTGCTGGGATGACCCCGGGGGCGAGTGCCCGGCCAGTGTGCTCCCGAAGCGGGCTGCGGTTCCGCTCGTATCAGGCTTCATGGCGGCGCGGCCACTGTCCCGGATGCTGCGGCGGCTTCTGAGGTCCAGCGCCCGGAGCTGCAGCTCAGGGGCTCCGGTGACCCAGCCCTGCCCCGGGGAGTCCGCGCGAGCTGCCTCGGAGGTGAGCCCACCCCGCCTGCGTCCACAGCTTCCCGGGGCAGGAGTGGCCCCGGCACACTGCCCTTTTCCCCCAGTAGCTCCCGGCCTATCTGCTTGACCGCTTCTGGGAGGGACCCGTTGGCACTCCTCAGTGGAGCGATGTTCTCCAGATGGACCGCCCGGTCTCACCCGCTAGCCCAGCGGGAGAGGTTCCTGGGAGTCCCGCTTCAGAACCTCCCTGCCCCCCAGCCACGCCACCCCTTCTAGCCCTGAGCTTGGCCAGAAATTCGGGTAAGCAGAGGACTGGGACTTTGGGTCCAGTGAGGTGTCTTAGTACCTTTCAGCCTTGCCTTGCACCCACCCTCTTTCTTAAACATTTTCCCTCCCTATCCCAAGAGCTGAGAGATCAGGTGTCCCTGTGACACCTGCTTCATAGTGCGACTGACTAAACATGTCACCTCGGTGTCACCAACGATGAGTTGTTACTGTAGTCCCAGGGCTCTGTAACCCATCCTTTGCTGACTCTCCTTGTCTTTTTTATTAACCTTGGGAGGGTTCAGCCTTATCCTAGAGCAGAACAGGGCAGGACGTGGCTTCTTCCAGGTGAGAAATTAATTCCTCTGTCTTTAGGGTTTTGGGTAAGATCCCTCAGTCCTTGCCAGCACCCCTCAGAGTGTTTCAAGTCATTAAAAGTTTTAGGTTTTGGTTGTTCTTCTGCTCAGGTGGTTAGGGAATAATTTGGGGGGAAAAGTACCTCTTTTCATTTAGTGAAACCTCTTTTCGGTACCTATCTAGGCGTTTTTTTCCCCGTCTCCCAGAACTAGGCTTCCTGTCCTGGGATTCATAAGATCACTGCTCCCTCCTCCCCTATATTGCTCAATGACTTCCGCCAAATTTGCTTTCCCCAAATCTAAGCCCCTCTGGGATCCTCAGATAAGCAGGCCCATGGTTGGGAAGTGAAGACTTTTTAGTATCCTCAAACTCTGAACATCATTGAGGAAGAGATAGGAAAGCAAAGATGGCTGAGAGATCTTTAAAGAATTCAAGAAAAGGGACTTTTCTTCTCCAGCCCCCCACCCCCTAGTTTATTTTGTACTGGTCTTTCATGAGAGAACCTGTGTTGAGTGACTCACATGTGGAAGCATTTAGTCCTCACTAAGCCATGTGAGGTGAGTAGAGTTTGTATGTTCAGATGAGGGGGCTAATCTAAGTTAACTTTCCTCCAGTCGCAGAGCTGTAGAGGGCAGGAACTCAACTCTAATGCTTTTCCGTCCTCCCTGTGTGGAGGCCAGGGAGAGAGCCTGCTCCTATCCATCCCTTTACACTGTGAAGGGAGGGGTAATGTGGCAGAAAGGAGAACATAGACTCTGGGGCAGCCCCATCCCTTATTAGGGATTCACCAAGTCCCCTTACCTCTCAGTGTCTGTTTTCTCATCTGCAAAGTAAGAATAAAAGTGTCTACTTCATAGGATGTCACAGGGATTAAAAGAGTTAACGTATGTTAACGTATATACTTAGAACAAAGCTTAGCCCATGTAAGTGCTGTGTTATGTAAATGTTGGTGGTAATTACTATTATCCATGCTGCCACTGGCACATGCTCTGTCCTGTGAGTCCCCTCCCATCTGGACTTGTTGGATAGCTATTCTGTCAACTCACATTGAATCCTGGACATCTCATTAGGATTATCTTCAGCAGACTGGGAGTTCCTGAGGGCTGGGTGCACCTCCGCCTTTCTATCCCCACAAGCGCTTAACGCAGGGTTGTGCAGGCAGTGGATTCAGCCAATAATTGTAGCTGCTTGAAACTTAACTAGTGAGGAGTCACGTGGCATAGTAGACCACACTGGACAGGGAGTCCCATGTTTTCACCCGCCAGTTTCGCCTCCAATTTCACCTGGCTCCTGGGGCTGTCACTTCCCTTTGCTTCATGTTTATAAAATGAGAGGACTGGGCCAGCCCATCATAAGATGGGGGAGGGCACAGAAACTTGTCTTGAGGAGACTCTAAGGGGAGGTGAGTCTGGAAATGGATATGTTCTGCTCATCTCCAGAGCTTGCCAGTTGGGGTGGGGACACCTTGAACCCCTTCTTGCAGGGTCTGTCTCCCCCAACACGCCCACACAGGGCTCTGGTAGTCTGGTTTGGGATGGGAGGTGCTTGGAGAGCTAGGATGGAAAGCCACTGGGCATTGTTTGTGTGGCAGGATGAGGGTGTGAGGGAGAGAAGTGAGGTTAAGTGGGAGCTGGCTGTGAGGATTGCGGAAAGGGGGCTGTGGGCTGAGTCCAAGAACAGGTCGAGTAGCTTCTAGCTATGGAAAGGAGTAGTGTGTGGGTCAATGGGGAGGTGGGTGGGGGAGACACAGCAACCTGCCAGCCTGCATCTGGGGTGGCCCAGACAATCTTTGTAGGGTTCAGCCTAGCCTGGGAGTGCTGTATCCCTCTTTCTCCCTCTGAGGCTCCATGCAGGCTTTGTTGGGCAACAATGAAGCCTGCTGCCTGTGGCGGGGGAAGCAGGGAGGGTGAGTCTAGGCAAGGCAAAGGCACCCATCTGTTCAGGGGGCCAGAAAAAACAAATGCTGGCTAGGGGTTAGGCTGCAAGGAAGTGGGTGTGGGTGAAGGTAGAAGGAGTACAGCAGGCACTGGTGAGGGAGAATGAGGGGGAGGAGGGAAAGAGGGCTTTCAGGAGGTCATCTTGACTTCCAATCTGCCCAGCTCCTCAAAATCCATGTTTCAGCGAAATGTGACTGTCCTCCTCAGAAGCTATAGGTGTAAAGACCTCACACTTAGGGTGGGAATGAGGGGAGGGGGAAGGAGAATCGAGCTAGGCTAGGCTCTTTGTTGGGTCCTCTCATTTAAAAGAGATTAATTTTAAGAGACCCTTAGTATACATCATCCCAATAGCAGGGTAAATCAGGGCCACGATACTTAGATTTGGAATGTGCTTTTTTTCCTCTCGAATAACCCTGCTGCTCTGTTTAGACTTTGGAGCTATTTGAGGGCTAGCCTTTAGCAGTCAAATCAGATGCCTAAGATGAGTGACTAGTAGAGGAGGGCACCTTGAGGGCAGGGTCCCGCTTTAACTCTTTTGTCCCACCCTTCCCCACCCCCTTCACCCTAATCTGCATTGGGTAGACATGAGATGACCAGTAGTGTCTGGCAGGCTGCTTAGTGCCTGCTGATGCACACCAGTATTGGTGGTCCTGGGGATGCTCAGACCCCACTTGGGTGGTGTGGCAGCAGCTTTGAAACCCTGCCTCTGGCCATCTGCTGTTAGTAGGGTTGGAAGGCCAGGGTCTTGGAAGGGAAGGGAAGCTGACAAACTAGAAAAACTGATCACAGCACACAACAGTGTTCCTCCATGGATCACTGAATGAAAACCTCGGTGCCAGGAACTCCTCCAACTGAGTTAGGTTGGATTATTATTTCCACTGCATAGATGAGGAAACTAAGGTTTCGAGAATTTAGGTGACTTGCTCAACAGCTAGAGCCAGGCTTGTAATATAGGCTCACCTACTCCAAATCCTGTGCTCAGAACCACAACAACTTGCCCTGGATTAAAATAGCACCTGGCACTTGGTGTCACTAGGCCGATGGTTCTCAGCCCTGGCTGCACAGCTGAGGCACTAGATTGAGCTAGAATCTTTGGGACAGATTCTAGCTCCTTCTTGAAACTAGAATCCTTCTTGAAGCTCCTTGAGTGATTTTGATGGGCTGCCAGGGTTTCAAACCACTATACCAGGTTAAACCATTTTGACAGTAGAGACCAGCCGGGAAATGATTACCCCCATGTAACTGGCTTTTGCATATACGACCTTTCTGCTTACATTAGGGACAGGACTATTTGTTCATGTGATTCAAAATGTACCAACATCCTGTGCTAGACACTGGGGATACTGAATCAGGCAGAATGACTTCTCACGGAGAGGAAACAGCCCAGGCCAGCCTGGGACCCTGGGAATATGATCCGTTGAGTGCTTCCTACTACTTCTGGCATGTCCCAGCCCTCCTGAGCAAGCAGGGTTGCTGTCTACTCTGTCCTATAATTCCCTCTGAATCTTGGGCTCCTTTGACTGGTGCTGATATTTTTTTCCTCCAGGAGACTTAAGGGACAGGGAAAAAAGTAGAAGAATGAAAGTAGGGCATGCAGTGTTAGAGGAGAGAAGATGCAGGAATGGGGCTCGTTAATATCTGAGTAATGAGTTTGCATTGCTGGCAGGGTGAGAGTGTGTGTGTTTAGGAGGCTGGGTTCAGAACGGGTGGTGCAGTCTGCATAAGTCTAGACAAGGTCACAGAAGTTCTTAAAAGTGAAATCTGACCAGCCTCTCCCATTGCCAGAACAAAAGCACCAAATTCCATTTTTTTTTTTTTTTTTTTTTTTGAGAGAATCTCGCTCTGTTGCCCAGGCTGGAGTACAGTGGTGCGATCTTGGCTGACTGCCACATCTGCCTTCTGGGTTCAAGCGATTCTCTTGCCTCAGCCTCCCGAGTAGCTGGGATTACAGACTCGCGCCACCACAGCCAGCTAACTTTTGTATTTTTTAGTAGAGACGGGGTTTTGCCATGTTGCCCAGGCTAGTCTCACACTCCTGGCCTCAAATGATCTGCCCTCCTCGGCCTCCCAAAGTGCTGGGATTCCAGGCGTGAACCACCACACCCGGCCCCTAATTCCATTCTTGATTGCTCCATCACACTGCTTGCTCTCAGGTTTCTGCTGAATAATGCTCCTTGGTCCTCTCAACTTCCAATTCTTTGATGTATTTTGACTCCTCCCCCATCCAGCCACCCCATCCCCCCATCATGTCAAGACTGGGTTGAGGGGGGGTATCTTGGCAAGTGAAGAGGCAGAATCTAGGGTGACTAACATGACTGAATTGCAAATAGCTGTTGATGAAAAAGAGGGCACAGCACTGCAATACATCCAGATTCCCAGGTATCTCATCTGGACTCCGGTGGCTGATGGGATTCTTGATTATGGAGTGCTCCCCGCCCCAACCCTGAGGCTATCTGTGGAAAGGCAATGGGTTGAGTTTGAGTTTTCTCCATCATACCGCAGGGAGGGAGGAAGTGACTGTTGTGATTATAGCAGACGGCAGTTAGAGAAGTGACTGCTGCTTACTCCCCACAGGATGGTGAGCAGGGCTTCTCAGAGGAGGTGGGAAATTCTCCCGCGGTGGGTAGAGTGAGGAATGTTTTATGGGCCCAGAAAATCAAGAGCAGCTTCACACATACTCTCATGTCTCTTATCTTTGAGCCACTCAGTGGCTCTTGACCCAGTCAAGGGCTGCCGATGAGAATTACCTGGAGAGATTGAAAACGTAACAGATTCAGAGATCCAGATTTAGTTGGTCTCCACTGGAATGTTTTTTTAAAGTTCTCCAGATGGTTCTAATGTGCAGCTGGAGCTGAGGAACTTACTGAAGCAAATGCTTCTTCCTCCTAATTGTAGGCATAGTTGCGCTAGACCTTTGGAGGGCCTGAGACCTTCTGTTCTTCATCATAATTTTAAGTGTTCACCTACCATCTTCTGATACCACCACTACCACTCCACCCCTGTCTTTACTCCTAGCAAGACAACCTTAGCCTGTAGCTGTATTCTTATTTTACAACTGGGAAAGCAGGCCTGGAGAAGTTAAGGGACTTTCACAGTGTACCAGGTCATACCTACTGCAGAAACCAGGGTTTCTTATTCCCATTCCAGAACCTTGTCTGTAGATCTCATGCATGACTTCCAGGGTCGTGATTTTTTTGTCTGAAATATTCTAGAGAAGTGACTTCTACCCACCCTAGTTGTCATCCTCCCTATCTTCTTGGACTCTCTCTGTGATAGAAGGGAGTAATTTAGAACCTGGAATCAGGGTCGGGTGTGGTGGCTCATGCCTGTAATCCCAGCACTTTGGGGGGCCAAGGCAGGTGGATCACGAGGTCAGGAGATCGAGACCATCCTGGCTAACACAGCGAAACCCCGTCTCTACTAAAGATACAAAAAATTAGCCGGGTGCAGTGGCGGGTGCCTGTAGTCCCAGCTACTTGGGAGACTGAGGCAGGAGAATGGCATGAATCTGGGAGGTGGAGTTTGCAGTGAGCCAAGATCGCGCTACTGCACTCCAGCCTGGGCAAAAGAGCGAGACTCCATCTCAAAAAAAAAAAAAAAGAACCTGGAATCAGAAGACCTGGATTTGAATCCTGCTTCTGCCGAGGGTGTTCTTGGACCCCATCCAAGCCTTAGTTATAATAATCCCTTGTGGAGTGGGTGTGGGAATGAAACAGAACGTTCTTTGGAAACTTTAAGATGCTTGGTAAATGCTACTTCCTTGGAGCAATTATCTCATCAGCATCTGTCGGGACCCAGGTTGTACTCTCCAAGGACCGATAGGTCAGGGGGAGACGGATCAGACTAGATCAGACTTGTACATGGGAAAGAGTGAAGCCGGCTCCCTCCTTTCTCTCTGCAGGACGGGTTTGGGCCTTGCTTGTGGCCTTCAGCAGTCTCTTCTCATTTATGCCCGAGACCATGGGTGCACAATCCTTTTTTTGGCACTGGCTAGAGTGAAGAATAAGGGCTAATAGATTTCCCCACACCCTTGCCTCCACCTTGCTGCCCAGCCAGAAATCTTCCCAGTAGAGATCACCATCCGCCCCCGACCCCCAAGCTGAATACTTAAGGGGTGGGTCCTTCCCATCAAGCTGATTTCTCAACGAGAGGGACAATCCCAGCTTCCCCAACATTGCAGAGCCCAAACATGTGGAAGAGTTGGAAGCTCCGCACAGATGTCAGAGTAAGGGAGGGGGCAGGCGGTTCTCCTTGTGCCTCTTCCCAGCCCGGTAGCAGGGGCCCATGCTTCCTCCCTGGTCTGTCCTCGCAGGAGGTGTCCAGGCGGAGGCAGTTCCTGCGGGAGCATGCGGCCCCCTTCTCCGCCTTCCTCACAGACAGCTTCGGCCGGCAGCACAGCTACCTGCGGATCTCCCTCACAGAGAAGTGCAACCTCAGATGTGAGTCACCTTCCTGGGCCCTCTCTGGGCTGGTGTCCATCTGCTGAAGCAGCCCTTGAAATTTCCCTGTGCCTGGAAATCCTCCTGTGTCCTCCAGTTCTGCTTTCTAACTTCTTCACCTGCTACCCCTTGCTTACCAGGCCAGGTGGGCTTCAGGGGCAAGATAGGGGTCAAGGCTGAGTTGTATGATTATAGAAGCTGTGTCCTACTTGGAATTAGATTTGAAAACATAAATGCAGTTGGATTTAGAATTAAGATTGGATCCTGGACCTCTCATTCTTCAGGGGTCCTTCCTCCTGTTTCCCTGTAGTTCCCGAAGTCCAGGACATGGCCAGGGGTGGGGTGGTGGACATTATAAACATTTGAAGTAGACAGCCATGCCCATGCCAGCACTGCTGACTCTGGAGGTGCCCCAGTCCCGTGACAAATCAGCTGGGGCTAGGCTAATAACAAAGAGGCCTCATTTCATAATCCTCCCAAAGAGTGCTCTGGATCTGTAGCCACTGCTGGAGGGACTTCCAAAGTTGATCTTCCTTCCCCTCTGTTCCTTCCTTCTGCCTCTCCCCACTTTCCCCTCCCCTTCCCCCCTTCCCCCCCTTCTTTTCCTCCCCACTTTCTTTCACTATACCTCACGATAAGAAATAAAGTTACTTCATGGCCCAATAAATGCATGCATGTATGTTTAGTAACTTTTTAACCAAACAAGATGTACTATATGCTTTACATTCTGGTAGTCTTACTTATTCTCTTCAGTCTCAAAGGACTGGTTCTGGACCCAACTGAGTAATTTGCCTTCATGACTCTCTAACAGATCTTGACCCAAACCTTAATGAAACTGCACCACAGGAAGTGATGGTGGAGGATGGTGGCCCTTCCACAGCCTGCCGCTGCTCACCTCATTTACCCCATTCTGATACCTCACCATGAACAAGTAGTATCTCAGTTTTCCAACATATAAAATGGGTCTGATGATAACCTGAAATAGATAGAGTGGATTTGAGAATGCTTGTAGCTACAGAGGACGGCAGCTTTTGCCAGGCCAGAGAGTACCTCTCTCTCACCCCATGACACACAGAGAGAAAGCTACCTGTTTGCCATAGCCAGTGAAATGCAGGAGGATGGGTGACAATGCCAGGAGGAACGCCCCTGCCCAGGTGCCCTCAGCCCAGGAAGTCAGGCCAGGCTCTGCCCTCAGCCTACTTCATCTCTAACCCATGCCCTTGGCCTCCCACTGAGGGATGTTATGGCCAGATTGTGTGTGTTGGGCATAGGGAAAGGTGTTAACGTTTCAGAAATGAGAAAGGTGAGGCCTGGGGAGATGCTGGCCTGGGGTTTTTCCACCTCAGGTTTAGTGAGGTCTCCGCTCACATCCAGATGGGTTTGAGAAGCCTTTGGCCTGATGGAGAGTTGGGGAGTGGAGGCATCACGGGGCTGTGGCCGTGCCTCTTTCCTCCCTCCACATTCCCATTCATCCTTCCCTCAGGTCAGTACTGCATGCCCGAGGAGGGGGTCCCGCTGACCCCCAAAGCCAACCTGCTGACCACAGAGGAGATCCTGACCCTCGCCCGGCTCTTTGTGAAGGAAGGCATCGACAAGATCCGGCTCACAGGTGGAGAGCCGCTTATCCGGCCGGACGTGGTGGACATTGTGGGTGAGTTGGACGAAAGTCATCGCCACTTCTCCCAGCGCTGCCTCATCCGGCTGGACACTGATGCCGATGTTAACAGTGGCAGCTGACATTCATTTAGCACATGACACTCTCTTGGTCCTACAACACCTGCTGAGACAGGTGCTATTATTATTTCCATTTTTGATGAGAAAATGAGGCTTAGGTTGGATAACTTGCCCAAGGTCAGGAAGCTCGCAAATGCCAGACCTCAGTAGCTTGCTGTCACATTGAGACCAAGGTCCTCCAGGAGGCCCACGTGACCTGGCTCTTGCTGACCTCCAAAACCCTTGCAGGCTTCTCCACCTTTCCCCTCCTTCCCATTCACATGACCGGGCCTTGACATGTGCTGTTCCCTTTGCTAGGAGCTCAGGGCACTCTCCTCGACCTCATTCAGGTCTCTGTTCACATGTCATCTTCTCAGCAAGGCCTTCCTCAACCATCCTGTCTAAAGTGCGTCCTCATGTACTCACACCAGCCACTCTTTCCCAGAAATTGGCAAGTTATAGCAGCCAAATCTGGGCCGACATGTGTTTTTGTCTAACGTGCAAACTGAGTGTTGTTTGTTTGTTTGTTTGTTTTTGAGATAGAGTCTCGCTCTGTCACCTAGGCTAGAGTGCAGTGGCAGGATCTCGGCTCACTGCAACCTCCACCTCCCAGGTTCAAGTGACTCTCCTTCCTCAGCCTCCAGAGTAGCTGGGCTTACAGGCACACACCGCTATGCCTGGCTAATTTTTTGTGTTTTTAGCAGAGACGGGGTTTCACCATGTTGGCTAAGCTGGTCTCGAAACCCTGACCTCAAGTGATCCACACACCTCGGCCTCCCAAAGTGCTGAGATTACAGGCGTGAGCCACTGCATCCTGCCATGGTTTTTATGCTCCTAAATAATGGGGAAAAAAATAAAATAATAACATTTTCTACCACACGAAAATTATAAAATCCTATATGTTCAGTGTCTATTAATGGAGTTTTATTGGAATATAGCCATGCCCATTCATTTACATATTGCCCATGGCTGCTTTGGCAGAGTTGCATGGTGTTGACAAAGACTGTGTTGCAAAGCTGGCCAGCCAAGTAGAAAATATTTACTATCTGGACTTCCACAGAAAAAGTGTGGCAACCCCTGCCCTACTCACTTACCCTACTTTGTTTTGCTTCATAGCATTTATCTCATCCTGGCACTGTGTGTTTGGGTTGTGTGTTTGGTTTCTTTAATTGTCTGTCTCCTGCATTCGCTGGCGTGAAAGCTCTCAGGTTGCTGGAGCAGGTTTTGTTTTTGGCATCCAGTACCGTGCCTGACACGTGGTTGATGCTCCCTGAAATTCGCTGAATGAATGGAGACTGGGTCAGAGTAGTCTCTGCAGTACGGCATATTCCTATCTGAGTCTCCACTGTGCCTCTTACAAGAAGCGTACCTTGGGCAACTTTTAAAATCTGTTCTAAGCCTTGAGGCAGTGATAGTACCTACCTTATAAGGTTGACCTGAGGAGGGAATGAGAATGAAATGCCCAGCCTATGGCAAGTGCTCTGTAAAGGTAGCTCTAAAGGGCCTCTTGCCATGAGCTTCTAAACCCCAAGATCAGGAAAGAGACCTTTGCTCATGTAATTATAGGTGATGAAATCGGGGCTATGAGGTTCCATGTTCTTGATTGCTGCCCCGTCCAGCTGCTTTGGACAGGACCCCCCGCCCCTCAGCTCTCTAGCTCAGTAATTGTTCGCTGGAGTGCCCTCTTGCATGCCTCCTACTGTGCTGAGCACACGAAGATGAATGAGCACCAGCCCTGCTGTTGAGGACCTGTGGCCCACTGGAGGAAGCAGCTGCTGTATAAGGGGAGCCTAGGTGCTGTGAGAGTCCCAAGGAGGGGCCCAGGTCCCCCTGACAGCCCTCTTCTCCCTCCTGCCCCATGGCCAGCTCCCTTCAGCTCCTACTGGTCACTTGGCCTGGGAACCTCTGTCATCCTGTGCTGGCTGAGCTGGCCCAGGCAAGCTGACCCCATGTTCCAGGCAGCTCCTCAGGGCTAAAAGGCAGGCTGGCTGCCAGGAAAGGGCTGAACCTGCTGAACCAGCTGCTTGCCAGGCCCAGCCCCCTCATCCAGGCCACTTCCTCTCCCTGGCACCCGCGGGCATGGGCCGCCTTGTGCCAGGACCTGTGAGAGAGCAGAGGGGATGAGGATCACTCACTGGTCAGGGAGGTACAGGATGGCTGAGCACTGGTATGAGGACTCGGGGCTCTCCCGGGAAACCCCAGCATGCAGAGAGGGAAGAATGGGAGCCAGGAAAGTTGGTAGCTCTGTCCCCATTCTGCCACTCTCTGGCTGGGTGAACTTGTGCAGGTTCCTTCCCCACCGAGGGCCTCAGTTTCCTCAGCTGTGGATGAGCCACTTTAAGGATGTTTTCTGCTGTGATATTCTGTGGTTATTGGCCCTGGCTGATGGAATGGGATGGGCAAGGGGTGATCGCCACATGGATGCTAGTTAGGACAAGGCCCCGCTTGCAGTGACCTGCTTCTGAGGATTTACCTCCTGCCTCCCAGGTGGTGGGGGTGGGTGAAACACCTCCCCTTGCCCCTCTCCCAGTGCTTCAAAAAGAATGGTGGCTGCACCCCCTCACTTCCTGTGGCGCTGTGCCTGTGAGCACTCTGACATCCCTCAGGGGCTAGCCTCTGATCTTCCCCAGAGGAGCTGCTTCAGAGCAAAGCAGCCTTGAAGGGCAGGGCAGATGGGTGCTGGTGGAGGAAGGAGGGATGGGGGAAGAGAGAGAACAGAAGTCAGGGCCAGGATGTTCACGAACACTTGTGCCTACCCTCTCACGTGAGGGTTTTGAGGGGCCCCCACCTGGAGGCAGAGCAAAAGGATTGCAGGTTACAGTTTCTGCCGAGCCTGAGGTCCCGTTCACCTCAGGTCCATGTCTGAAGCTCTGTCAGCCTTTGAGAGGTGCTGCAGAACACCCCACGGGAAGGGTTTGGGCCCCTCAGCTCTCTCTGGCTCCCTCTGCCAACCCCTTGCCTCTCCAGCACTTCTGCACCCTGCTTCGTGTGCAGACAAAGTCCCATGCCCCTTCTTTTCAGCTGAGATGGGTTTAAAGCATTATCTTGGTGCAAAAGTTATGGCGGGTTTGGCCATGAATAGCATTGTCCCATAGAGCATGGGTGTCCTATCTTTTGGCTTCCCTGGGCCACAGTGGAAGAACTGTCTGAGGCCACACATAAAATACACGAACACTAACGATAGCTGATGAGCTAAAAATTTACCAAAAAATCTAATGTTTTTAGAAAATTTACAAATTTGTGTTGGGCCACATTCAAAGCCATCCTAGGCCATGTGCAGCCCCTAGGGCACAGGTTGGACAAGCTTGCCATAGAGCTTCCCAAGATGATGGAATGTTCTGCATCTGTGTTGTCTGATACAGTAGCCACTCATAGCTCTTGAGGGCCTGACATGTGGCTAATGTAACCGAGAAACTGAATTTGTATTTTATGATTTTTTCGTTCATTTAAGTAGCCTCATGTGGCCAGCAGCTGCTGTGTTGGACAGTGAAAGTTAGGGTCTTCCAAAGGAAGGAAGAGGAACTAAGCGCACAAGTACTGTGAGAGTGTTGGAGGAGTTTGCAGGGCCCTTGTTTTCCATCCTAACTTCCCGAACGACTGGCCACTGCCAGATGAGCTGGACTTAGCTTAAGAATTGCTCACTGGGGAACAGCAGACACTGGGACCTACTTGAGGGTGGAGGGTGGGAAAAGGGAGAGGATCAGAAAAAATAACTATTGAGTACTAGGCTTAGTACCTGGATGACGAAGTAATCTGTACAACAAACCCCCATGACACAAGTTAACCCATGTAACAAACCTGCACATGTACCCCTGAACGTAAAAAAAAGTTGAAAAAAAATCACTCATTGCGGCAGCTTCTTCCTTTCCTTTTTCTTTCCTTCCTTCTTTCCTTCCATTCCTCGCTCCCTCCATTCCTTCCTGCCTTTCTTGTAGAGTATAGCTTGATTTCACAGCTTAAAGCCCATGAGAGGCTTAATGTAATGGAAAGCCAATGACAGATTGTGAAAAGAGGTAAAGCATTTTGTTTTATTTTTGGTGGGCTCCAGTTGCATAGAATTAGGTTAAATCATAGTTAAATCATACTTGGTTCATGAGATATTCTCATCATTGATCCATGTATGACTTGCTTTACTTTATTCATGTTAATAATGTTAGTGGTTCCTAAGGAAACCCACTATACCACCAATGTTTTGGCAAAAAGTTTTTTTTTTTTTTTAGACGTAGTCTTGCTCTGTCGCCCAGGCTGGAGTGCAGTGGTGCGATCTGAGCTGACTGCAACCACTGCCTCCCAGGTTCACGCCATTCTCCCACCTCAGCCTCCCAAGTAGCTGGGACTACAGGCACCCGCCACCATGCCTGGCTAATTTTTTATATTTTTAGTAGAGGCGGGGTTTCACTGTGTTAGCCAGGATGATCTCGATCTCCTGACCTCATGATCCACCCGCCTCGGCCTCCCAAAGTGCTAGGATTACAGGCATGAGCCACTGCGCCCAGCCATTTGGCAATAACTTTTAACTACCTATGGGGCCTTCCCTATACTGTACCCTGCCCCCACCCCACTGCCACCTAAGGTAAGTGTTCCTCAGTTTTCTATTTATCGTTTTCTTGCTGCCCTGTCCCCCCCCCTTTTTTTTTTGGGAGACCGGATCTAGCTCTGTTGCCCGGGCTGGAGTGCAGTGGCACGACAGCTCACTGCAGCCTCAACCTCCTGGGTTCAAGCGATCCTCCCACCTCAGCCTCTAGAGTAGTTGGGACTACAGGCGCACACCACCACACCCAGCTAATTTTTGTATTTTTTGTAGAGACAGTGTTTTGCCATGTTACCCAGGCTGGTCTTGCACTCCTGGGCTCAAGTGATCCTCCTGCCCTGGCCTCCCAAAGTGCTGGGATTACAGGCATGAGCCACCACACCTGGCCTATTCCCTTGCTTTTTAAAAAGTAGATATAGCGTTTTGAAGTTTGTAAGTGTCATGCTGTGTGTAGTCTTTCAGGGCTTATTGTTTTTGACTCAAGTAAAATGCATAATGTTATACAGAGTTGTAGTTCTTTTTTCCTCTGTGGTCTACTGTTACATTATGTGAATGTACCCTATTTTCTCCTTTTAGTGAGCATTTGAATTGGTTCTAGCTTTTTTGTTGTGGACGGTGCCACTTTAAACACTGTTTTCATTAACATATCTTGGTATACAGTTTCTCTAGCGGTGGAATTGCTGGATCATAAAATAGGTGAATGTTTAACTCTGGAAAACAATGTGGCATTACTTAATAACATGGTTGTGCCAAATACACTTTCACCCGCCCTATGTAAGAGATCCTGCCAAATGACCTCCCAACACTCAGTATTATTCTTGATATTTGCCAGTTGAACAAGTGTAAAATTATATTTCATTGTGGTCTTAATTTGTATTTTCATGTTTAAGAATGAAGTTGGCATCTCTTCACATGTTAATTAGCTATACATATATATAAAATATATTTTACTGTGTAATTCCTGGTCATGTCTTTTGCCTATTTTTCTATTTGGTTCTTTGTCCTTTCGTACTTATTTGGTACAGGTTCTTTATATATGTTGTGAATATCTCCTCCCCATCTGAAAAAACAAGTTACACCATGTGTAATGATTGTTTTTGATCAGTAGCAGTTCTTGAATTTATCAGCGTTTTTTTCTTTTATGGTTAGTGTTTTCATATCTTGTTAATGAAACACCTAACCCCAGATCAGATCACCTACCTTCGTTCTTCACAAAAAATTTTAAATTTGCATATAGGTCCTTAGTTCATCTGTAGATGATTTTTGGGAATTCAATGTAATTTTTTTCCATATGGATAGCCATTTTTTTATAGTTCTTTATATTGAACAATCCTTACTTCCTCCATAAATCTGCCATTCTGAACTTGATCTGTTTCAAGTTCTACTTTGTTCTGTTGGTCCATTTGTTAGTCTCTGTGCCAGTATCAACTGTCTTAATCACTGTAGCTTCATCAGTCAATTATCTGGTAGGGCAAGTTCTTTTTATTCTTTTTCAACAGTGTTTTACATATACTAAGGCTTGACCATGTAAATTTTGAAATCAGCTTATCAGGTTTTTTTTTTTTTTGTTGCTGTTTTTTGTTTGTTTTTTGTTTTTGAGACAGAGTCTTACTCTGTCACCCAGGCTGGAGTGCAATGACACGATCTCGGCTCACTGCCACCTTTGCCTCCCGGGTTCAAGCGATTCTCCTGCTTTGGCTTCCCAAGCAGCTGGGATTACAGGCATATGCCACCACCACACCTGGCTGATTTTTGTATTTTTGGTAGAAACAGGGTTTTACTACGTTGGGCAGGCTGGTCTTGAACTCCTGACCTCAAGTGATCCACCTGCCTTGGCCTCCCAAAGTTCTGGGATTACAGCCATCAGCCACCGTGCCTGGCCTCCAGTTGACTTTTAAGCTAGTTCTTTGGGCAGTTGCCGCTGATTTCTTCAGTAAGGGGATAATCAGTGATGGTGCTGAGGTCTCAGTGGGCAAGGGAAAGAATACAACGTAACCTGCTTCATTTTCCTTTATCTACTCGCATTCTTTGCCCATATTCATCCCCTAACTCATACCATTTCACAACAACTAGCCTTCTTAAGGACTTAGATTGTTAAGTTCTTACATGCCTAGATTGTGTTTCTCCGGGGTTGATTTGGTAGAAGTGAACAACCACTGCTAATTTTCCTTATTGGTAGAGTCAGAGTGAAACTCTTTCCTTTTTCAAACAGCTCTTATTTGTAAACTTTATTATTTTTTTTTTTTACAAAAGTAATTTATGTTTATTTCAGAAAAGCAGAAAGAATGTCATTACTGCCTGTTTGTAACCACTGTTGACATTTTGGTTTGATGACCCACCTGCCATTTTTCCTCTGCATCTTGTGTTTACTGCATCTCTTGTTACTGTTCTCTCTACGTAATATAGTGCGTGCATTTCCCTACACCCTAATGTATGATTTTATAGAGTCATTTTGGGTTGCATAATGTTCCGTCATCCAGAGAAAACATAATTTAACCAGTTTGCTATTGTTGGCTCTCTAGATTATTTCCCACTTTCCTTAATTATGCATTACTCCGTGATGAACATCCTTGTAGGTAAATGTTATTCACATCCGTGATTATTTCCTTAAATTCTTAGTGGAATTTCAGGTCAAAGGCTTTAAAAATTCATGTACAACTTCTCTCCAGAAAGATTATATGATTTTATTCTTACACCATGATTGTGTGCATTCCCATGCACCCCTACCTTAAACTGATGATGAATTTTGTAACATTCTGCCTTTTCTAATATTTGGCTTCACTTGAGCACTTTACTCTTGGTTTCCTCTCTCTTGCAGCGCTGAGCTGGGTCTTCATAGAGACATACGTTTACATAGCTTCTTGGAAACAACTGGTCTGGTGGCTGGAAGGGTGTAGTCAGTGGCACTGTCCATGTAGCAAAGGTCAGCTAAAATTCAGGGGGAGGGGTGTGTATGTGTGTCACCCACATTATCAAAGAAAACGTGTTTGTTATAGAAAGAAATTTTACCTATAAATAAATACAAAAATCACCTATGATCCTATTGATCACAGATAACTACTGTGTACATTTTCATAGCTTATCTTTTCTCTAGATCTTCTTGGATTTGAATGTGAGCAGGTGTGTTTCTTCAGACTCATTCTTTTCATTCTTTGATCTTTTGTATCCAGCTCTTCAAGAATGCCTTTGCTGAATTTTCCAGTTTGCTCATTCATTCCTGTGTTCATTCTGCTTCTCAAGTTTTTTCTTCTTGTAACTATATATTGTTTAATTTTCAAGAGCCCTAATTAGGGTTTTTTCTTGGTTTATTTTCAAGATTGAATATTTATCCCAATAAGGATATTCCCTCTGCTTTTTAAAAGAATTATCTTCTGTTATCACTGTTCCTTCTCCTCCTCCTTTCATTCTTCTATTTGGGGAAGTAGTTATCTTTCTTTCATGCTTCTTCCTTAAATGTTTGTTGATTCTTGGCGGTGTACTCATCTTAGTGCCTGAGGTCTCTGTTGGCCTGCCCGGCAATGTTGTTTGTGTTGTGTTTCTGTTTGGGTTGCTCCAAGGTTGTGGAGAAGGGGTGTGAGGTACTGCTGAGTGTCACCAGGACTCAGGCCTTGCCCCCGAAATGGTTTGGCTGTGTCCCCACCCAAATCTCTTCTTGAATTGTAGTTCCCATAATCCCCACGTGTCATGGGAGGGACCCAGTAGGAGGTAATTTAATAATGGGGGTGGTTACCCTCATGCTGTTCTCATGATAGTGAGTTTTGACGAGATCTGATGATTTTTATAAGGGGCTTTTCCTGTTTTGCTCAACATTTCTTGCTGCTGCCATGTGAAGAAGGACGTGTTTGCTTCCTCTTCTGCCATGATTGTAAGTTTCCTGAGGCCTCCCTAACCATGCTGAACTGTGAGTCAATGAAACCTCTTTTCTTTATAAATTACCCAGTCTCAGGTATTTCTTTATTAGCAGCATGAGAAGGAACTAATACAGCCCCATGGCTGGCTTAAGTGTCTGCACTGGTGCTTTATCCTTGAGGCAAATGCTTCTGCTGCCTTCCCGTGCCGACAGGGAAGGATGAGGCCAACCTGTCCAGCTCCTTCAAATATAACTCCCCTCTTAGACAACCTCCCTGACATGTAGTAGGACCCCTCTGCTCCTGTACATGTGACTACTAAGCTGCGTGCACACTAGTCACTCCCTGTTTTTACAGAACCTTCTCCTGGGTGCACTTTGAGCTGTGGTCTCTATCCGTCTGGTCGGTTCCATCTGCTTTCTCTCTTTCAGTACTAATTTACCTTTCTGGGCTATCTACGGCATTCTTTCTTACCTTCCAATGCTATTATGGATTTTTAAAATCCTTCCATTATTTCTAGGGATATTTGGTAGAATGGAGCTGTCAAATAGCACTTAATTCAAACACTTTTGTTTCCATTATACAGAGTATCAAGACCTGTGTAGTACTTGGTTGTTAAGAGCAGAGTCCTGAGTCAAGTACACATGGATTTAAATGCCAGCTCTTCTTACTGTGTGAGATTAAGCAATTTTCATAATCTTTCAGAGCACCTCTTTCCTTACCTACTAAATGAGATAATTGTTATTGTGAGGCTTCAATGAGCTAATGTATGCAAAGCCCTCAGCAGAGCACCTAGCACAGAGCACTCAATGCTTAATCTTTTGGTTGTTTTTGTCAGTTTTGATTCTTAGCTTTCTTTTTAAGTTAGGCCTGGTTAATATAGGTCTGCAGAGAGCCTCTTTTCCATCCATCTTGTCTGGACAAAGAGTTTTGCCTTCCAGCCCTTTTCCCGGCCTCACCAAGAACAAGCAAGCAGTCTGACCCCCTTTCTGTTGTCCTTACAGCCCAGCTCCAGCGGCTGGAAGGGCTGAGAACCATAGGTGTTACCACCAATGGCATCAACCTGGCCCGGCTACTGCCCCAGCTTCAGAAGGCTGGTCTCAGTGCCATCAACATCAGCCTGGACACCCTGGTGCCTGCCAAGTTTGAGTTCATTGTCCGCAGGAAAGGTGAGCGGATGTGGATGGGGTGGGTGTCCCTCCCAGGGCCTGCACATAGCTGGGGAGGGCATGGCCATTGCTGAGCCAGGGGCCTGGTCACTTCCTCTTGGTGTCTGGGCTATCAGTAAGTCAAAGCACTTATTTCTCACCCCTCATCTTTGCCAAATGTATGTCAGGGACTTTGGGGGTCAGACGCTAATGACCTAGGGTGACCAACCTCCCCACCACCCCAGCCCCAGTTTGCCCAGGACTTGAGGGGGTTTTAGAATGAAGGACTTGAAGTTTTAAAACCAAGACAGTCTGTGGCAAACTGGGCCGAGTTGGTCATTCTACGATGAGCTCTGAAGAAACACGGGACAGCCCAGGGTGGAAGTAGCCACCCTGGGATGCCAGGGTCTGGGTGTATGCTGCCAGGAGGGGGTCCCCCAGCAGGCCCCCATGGTTATCCCTGTGCCCACCTGGGTATAAGCCCCTCCTATGCACCTCCTACTACAGGCACAGCCATACCCTCCACTCACCTGCCTCAGGAGGCCCAAGGTAGACAGGTGGAGCCAGCCTCGAGCTCTGGGTCACAGGAGACCAGTGCCTGGCTTCCCTTTGGCATGGACCTCATGTTGGGGCAAAGGCTCTTCAGGTTGGGATACCCTTTGATATTTGGGAGGGGGTACATGACTGAGGACTCTGGAGGATCAGAGGGGTGGCAGGGAGACCCAGATCTCCTTCCTCTTCCTTGGAAACAGCTTCAAGATCAGCCCCACCACCTTCTTTCCTTCCTTTTCTTAAACGGGGTGTGATGCCTTGCTTAATACCCTCCATGTGCTGAGGAAGCACTCATGGTGTCTCTTTCCTCTATGGAGGCCTGCTCCAGGTGCTGTGGAGGGGACAGAAGACACATAAGACATTGCCCTGTCCTTACAGGCTGCTAAGGGCCAAAAGATGTCATTCCATGGGAC
Organism: Homo sapiens; assembly: GCF_000001405.40. Taxonomy (NCBI): domain Eukaryota; kingdom Metazoa; phylum Chordata; class Mammalia; order Primates; family Hominidae; genus Homo; species Homo sapiens. The sequence continues at coordinate 39,915,123 of NC_000006.12, read as the reverse complement.
AGCCTTTGCTTGTCTTGTGGTACTGATTAAAGAGTTACAGAGAGGAAGAAAGAACTCTTAGCAGGAGAGAACTAGGAGGGCTTCAAGGAGGATGCATGCATGCTGGCCTTGAGGAACTGGAGGGTTTCAATCAATGGCACATACTCTGAGGGGGAGCAGGAGTACAGAACCTGCAAGGGCTCTACGGTGGGAAAGTGGGAGGTGGATCTGTGGGCTGTACTGCCCGCAAACACGTTCTCCCTTTTTGTCTCTTATTTCCTGGCACATGGATTGGAGACATCAGATCTTCCCTCCCATTCATACTCTTTTGTCCACCACCTGCCTTTGGAGGGGAGTGTTTTACAGAAAAGAAAACTTATAGTTCTAGGTTATCCTAGCAGCATTATTTTTTTCAAAGCTATACATTTTTCCCTTTACCCTCTCACTGAGCAGTCTGAAAATGCTGCAAGGAAACCATGGAGGCCATCTCTAGGCACCCTGTCTCACAGGTGACCACCCAGGCTGTGCAGGCTGGGGGTGCTGGAGGGGGCCAGGATGCAGTAGGTGATCAAGTGATTGGATGCATGAGAGAACTGGGCAGTGAGAAGTCAGCCTGGGGTCACATTGACTGTGGTTAATGATTGTTGAGACAATAATTGCTTACCAGCCCTGGAACAGCACCTGTGCGTAGTAGGTGCTCAGAGAGTATGTGTTGAGTGAATAATTGATGGACTGTTGAGGAAAAAACACTGAAACGGGAGTGGAAAACCTGCATTCTGAAAGATGGAGCCATGGGGCTTTGAGCAGAGCATTGCCTCACTCTGGGTCTTGGTTTCCTCCCGTAGACTACAAGAGGGTTCAACTAGATCCAGGGTCAGCATGCTATGGCCCACAGGCCACATCTAGCCCCCTGCCTGTTTTCATGTAGCCTTTGAGCCAAGAATGCATTTTACAGATAGCATTCAAAATCAGTTAATGATAGGGAACATTAACTATGAACCCCATTTAAGCAAAATATTGTCCCTGCAAAAAGAATCGCATTATTGTATCCCATTTGTAGATCTGTTTTACAAGACACTGTAGTCAGTTATTACTATTACATTTTGAATTTAGCCAACACTTTGTGACATGTACTTACACGGATCCTCAATTTTGCCTCTTGGCTTGCAAAGCCTACGATATTACTCTGGCCTGTTTTAGAAAACGTTTGCCAATCTCCAGACTAGATGGGCTCTGGTGCTTTTCTGTGGGGGTGTGGGGGAAGAGGAGAGAGGACAGAAGTTCCTGGATCCTTGTTTCTCCCTCCCAGGCTTCCACAAGGTCATGGAGGGCATCCACAAGGCCATCGAGCTGGGCTACAACCCTGTGAAGGTGAGGCCGTGCCCCTGCCGTAGATTCCCGACTTCCCTCCACACTGCCCTGGCCTTCCCCTCACCGCCCCTTGGCCCACTTGAGAGCCCTCAGCTCTGGCCAGCATGGCTGAAGTACGTGCACCCTTCCACCTCTTCTCTCCCTGCTGGTCCAGCCCTGCCGACCCTTGAGAGAAACGAGAAAATCAGTGACCCCAAGGAATCCCGTAACTTAGAGAACTGAGTGGGAGAAGCAAGGAATGGGTCCCTGAGTGGAAGGCCTCAGTGAGTGCCAGGCCCCCAAGGGTCATCTCCACAAAAGAATGCAGGGGGCACAGCCCTCATGGTCCCATTGTTCCCCGGCCAGGTGAACTGTGTGGTGATGCGAGGCCTTAACGAGGATGAACTCCTGGACTTTGCGGCCTTGACTGAGGGCCTCCCCCTGGATGTGCGCTTCATAGAGTATATGCCCTTTGATGGTCAGTGACCAGGGATGGGTTGAGGGAGGGAAGAAGGGGTTGGGCCTGCAGGTCGCATAGTGTGGCTCACCCACTGGGTATGGCTGACCTCAGGGGCAGTGAGTCTAGGATTATGATGGGCTGTTGGTGGCTTCTCGGAGCCCGCTGTGGATGTGATTCAATCCACCAGTTTTAGGCAGAGCCCCCGTCCCTCCCTTCCAAGAGGCTGGAGAACTGATTGCTATGCTGTGGCAGGGGATGGACTCAAAGACCCCGGGGCCCCTTCAACTGTGATTCAGAAGCTCCCCTTGCCTTCCCCCATCCCGAATACAGGCAACAAGTGGAACTTCAAGAAGATGGTCAGCTATAAGGAGATGCTAGACACTGTCCGGCAGCAGTGGCCAGAGCTGGAGAAGGTGCCAGAGGAGGAATCCAGCACAGCCAAGGTTAGGGAGCAGGAGGGTGTGGGGCAGGCCTGGAGGAAGGTCGTACCTCCACCCTAGGATGGAGAGCTAGCAGGGAGCTGCACTGTGGTGGGGATGCTGTGATGTGGGATGGTACCATTTAAGCAGGAAGCATCAGTGCTATCACAACCACCTCCCTGTTTCATGGATGAAGATGTGGGCTCGGCTAGGGTGGGGGGCTCAGTAACATGTCAGAGGACACACTCCAGGAAGTGGCAGAGAGGGGTGCTCATCCCGCTTCCACGCAGACTTTTCTAAACATGCTGCCCACAGGTCCCTGCCTTAGCAGCTTTTATCTAGGGCAAGCCAGGCATAGGTCAACCCATGGGTCATCCATCCTACCAGAGTCTTCTATCACCTGAGGGCCTTGGGTGGAGCTTCACGTGGGGTCCTCTGGGAGAGGGTTGAGGAGTGGAGGTTCTGATGTCATGGAGTGAGAAACTGGGCTCAGTAGCCCATCCCCTCCACTGCCCTTTTGCTCCCACTCTCCCCTGCCCAGGCCTTTAAAATCCCTGGCTTCCAAGGCCAGATCAGCTTCATCACATCCATGTCTGAGCATTTCTGTGGGACCTGCAACCGCCTGCGAATCACAGCTGATGGGAACCTCAAGGTGAGCATCCCCTCCTCCACAGGGACCCCTTGCCACCTCTGTGTTCTCATGTCTCCTCCCACCTGTGCTCCCTGATTGGAGAGGAGGCTGGCAGGGCACGGTGTCGGGGGAGGTGGTTGGTGCAATAATGTCAGGTTTGGGGGCATGATGGGAGCAGCAGGTGAGGGTGAACTCATGGCCCCTCTGGAAATGTCACCCTGATTCCTTCCTTCCTTCTGTGGGGCCCTGAAGTAGCTTCTGGTTTATTGGGAGCTCCTTTCCAGCTCTCATGGAGCTGCAGGATCAATGTGCATTTTGCCTGGCCCCCGCCATGGTTAGCCCCTTCCACCAGGCCAGGGGCTCAGCTCTGAAACCAGAAATGGATGTTACTCATATCTAACAAGCATGTCCTGTGCATTCGTCCCTGTGGGGGATGTCGGGACCCCTTCTCGTCAGGGCTATGCAGACTCACAGGCAAGACCAAACAGAGGCAATGTGTGGCAGCACGAGAGTCCTTGCCACACGCGTGGCTAGATAGCCTGTGAGAGTGCAGGGCATCAAGAGCACTACAGACCTCAGCGAGCCTTGAAGAATGGGTGGGGCAGAAGTGGGGAGGGGAGGGTGCATACATAGGGTTCATACTGGTTGGGCGGGCTAGGGCAGATTAAAGTCAGCTATGGGAAGACTACATTGTAGGGGGCTTTGGTTCAGAATGTGTTCTGTGGACAATAGTGTGCTGCGTAAGGTTCCTGAACAGGGGAGACATCCCCCATGTATGTTTTATAAGCCACAGGCTGGGTGTGATGGCAGGAAGACCAATTAGGTGGCCATTCAGTGGTTCTCCAAATATGTTAGAGTGTGAATTGAAGGGAAGGAAGACTCAGAGAGCTTGGTAATGTTCGCGGAAGGAGAGGAGGAAGGCATCAAGGTAGCTGGAAGGCCTTGGGATCTTTTACAATTGTGGGAGGGTGATGATGGTGGGTTGGGTTTAGATGCATGCAGTTTGAATCCAAAAGGAACCATCCAGCAGGTTGCTGAAAAGCTTGGGGGTTTTTCTGGGCTGGAGATACGGAATTGACTTGGACTAGAGGTGGTATCTGTATCTGTGAGGTCTTGGCAGGAAATGGAAGGTGGGATTCTGAAGAGAATGTAATGAAGAAGCTATTTATAACATATAAGATTAAGGGAACCAATAAAGGATATTGAGGTACTTGGGACCAGCAGCAGCAAAGTGCTGTTCCCACTTAGGAAGGGCAAGGGGGAGGCACTGATGTCACTGGGGCCCAGGAAGGGCTGGAGCCTTAGAAGAGAGGCCACCTCATTGGCACTTGAGCTGTGCAGAGAAGCAGCTGCTGCCAGATACATCAAAGCAGGGAGGAAGTAGGGGAGAAATGCCTGAAGATTGTTCTTTCCCTTTACCCATTGATCTCCCAGGCAGGAGCCAGCTGGGGGGCGGGAGGGGAGGGTGGTACCAGGTGAAGTCCACAGGAGGAACCTCTTTGTTGCAGAGAAGGGAACCTGGAGGCTGGTTGGGGAGCGAGGCATGAGGAATAACAGGCACGCTGAAGCAGTTAGACCTATCCTAGATTTCACTGGTATCTTCTCCAGTGGTCTCTGCCTGCAGAAGCTTCTCAGACATTCTTCTTTCTCTGTGGCCACAGTGCCTTGTGCAGAGCTGGCACAGAGTAGATGCTTCATAAGTTTTGGTGGAAGGATGGTAGGTATATTGATTTCTGGGGCTGTCTCATCCATCCCTCTTACAGAAGCTGAGAAGCATTGAGTGAAGTTTGACCTTAAGTTGTCATGCCCAGCAGCCCTCAGCTGAAGCTTCCAAGCAGTGATCACAGACTCAAATAGGTACAGGGCAGTCAGGTGATGTCCACAAGGGACTTGGAGGGGCTGAGGTGAAATGGGATGTGTGTGCCACAACAGGGGTAGGAGACTTCCAGGACACACACAGCTCCAACTGGTTGGGGGCCATTCTCATGGTGATAAAGTGGCCATTCCAGCAAGTGTCTCAGAAGGTAGAGATCTGGATTTTTACATGCTATCTCTGTTGGCATCTACTTAGTTTTTTAAAAATACACTGAGGGAAGTATGACTGTAACTCACATATAGGTATTGGGAAGTCGAATTTTGCCTCTTGCTCTTCTAGCCTCTCTGACCTCCCTACAGCACCTCTGTCTCTCACTGCTAGGGGCCCTGCCATGGGAGGCCTGGGCCCTGGTGCTCCTCCCGGAGGGAGAACCAGGGAAGGAGTTAGCTCCTCAGAGGCCAGGAGGCCAAGGCTCAGGGGTAAGGAAGGCATATTGTCCTCACCCACATGTAGGTCTGCCTCTTTGGAAACTCTGAGGTATCCCTGCGGGATCACCTGCGAGCTGGGGCCTCTGAGCAGGAGCTGCTGAGAATCATTGGGGCTGCTGTGGGCAGGAAGAAGCGGCAGCATGCAGGTAAGTGCAGGGTGGGGAGGGCTGGCCTGGATGGTGAGTGGGCCTTGTCCCTGGGAGGGAGGTGTGGAGTTGTGGGGTGAGATGACCAAGGAACACCTAGGGGGAAGCTGGCGAGAGTCAGCATCATCCCCACTACCACTCACTGCTGTTGGCCCTCTGGACTCAGGGTACAGTGATGCTTCTCCTTCCATGGGGAAAAGTCATAGCAGAGGCTGCACAGGAGAGGGGACCCCAGATTCTCTTGGGCTGTTTTACTAGGTGGGGAGAAGGGGGTGTCATTGCTTCTTTCTCATCCCACACGTGGCCTTCTGTTTAGGGAGGGCAGGGTCCTGATGTCCACAGACTGTTCTTTGGGCTCAGCCTTGAGCGACCTCGCAGTGCACATGTGGGGGCCTTTTGTCATACAGCTGAGTGCATGTGCTCGGGGCTGTCAAGCGCGTTTGTTTCAGTGAACTCTCCTCTCCCCGCCCTGTCCCTCTCCCGCTCCCCTGCTTTCCTCTCCCTCTCCCCTTCCCCTGCTTTCCTCTCCCTCTCCCCCTCCCCCTCCCCTGCTTTCCTCTCCCTCTCCCCCTCCCCCTCCCCTGCTTTCCTCTCCCTCTCCCCTCCCCCTCCCCTGCTTTCCTCTCCCTCTCCCCTTCCCCTGCTTTCCTCTCCCTCTCCCCCTCCCCTGCTTTCCTCTCCCTCTCCCCCTCCCCTGCTTTCCTCTCCCTCCCCATCTTTCCCTCACCCCAGGCATGTTCAGTATTTCCCAGATGAAGAACCGGCCCATGATCCTCATCGGTGGGTGACCCATCAGTACGTAACCACTCACCCTTGTCATTTGGGGATCTCGTGGGGTGGGAGCCGTGCCATAGGCACCCCCAGCTCCTGCATTTCATGCTGATTTCTCATCCTTGTTTTTCTTCTATTCCTCCTTCATCTCTTCTTAACCTTCAAGGTTTTACTGTTTCTTCCCCCACTGTTCATGATCCCCCTTACTATACCTGCCACAGAAATGATCCTTCTGTCTCACCAGACATCAGAGCAGGGGGATGGTCTGCCAGATTTAATGATCACTAAGTTAGTGGCTCCCTGAGAATTGAAATCCTGGTTAAAACAGAGGCCTTTTCCTCGGCTCTAAAATCTCCCATTTGGATAATGTGACAGGTGTCCTCTGTAGTACCCAATGATCCATGCACGGTGTATCTGGACCATGAGCCCCCACGGGTGGATGTGTGGCCAGACGTCTGTGCTGGGCAGATCTTGAGGCAGCAAGTTAATAATGTTACTCACATGTAACATGAGGTAATGATGGCCAAGACCTCAACTTCCCAATTCCTTAACTCTCAGGAACATCTGCATAGGATGTATCATCGTGTGTGTAGGATGCTTCAAACAAAAGCCCCCTGGTTTTAAGTCCTTATGTGGTCTCCTACCCCTGGGGGCTGGGCTGGTCACTGAGGAGCTGTAGGGTGGCTGTTGCCCCTCTGTCACGGTGCCCAGATTATAGCAGGTGAGGCCTTGACCCTTTGCTCGCAGTCAGTTCTGAGCCCCCTGAACTGTGCCACTAGGAAAGAAAAAGCAGGGGGGAGAAAAGATGAGAGGAAAGATCCTTTCTTTAGAGGTTAGAGCAGAGGGAACTCAGTGGCCCAGAGGGGAAGGCAGGCTAGAGACAGCCCAAGGACCATCTTTGCCCACTGGCTGCCCGGGAAAGCAAAGGTAGCTTGCCACTGGGAAGAAGACTCTCATCTCCTCTCCTCCCACCCCCAGCATCCAAGTCCTCTTGTTGGGCCCTGACCCATGCTGAGGCACCTTCATGGCCTTGATGGCATCTCCCCAGAAGGGAGGCTGCCCCTCTGACATTGACATGTCTGGGGCTTAGAGTATGATGCGAAGTGGGAAGCTGGGGGAGCATTTGCCTCATACTTTCAGAGATATTGAGTAACCAGTCTGCTTTCTATACAACCAAGAGTTGCCTAGGACAGGGCCTCTCAGAATTTCATGTGCATGTGAATCACTGGGGATTTTGTCCTTTTGGATTGACTTGGAAGGTCTGGGGTGGGATTCTGCATCTCTTGTGAGTTCTCAGGTGGTGCTGGTGCTGCTGGTGCTGCTGGTCCATAAGCCAACCACCCTTTGAGTAACAAGAGCCTGCACCATTCCCTAGGCCCTCTGCACCATCTGAATTAGCCCGTCAGTTTGTATGTGCTTCTCATGTGCTTCAGGGGACTTGAAAAACATTTAAGTAGATCACAAATTCCCCTTATTATCTTGTCTGTAAACTAAGTGGTTATATTAACTCTTCATGGAGAATGTGAAGATAAAAATAGGTGTAATTGGTAATTTAGAGTGAGACCTAGCTCTAGTTTTAAGAAAATGAAGGGACATTCAGAGGTCATGTGATCCAGGCCTCAACTTGGTGCTGCTTGAGAGAACTTGGGAATTGAGAAGGTTTTCATGTGGAGGGAACCCTGTGCCACGGTGGCACAGCAGTTTCTAGGAGGGCTGTTACCCTGTACATCACTGGGTGAGAAGGGCTGTGAACTTGGACTCTGGGTGCCATCTATCTGTGGATCTTCTACTTTGTCTTGTCCCACTATGCTTTTTGTTCTTCATTCCTCTTTCCCCGGTATGAAAGAGAACTTGAGGTGGGATAGGGAGAGGGTTGGGGAGTAGAGGTGGGAAAAAGAATTGCCTTTTGGACTTAGTGTTTCTTCTCTTTTCTTCTTGCCTTGCAGAGTTATTTTTGATGTTCCCCAATTCCCCACCAGCCAATCCAAGCATTTTCTCCTGGGACCCGCTCCATGTTCAGGGTCTAAGACCCAGAATGAGTTTCTCCAGCCAGGTGGCCACTTTATGGAAAGGATGCAGGGTCCCCCAGACCCCTCCTCTAGCCCAGCAGCGGCTGGGGTCTGGCTCCTTTCAGAGACACTACACTTCCCGTGCAGACTCAGATGCCAACTCAAAGTGCCTTAGCCCAGGTTCCTGGGCTTCTGCTGCCCCCTCAGGACCCCAGCTAACCTCAGAACAACTAACTCATGTGGACTCGGAAGGACGGGCAGCTATGGTAGATGTGGGCAGGAAGCCAGACACAGAGCGGGTGGCTGTGGCTTCAGCCGTGGTCCTCCTGGGACCGGTAGCCTTCAAGCTTGTCCAGCAGAACCAGCTCAAGAAAGGAGATGCCCTAGTGGTGGCCCAGCTGGCTGGAGTCCAGGCAGCCAAGGTGACCAGCCAGCTGATCCCTCTGTGCCACCACGTGGCCCTGAGCCACATCCAGGTGCAGCTGGAGCTGGACAGCACACGCCATGCCGTGAAGATCCAGGCATCTTGCCGGGCTCGGGGCCCCACCGGGGTGGAGATGGAGGCCCTGACCTCTGCTGCAGTGGCCGCCCTCACCCTGTATGACATGTGCAAGGCTGTCAGCAGGGACATCGTGTTGGAGGAGATCAAGCTCATTAGCAAGACTGGTGGTCAGCGGGGGGACTTCCATCGGGCTTAGCACCTGCCCTTCTCACCCATGGCCCACCCAGGCCTGGAGCTGGGATGCAATGTAGGCTGAGGGAAAGACGTCAGGTTCCTTTAATCACAGTCACTGTTTGTTTACCTTGAGCAGTAAACCCGAAGTCAGCCTGCTCTACTACTAACAAACAGGCCTGCTGCTAGATGATCTCTAATGACCAATGGGGCTTCCTTTCTATAGGGAGGATACCAGCAGGCCCTTAAGCCTTCCAGGACACTAAGGTCGTGGGAGCGGGACTGCAACAAGCAATGCCAGATAACTGAGAAATCATGTTCTTTGTGGACTATTTCAGACAACCAGGTTCCGACAGTCCAGCCCAGAACTTTTCCTTCTCATTTTGGGTTTTCTCTTCTCCTGCTTTCCTGGGGAGAGATTAAGCGCTCATTAAGCAGAGGAGCCCACTTTGAGGAGAGCAAAGCACAAGCTTGCCTGAAGAATGGATCCCAACTTCTCCCCGGCAGCTCTGCCTCCCTAAGTCTGTGAAGCCGCAGCCCTGCCCTGTCCTGTCCTGTCCTGACTTCATCTCTCCTTCTGCCCAAGTCTGTGTCCCATCAGACTTGCAGCCTTTCAGCTTAACAGTTGCCCGGTCCTGCTGGCCCCTTTTCCTCTGGCCCCCCTCTTCTGAAACAGGATGTGCACACATGGGCCATAGCCCTAAGGACTCCTGCCAGACCACACAGCCCACACCTGGCCCTGTTCACGGCTGTTCCACCCACCCCTCTTTATTCTGGAGCATATCAGGGAAAGAAAAGTTGATGATAGATTGCCTTCACCCTCACAGCGCACAAATAAAGCTACGATGCCAACTTTGCAGATGCAAGAATGAAGACACTGTGTGGGTAGGGCACTGAGCTGCTGCAGTTTCACAGGGAAGGCTGCACCTATCAATCAATCAATCAATCCTATCCCAAGACACAGTTCCCTGAGGGAAGAAGAGGAGGGACCTGGAAAGGCCTAAGGGTGTACTCTCTGTATAGCCCCGCTATGGGAAAATAAAGTGGAGTAGGGGGCATAGAAATGCACCATCTAAGGGAAATCTTTTGTCAGGTGGTGGCCAGGGGTGTTCAAAGCTCATTGCTTGCATTACCAGCTATTAGAGAGATCAGAGAGGGCAATTAATTAGAGGCTCCTGGTTCTCACATCCCAAACACACACAGTTCTGGCCTGCTGGGCTCTCTAACTTGGATGTCTTTGAGTCCTCAGTGGTGCCCCCTGCCTGCCTCCCCTCTGCCCTATGCCAAGGTGTGCTGGCAAATATTAAACAACCAGCTCTCTGGAAAAGACAATTTGTGATATAAATACTCCCATGTTGAATAATTTCAAGCTACCAGTATGTCAAATGGCTTGCAAAATTTCTGAAAATGTAAACAATTGGTTCTCACAGAGCTGGTACAAGCTGGCTCCAGCACACTCTCAGCCCACCCCAGATCCCCTCATAGGAAGAAGGCACAAGTTTAAAGGCAGACTGGGTAGGGATGGTATGAATTTAATATTTTTTAGTATTACAATATATTCTTATAAAAAAGGTGCAAGTGAAAAAGGACACTGTAGATTATGTCCATTAGCCTCATTTGTCATCTGAGGCAGCTGGTGAGAACAGCCTTGGCGTGAAGGCATCCCTGGTAGAAGTCGGGGGAGATAGATAGTCACAGTTCCCCAGTTGGTGGAAATGGGATGGGAGTAGGGAGAGGCTGGAACAGACCCTTCCCCATTCACCTGGAGAATTTTCTCCTCCCACTGCCCTAAACACTTTATTTCCATCACAGGGGAGAAATGCTGCTGAGAAGGTTGTGTTTGTTAGGTTGATGACGAATTTTACATTGGCCACAAAATTAGCTAGAGAAACTTATCTAAAGGTGGCAGGAGCAGTGGGGAGGGCATGAAGAAAGCAAGACCAAGAAACAACCTATTAAGGACCAGCTCAGCCACCCCGACTGGGCACCAGCCCCTTCTTACTCAGTTGAGTATGAGTCCATGGTCCAAGGCACTGTTGGAGATCTGGCTACAGTGGCATCTAGCACCAGAGCCACTGGCCAGATGTAGAAAATAAATAGAAAAATATCTTTCTTTTAGAGTGAGAAGGCTGAGCTCTGGAACAACGTATTTGTGTCCTCTGTCAACAGTTGAACCAAATTCTGCTTTTCTGAAGATCAAATGTATCTTGAACAGCTTCCATAGTCCTTTTGTTTCCAGGTGCGTATCCAGTCTTCCATGGTGGGTGGGAATGCCAGACACGCTTGTGGAGCCCTCCCCTGTTCCCTGCCCCTGAGGGGGTTAGGTTGACATCAGCCTGGTCAGTTTGGGAGAGGACCTTTAGAGGCCTCACCCACAACCTCCCATCTTCCCCAACACTTGTCTTGCAGTGGGAGCTCTTGGGGCTGCAGATGCATATAGCCAAACTCTCTGCAGCTGTTCTGCCTGGAAGCCTTCATCTTGCCCTCACCTGGGTTCCAGGATGGCCTCTTCACACCTGTGTCAGCCAGGCTTGCACTTGCTCAGATCCCTCCCACCAGAACACACACACACCGCCCGCCCCCTCAAACCAACGCACATGCTGGGCTCACCGACCCTGTGTTTCTTCCCCCCCGCAGCTACTACGGTCCCAGCCCCAGGAGTTGGATGCAAGTGAAAGGCAGAAGATAGGCAGCTGAGAGTAGGCCCAGCTCACCAGTCTCCACTGGCAATAACCCTGAGCCAGGGATTAGGTTGGAAAGTGAGAAACACAGGGAAGGGCAGAAGGGCCAAGAGCTCATTGATGGTAGAGGTTAGGCAGGGCCAGTCTCAAAGAAGATGAAAGGCCAACTCGGAACGTGGTATTGAATAAGAGCCTTGATGGAGTTTTAGAAAAATTTTGTCTAGATACAGCCATCCCATCCACCAAGGCCAGCATGAGATGGACAAAATGGAAGGTGGCAGTGGATGGGAGGACCAGAAGGAACCCCTTGCAAGTTGGGCTGAAGAACCAAATTGGGTACCAGAAATGGGGTGGCCCCCCTCTCAGCCTTCCTCCTTGGCACCTTCAGGTGATGTGCTCCCCAGAGGATATCAGCCTTCCTCCTCCATCCCCATCTCCCCAGTTTCCCTTGCCTGCTCTGCTGTTCGCACCATCTGAACGCCTGAGAGGAGGGGCCACCCTTAGAGACAGCATGTTAATGTAGAGGGCAGCTCTGGCCCTCAGACCTCTCAGGAACCAACTCCCCAACGCCAGTGGACACATGGTTCCAAGTGGCCACCTGCAGGCTGGACAGAGGCTGCTGTGGCTTCTGCCTTGAAGCTAGTGTTAGAGAAGGGGTGGGAGGGCCTGAGCAATTTATATGAAGTAGAGAACTATGGGATGGAGCTAAGCATTCAAGTGCTGCCCTCTGCTGAGGGGCTGTAGGGGACTCCAAGGCAACATTTGAGGTCACTGTCTGGCTTCACAACAATGGCCAGGTGTCCAGGAGATGGGGACATGGGAGATGCCCAAAAGGCATGAGGTGTGGTGATGCATGAGGTCTGTCTTGAGCCCCTCGCCAGATTCATCAAGCACCTGGTAGTGAGCCATAGCTGTGGAAACCCAAGGTGAGTCTTCTAGGACTGTGGATTAGTAGACAGGATGGAGGTGAGGGTAGAGAAGGAAGGGAAAGATACTTAAGACATGCAGGGAGAGGCCAGAGGACTTGTGACATGGGAAACAGACACTGCTACTCTGTCCTGATGGCTTTGGTCCCTGCATCATCCTTCCAACATTGACTGTTCTCTGGAACCTACCAGAGCTGATCTAACTAGAATATATAATGCCTCCTCTGTTCCCATTCAAGAGGAAAGTTTGCCCCCAGGTCAATGTTCTGTTGAGCCTCCCCTTGAGAGAAGGGAGTCTGGATTCCCTCACCAGATTCCCTCTCAGGGGCTCCCTCCATCATTGCTCCCCGTGCTACACAGGAACTCTGGACAAGGCTGTGGACCTCTCCAGTCTAGATCTGGAACTGTTCTGTGCCAGCACATGGGTGCCCATGGTAGGGGATGGGGAGCAGGGCCCCTTCAGCCTGGGGTTACCTGGCCTGAGGCCATCCAAGGCAGCCTCAGAATAATACCTGGGGCCAGGGCACAGAAGGAATCATGTGAAGGGGAGATAAGAGGAGCCCCTTAAGGTAAGCGTGGGGAGACACCTGGTCCAGCCACACACAGCCCCCCATCCCAGGACCCAGCCCAAGGCTCTAAACCAAGCACCAAATGGTTTAAATATCACCACCTCCTCCACTCAGCCCCATTCTCACCAGTCCCTGTCTCCCGGCCTCCTGTGTGGCTAGTTCCCCAGGTCAATAATTTAGCCGGTTTATTGCCCGCTCCCGGGTAACTTCCAGGGCCTGGCTCCCTGATCGCTTGCGGCTGCGCTTGAGCTTGCATAAGTCCTTGTCGAAGACCTCCCCAGAGCGCAGGGCCGACACCAGGTCATCGAACTCTCCTCCCTCCTCCAGCGAGCTGCCTGCAGCCAGGACCTTCCGCTGCCGCTGCCACCGCTCACGTTCCCTCTGCTCCTTCAGCTGCGGGCGGGGGGCCAAAGATAGGAACCCTCTCAGGGAGAGGCGCTGAGGCCAGGGCAGCCCCCCAACCCTGGGCTAACTCCTAGGCCATGGTCATGCTGCCTGCCTGTATCTGTTGGCCCCACTTTCTTCCTGCCTAGGACATACAGGCCCCCAGCTTCACACCACTCTCTTCCCTCAGGCTGGGAAGAAGTTTCTCTCTCCTGGGGCTGACATCCAACCCCTATGGTGTTCCTCAGTTCCTCAGTCTCTGCCCTCCTCCCACACACCCCAGTTTGGGGGTGTTCTCCCCAAGTAGCACCCGTCTCCCCTCAGTCCCAGGCCTGGCACTGCCCCTCACCATGGCTTCCATGCGCGCCCGCCGCTCCTCCTCCTCCTTCCTCCTCCTCATGGCCTCTAGATCCTGCCGGGCCTCTGAGAAGGCCTGCAAGAAGGTATCAAAGATGCCAAAGAATTCGTCTGGCTGCATCTTGCTGTCATGCTCCCCGAAGTGCATCAAGGCCTTGGCGAACTGTCAAGGGACAGAACAGGATTGGTGGAGAGTGCCCTGGAGCATGCTGGGCTCAGCCCCTGAGGTTAGCTGGGTTCTAGCCAGAGCAGAGCCCAGCGCAAGGCTGGGGACTGTTGGCACAGGGGGCAGGGCTGGAAGAGGTGAGAAGACACCCCCATCATCATCAGGATCAGAGACAAGGCTAAGGAGAGGCAGGTAAAGAGTTGGGCTCACTCAGTCCACCTTAGAGCCACCCCTGGGCCTGTAAGGGGTAGGCATGAGGTCAGGGGTATAGACCTTGGGAAGCCCTTCCTGAGGTCAGGAAGAGGCTGGCAGAACTCAGAACTTCAAAGATCCTCTAGTTATGTTAATAACCCCTCTGTGCCTCAGCTTCCTCCACTGTCAAATGGGAATAATAGAATCTACATCATAGTGGTGTTGGGGGGTTAGATGAGTTGGTGGCTATAAAACAGTGGCTATATTTATATAGGCCAGGCACTGTTCTGAGTTACTGAGAGCTACCATTGTTAATTCAACTCACTCAGTATCCTCTAAGAAAGATCTCACTACTCAAAAGTGTGCTTCATGGACTAGCAGCAGATTCACCTCCTGTTAGAAATGCAGAATCTCAGACCCCAGGCCTCCTAAATGAGAATCCATGTTTTAATAAGACCCCCATACATGAGGTCTATGGACACGTTAGTGTGAGAAGCAGATAGAGGCATGGTAATCATGTCCACTGCTGAGCTGTGGTGTCAGATTCTAACCCAGTTCTATAACTTACAGCTGGGCAATCTTGGGCAAGTTACTTAGCATCTCTGATTTTAGCGTTCATATCTGTCAAGTGGGAAATAACCTTTCAACAAACCCATAAGGTAGGTGGTGACAAATCATTAAAACACTTAACATGGTGCCTGATATCTGATAAATGGACCATGATCTTTGCGGTATGTGGTTATCATTGCTTGTCTTGTTAAGAGCGAAGAAACGGTTTTCTCTCAAAGCTCTGTAACTCTGGGTTTGTCCCTCCTGGGCTGTCTGTGGTAGGAATGGGTGAAGGAGCTTGTTTAGATAAGGCTGGGTTGGCAAGCAGTGGGGGTTGGGGCACCCTTACCTTGTCCCTGGCCTCATTTAGCTGGTCCTCCAGCTCGGAGAAGCTGAAGCTGGACACCGTGATGAAGTCGCTCATGACAGGGACAAACTTGTCACTGGGCTCCCGTACCTGGCGCCTCTGATACTCCAGCTCCTGAGGAGGGAGGGTGAAGTGCTGCTTAGACTGGTGCCAAGATGAGAGTCGGGTGCAGGGGTCACCACATCTCCCCTCGTCACTCACAGGACATTGAGCCCTTTGGAAGAGGGAACACCCTGCATCTCAAAGTTCTAAGGATGGCAAAGACTATGAGCTAACATTAGCAGCCAGCCCACCCTGCCATCTTTCTTTCTCTAGAGCACTGAGACCCAACATGTGACCTGGGGCCAGCAGCATCACCTAGGAAATTATGAGAAATACAGACTCTCAGACCCACAGGATCAGAAGCTGCATTTTAACAAGACTCATCTTTACAAGACTCCAGGTGACTCATGCACAAATTAAAGAGACATTTTTCTAAAGCTCCCAGCTGATTCAGAAGCTGCTGGTCCATGTACCGCACTTTGAGTAGCACTTAACAGGACTATAAAATTGTAAATTTGGAAATCATCTTCCCCCACCGTAGTGGCAACAAAACGTTCTTTGTCATCCTTAATCTGTCTCTAAAGTCCATTCTTCCCTTACCCACTGCCTCTCTCCTCAGTGAAGACGGAACGGGTCCCTTCTTCCTAGGTGTGGGGGACAAGACTTAGAGACATCCCCATACTGGGCCAGTCTGGCTCACTTCCCCACTCCTCTACTGGTGTTTTCTGGAAGGCTAGGGCCAGAGATAGTATCAGCCGAGAAGCCATCAGAACGGGAATGGTGGGAACAAAAGACCTGGGTCCTCCACTGGCCCAGGAAACAGGCAGAGAGACATAAGGAAGAACCTTCTGGGTACATCGGTCCCACTGCCACATTGCGTGCTTCCTGCCCCTAGCTGGCAGTCAAGGGATGAGGATTCTTTTTCCCATGCACTTGAATCCAATGTAGGCATGGGTCAGATGTATGGTTCATTCCACTCCACTGCCAAATAGATACCAAGTTGGACAGTAACATGGGTATAGTCTTAGGTAACCCCTTTTAAAAGGCTCAAACTTAAGCCCCAGTAATCCAGTTATCCTTTGGGAGGGCTGACCCTGTGCTAGAGGCTGTACCCATTGTTTTTTGCCCCTGTGTAGGAGCTTAGGGTGCAGTGACGAACAGTGTTTGCTGACAGCAGCCCTCACCCAGGTAGGCACTGACAAGGTACTCACCACCTCCACCGCTCTCAGGCCCCTCCTGAGGTTGCCCACCTCCTTCTCCAGTTCTGCTAGGCTGTAAGGAGACACAGAGGGAAGGGAATGAGGACCATCAACTCCCGCCTTGAGGTGCTAAGGCTGGTTCAGGGAGAGGGCAGAGCCAAGCACAGTGGCCTGGGAGTCGGTGAGCCTGGGTTCCAGCCCTGGTGTGGCCATTGATGTTGGCCCTGACAAAGCACCTCCCCTTCATGCCTCTGTCTGTGCATCAATAAATTAACAAGGTGAAGCCTGCATTCTATAGATCTTTCCAGGTCAGAAATGTCATGCTGCAATATCAGAAGATTTCCAACCTGTGGCCTCTGGCTTAGACCTATTTATTTTTATTACTACCAGGTAATGCTTATAAGCTCTTTATGTGATCCTGCAAGCAATAGCATTCGATACCAGTGAGCCATTTACCACTATGTTTCTAGTTTTCCTGGAGATGACATCTATCAGCCTAGATGTTCGTGTCTGATATCTTGCCTAGCAGATGCTGTTGGTGCCCCACCCACATTTCCTTGGACCATCCATTGTAGGGCATGGCCCCAACTCTTCCAACTGTACGCACACTCTTTTTGAGGCCAAGCTCTTTCCACCTGTACCTGTGGCCAGAGAGTTATTCCCTGCCCCTGCAGAGCCCCTCAGCCAATTACTGAGAGGAGATGCTCTCTGATTGCCCCAGCAACCTTGCCCTTTGGGTGGGAAAACTGAAGTAACTATTCCACACTGTTTCCCAGAATTCCTCATGGGGTTAAGCACCAATTGCCTGTGATTGGTAACTGGCTTAATAATGTTTGTTACTGGCATTCTTTCTATCTCTGGCTCACTTCCCCATTCTTCTACTGGTATTTTCTGGAAGCATCTCTGAAATAAGGATTTAAGAGCAAATTGTCTTTGTTTGGTTTTTCCCAGAAGCAGACCCTGAGACATGGCCCATTCCTACTCAGCCTGAGGCAGGATAGGTAGTCAAGGAAGTGAGCACTTCTCAGAACACAGCAGCTGTGGTGGTGCCCATACAGTCAACACAATAAACCTCAGCATTCGCATTGTAATTGAGCTCATTCAAGCAAAGCTATCTGCAGTAGGGACTTTCCCCTCTGGAAAGCATGCGCATTTTGATTTTACCTATCCTCAGACTGGCCCTTTGCTCATATAATAGTAAAAAAACACACCCCTAGGTGGAGATTTAAGGTGCTAATGAGACATGCGATGTATGAAAAAGCACACACAGCTACTACACATGTGCACCCAGAGGACCACTCAGAGCCTGCTTCCCAATACCTCTTCCCACCTCTTTATGAATAATCGTGTAAGTCTCCCATACTGGGAGTCTTCCTGGTGCCAGTCTTGGCTGTCTCATCCTTACAAGCAGCCCACCCTGAATCCTCTCTCTCTCAGGGTGTACTGTCTATTCTGCACCTAACTCACAAGATATCTTCTTTTGCAATACATTGTTCTATGCTAAACCCCCTTTGCTGTGTGTCTGTTTAAATTCTTTTGAACTCAGAAGACAAGAACCGAGGTCTCACACCAGCCATCATCAAGCCCAGAGTAGACCCCAAAAGAGGAAAGTAAGACAAGAATGAGGGTCATCATGGGGAGAAGGAAGTCTTGGAGAGAACCCTCACTTGACTTTGGCAGCTTCTGGAAGATGTTGCAGCTCTGAAGGCATGTTTAGAATATCAGGAAAATGCTTCTCCAGGATCATGATCAGGTAATGGAGCAGAGAGATGTTTCTGTGGATGAAAGTCAGGTCAGTGGTAAGTGACAGAGGAAACTGGGCACGAGGGTCAGAGGGTCAGAGGATGGAGTGTTAAGAGAAAGGGGTGATGAGTCTTAGGATGTTCCCGTCCTAATAGAGGGAGGATGTGAGAGGCCAGGGTAGGGTGAGATAGAGGCCAAGGAAGTGGCCGGGAAGGGAGGTCCTCACCTGTCGATGCTGGACTTGGTGTCAGCGATCTTGTTGAGGCTGGCCACCCGGAACCCGTAGGCGCCCCCACGCTGCCCTTTGTTCATGAAGTTGCCTATGGCTAGGATGACCTCTAGCATCTGTCTAAGACGCTTGCTGCGGACCAGCTCCCGGGAGGCCAACAGGATGGCTGGGAGAGGAGGCACAGGTCAGAGGCCTGCATGGGCTAGGCAGGGCAGCAGTTCTCATTGCACCCCAGGAAGATGCCACCGCAAAGTTCAGAAAAGGGGCTGTCAAATGCCTTCAACTCTCAGTGAGGCAGAGATTATACCTACTCCTCAGCAGACCCATCGATTTCACATTCACCCACCTCCAGGGGAAGCAGACACATTCACCAAGGCCAATTCACCAGATACCCCATTTGTAGGACGTGCCAGCTCTTCCCAAGAAGACAATTTCAGAAGATCTTTTCTTACATGTATTTAAAGATTATTAAGAAGGCCGGTTGCGGTGGCTCACACCTGTAATCCCAGCACTTTGGGAGGCCGAGGCAGGGAGATCACTTGAGTCAGGAGTTCGAGACCAGCCTGGCCAACGTGGTGAAACCCTGTCTCTACTAAAAATACAAAAAATTAGTCAGGTGTGGTGGTGCATGCCTATAATCCCAGATGCTTGGGAAGCCAAAGCAAAAGAGTCCCTTGAACCCAGGAGGCTGAGGCTGCAGTGAGCCAAGATTGCCTCACTGCACTCCAGCCTGGGCAAGAGCATGAGACTCTGTATCAAAAAGAAAAAAGAAAAAAGAAAAAAAGATTATTCAGATATTCTTTCCATGAATATACTCATGAATATGACACTTTTACTTTTCTAAACCTAGCACTTAACTTCAGCATTTTACCTATTATGGGATTGCTTCTGCCTGTCTTGAAATGCTATATTCTATTGGTTTTTTGGAAAGAAAAAAAATCAATTAAATAACATATTCTAAATTATAATATTCTATTATTTTTGTTCTATAAAATAATGGCATGCTTTTCAGTTGATAGTGTCTAAGATTTGATGAAATAAGCTACTTGACATCCTGTTGAATGTCATTTTTAAGATTTTTCCAACCTTTGGGCATCTTAACCATTTTCCCCCAATGCTCTAAATGTTATCTTTGCCAGAAATACAAACTAAGCTAACAGTAACCAAAACTTCAATAATTCATTCTGCTGTGTATGCTCTGGCCCTTCCTCAGCTATGATGTCTTTATGGTGGGTGTGCAGAAGGGGGACACAAATCCTAAACTGAGATTTTGTCTACTAGTTACGGAATATGATTTTTGAATATTCAGTGTGGCAACAAAAAGACCAGATTATCCTGTGATCTGTGGCTTATGCCAAACTGAACATTCTTTAAGATGCTGCTAGGAAGATAAAATGAAAACGACTTTGCTAAAAGTTTGTAGAAAGCTTCGAACACAGTTAGAAATAAGTAACTGTTAAAAAGAAGCTATACCAGCACTTTGGGAGGCTGAGGCAGGCAGATCACCTGAGGTCAGGCATTCGAGAACAACCTGGGTGACACGGTGAAACCCCATCTCTACTAAAAATACAAAAATTAGCCAGGCGTGGTGGTGCACACCTGTAATCCCAGTTACTTGGGAAGCTGAGACAGGAGAATTGCTTGAACCCAGGAGACAGAGGTTGCAGTGAGCCGAGATCACACCACTGCACTCCAGCCTGGGCGACAGAGTGAGGCTCCGTCTCAAATAAATAAATAAATAAATAAATAAGTAAATAAAGTTGTAAAAATGAATAGTAAGGTTTGTCAGTAGCTTTTAAGTTGAACATGTACATACTCTATAACCTAAAAGCCACATTATTCTTGGTGGGTATTTGGGTTGTTTCTAGGTTTTTTAAATTCCAAATAGAATGGGTAAATTATGGTGTATTCATATAATGGAATAAAATGCAGAACTGAAAATGAATACCCCACTGCTACATGTAACAGCAGGGACAACCCACAACCATAATGTTGAGCAAAAGTCACCAGCCTAAAATTATTCATACTCTATCATTCCTTTCATATAAAGTTCAAAACAGGCCAGGCATGGTAGCTCATGCCTACAATCCCAGCACTTTGGGAGGCCAAGGTGGGCAGATCACTTGGGCCCAGGAGTTTGAGACCAGCCTAGGCAACATGGTGAAACCCTGTCTCTACAAAAATACAAAAATTAGCCAGGCTGGTGGCATGTGCCTGTAGTGCCAGCTACTTGGGAGGCTGAGATGGGAGGATACCTTGAGCCCAGGAGGCAGAGGTTGCAGTGAGCCAAGATCACACCACTGCACTCCAGCCTGGGTGACAGGGCAGGACCCTGTCTCAAAAAGAAAATAGGTAAAAATTTAAAAAATAAAGTTCAAAACCGATAAAACTAAACTAGCAGTCAAGATGGGTTTGACCTTTAGAGAGGAGGGAGGGGGGTAAAGTTTGGGAGGGGGACATGAAGAAGGCTCTGGGGGGTTGGAAGCTGTATTTCTTGACCTGGGTGTTGATTACACATGTGGTTCCCTTTTTTAATTCTTCAAGTAGGACTCTTATGATTTGTGTACTTTTCTATATGCATGTTATGTTTCAAAAATAGTTTATTTAAAAAGAATACTTGGGAAAGTTTCTGGCAATTTATATTGGTTGGGATGTTTTTTCTAAGGTTTATATGCTATTTGGAAAATCTGCAAAGGAATCCTCCTAAAAATGCTAAAATGTTGGCAAAACAGAAAATGACAAGAGTTCAAAGGAAATCAGTGTAAATGGGAAAACGCCCAGATGCAGTTCTGACATTTTAGATATATTCACAAGAATAATATATTCATGAATATATTCATAAGAATATTACATTTGCAACCATATTCATCTTGACTATATTCGGTGAATGTATTTATAATAAGAATCGGTAAATGTGGTATATTCAGCAATATATTCATAAGAAGAATATATTCAAGAATTGTAAGTTCATGAATATATTCATAGAAGAACTGGTAAATTTGTCAAATTTGGTGAACTAGCTTTTGGCAAATGGACTCAGAGCCCCTGCTGGGGATAGGAGGGCAGGTGTCAACAGCTCATCACACCTAGCTGGGATAGGCTAAATCTTAGCTCTTCCAGGAATACTTCCTGGGAGAACTGGAAGGAAGAATAAGAATCCCATCTTTGCACAATCCTCTTTTCTCCACTTATAGTCACACACACTGATCTGATTCTATAATACACAACTTTAGGCATATCTTTCCTATCTAGCTCTTAGAGGAAAGAGACTTATGTCTGGTCTATACAAGGACAGCAGCCATTGCTATACAGAGCAATTATTATAGAGCAGAGCTATAGAAGAGTAGCTTTCCCCAGCAGATCTTGCTATCCCAAACACATCTTACTCGGCTTAGCTTGATATCAAATGGAGACTCTTTCCTGAATATCCACTGACTAATTCTTTTTTTTTTTCTTTTTTGAGATGGAGTCATGCTCTGTTGCCCAGGCTGGAGTGCAGTGGTTCCATGTCGGCTCACTGCCAGCTCCGCCTCCTGGGTTCATGCCATTCTCCTGCCTCAGCCTCCTGAATAGCTGGGACTACAGGTGCCCACCTCCATGCCCGGCTAATTTTTTTGTATTTTTTAGTAGACACGAGGTTTCACCGTGTTAGCCAGAGTGGTCTCAATCTCCTGACCTTGTGATCCGCCCGCCTTGGCCTCCCAAAGTGCTGGGATTATAGGCATCAGCCACCGCACCCAGCCTCCACTGACTAATTCTTAGGCTCCTGGGAGCAGGAAACTGTCTGAGATTAAACCTTTCTGATGGCTAAGCTACTCTGGTTCCAAATCTCCAAATGGCAATTGCTCACATTTGTTCCACTGACCCAAGACATACAAATAGTTGTGCACACATGTCTTGGGCTGAACCCCTTACTTGTGCTGCATGCTCCAAAGGCAGTCTGCAGCAGGATGAAAGAAAGTTGTGAAGAAGATAAGGATTCACCCATCACCAGGGCAGGAGATATGGCCAGACCTTAGAAATAGAGAGTCACTGCTGCTCTCTTTCCCTCTTGATTGATTATCTATGCTTACCACCTGCAGGTCCCTTGCTGTGTGTGTGTGTAGTGTGAGGGGGAACAAGATCTGATTACAGAAAATGTCTGCCTTAGCTCTGCATGCTCCACCCTATCCATAGACTATCCCTGAAGCATCTCAATGGATTTCAGGAAGGGTTGCTCTCTGGACTGGGCATCTCAGGGAGTACTGACTGGCCCTGGTGTCCAGCAGGGGGTGCCCATGCTCTGTTCTGCCCCCAGCCTGGTAACCTCAACATCCTGGAAACAGGCTTTCTTGCTCCACTCTGCTGACCCTGTCCTCCCCACAAATGAGCCTCCCAGCCTCTCCTGCTTATTGCCTCCTGGGTCCACATGTCTCTGCCCACCGTCCTGACCTCCTGCCTCTCCCAACAACTCCACGCCCCTCCCTGCTGTGCCATCAGCACAGGCAGCCCCTGGGGAGTACTAGGGGACAAGAGGGAAGGGACTGATTTTGAAGATCAGCATCTGCATTCCTACCCTGGTTCCACCACTCACCAGTGTCACAGCCTCGGGACATTAACACAGCCCTACTTTAGAAAGGAGAGAATGGAGCCACATGGAAATTAATAATAGCACCCACCCGTGCGATTGCTGTGATGACCAAATGAGGACCAACCAAGCAGAGTGCTTCACACAGTGCTTGGCGCATGGTTCTCATTGAACTACAAATTTCTCATCTGGAAATGGCCTGTATTGGAAGTGTTCCTGACTCAGAAAATCAGATGCCTTTAGAAATCAGCTTGTGCAATTTCCTACTTTCTGAATGGCTCACACTTAAACTAACGTGCCCAGAAGTCTTCTATGAGCCTAGTACCTCTTAAGTAGAGTAAAGACTGATGAGCTCAGTCCCAGCCAGGCACTGTTGTAGGTGTGGCTATTATTATCTTTTCTACCTTTCCATCCCATGCTGGGGCAGATGTCAACAGACGCCCCACCTTGGAGAGCTTGCATGCTGAGGCATAAGGAACATGTCACAAGGTTGGCGCATGTGCTAATATAAGCAAGTGCATATTTTTATAATAATCATCATTTTAGATTTTGTCTTTGACTTTTTGTTTTTGTTTTTGGGTTGAGAATAAGAAAGGGGTTTCCCTCTGCCCCTATTCACTGGCTCCCACCCACCCTGCCTTTCTCAGATAACTCTCCACTCTAAGCCTCCTGCAACCCTCAGCCCTACCTTCCACTTTGGGCTTTGCCTCAGCCAGCCGCTCCTGGAATTTCTTCTTGAAGAAGAGGGCTTGCAGTCGCTGCTGGTAGTGGTCAATCCTGTAGACAAGGTGAACCATATCTTGAGGTATCCCACCCCTATCCTGGCCAGCCCCAGCTCCCGGAGCCAGCTCCAGTCTCCTCTCAAGCCTGCCCACCTCCATCCCCTTCCTCTTGGCAGAGCCCCACCTGCCCCACCTGCCAGAACCCCACCTGCTTGAATCCCCACCATGCCCATGGCCCAACCTGCTCATTTCATAGAGGAAGCGGTCAGCACGGGCCATCCGCTCAATTTCATGCTTGTGCTCCTCCAGGAGGTCAATGTCACTCTTCTCTGGGATGAACTTGAGGAGCTGCAAAGAGCAGGCGCAAGTCACACAAGCAACTGGTGAGCAGCAGACATGGGGTACAGGGTGTGAGAAGCTGTACTGACTTGGGTCAAGATGGGGAGGGTGCCTTGAAAGAGGGAGGCACCCTCATGTGGACAGATTTCTTTCATCTGCCTGAAGGGGATGACAGGGCACACAGCTCTGAAATTCTTTTTTCTTTTTTAAAATTGAGATGTAACTGATATACAGTATTTCTTTCTTTTTTTTTTTTTTTAATAGGGTCTCACTCTGTCAATCAGGCTAGAATGCAGTGGTATGATCATAGCTCACTGCAGCCGTGACCTCCTGGGCTGAAGCAATACTCCCACCTCAGGTCCTGAGTAGCTGGGAATATAGGCATGTAGCACATACTGGGTTAATTTTTTTTATTTTTTTATTTTGTAAGACTGGACCTCACTACGTAGCCCTGGCTGGTCTTTACCTCCCGAGCTCAAGCAGTCCTCTCACTTCAGCCTCCAAAAGTGCTGAGATTATAGGTGGGAGCCACCACGTCTAGCCTAAAGTACACTATTCTTCAATGTACAGCTCAGTGATTTTTCTTTTCTTTTAAACAAACTTGAGGTATAGTCTACATAAAATAAAATGCACCCATTTTAAATGTGCAGTTCAGTGATTTTTGTCAAATCTCCATCCATTGAATCATCATTCAGATTAAGATAGAGAACATTTCCATCCCCCAGGAAAGTTATTTTTCATCACTTCAGTAAGCCATTCAAGTGAATATAGGCTCTCAACTGAATTCTAGGACCTTAGCCAGATTTGCCTGTCCTTGAACTCATGCTGTATGCTCTCTTTTATGTCTGACTTCTCCCCAGCATAATGTCTAAGGTTCATCCATGTCATGGTAGTTTATTTATTGCTGAGTAGGATTCTACTGTATGAATATACCACAGTCTACTTATTCACTTTCCTATTGATGGACAGTTGGGTTGTTCACAGTTCGGGGAATTTATAAATAAAGTTGCTATAAATAGAGTTGGCCCCTGAGTAACACAGGGTTGAACTGTGCAGGACCACTTGTATGTGGATTTTCTTCTGCCTCTGCCATCCCTGAGACAGCAAGACCAACCATTCCTCTTCCTCCTCCTCAGCGTGAAGACAATGAGGATGAAGACCTTTATGATGATCCACCTCCACTCAATGAACAGTGTCTTTTAATGATTTTTTTTCTTTTTTTTTGATGGAGTCTCACTCTGTTGCCCAGGCTGGAGTGCAATGGCACCATCTCACCTCACTGCAACCTCCGCCTCCTGGGTTCAAGTGATTCTCCTGCCTCAGCCTCCCAAGTAGCTGGGACTACAGGCATGCACCATCACACCTGGCTAATTTTTGTATTTTTAGTAAAGATGGGGTCTCACCATACTGGCCAGGCTGGGCTTGAACTCCTGACCTCAAGTAATTTGTCCACCTCAGCCTCCCAAAGTGCTGGGATTACAGGCATGAGCCACTGTGCCCGGACTTCCTTCTAATAATTTTCTTAATAACGTTTTCTTTTCTTTAGCTTACTGTGTTATAAAAATACAGCATATAATACATGTAACATAAAAATATGTGTTAATTGGTTGTTTATCTTATCAGTAAGGCTTCTGGTCAACAGTAGGCAATTAGCGGCTAAGTTGTTGGGAAGTCAAAAGTTATATGTGGATTTTTGACTGCATGGAGGGTCAATGCCTCCAGCCCCCACATTATTAAGGGTCAACTTTATTCTTGTGTATTTATTTTAGTCAGTATTTGTACTCATTTCCCTGGAGTTATACCTAAGAGTGGGATTACTAGGCAATAGGGCGGGTATATGTTTAGCTGTAGAGTGTACTTCCAAGTAGTTTTCCAAAATAATTGTGCCAAATGAGAATTCCAATTGCTTCACATCCTCGTCAGCACATGGCATTGTCAGTCTTTTTAATTTTAGCTACTCTAGTGGGTGTGTGGTGCCCCCTTATTGTGGTTGACTGTATTTCTCTGATAACTAATCATATTGAACACCTTTTCATATTCTTATTGTCTATTTGGAAATCCTCTTTCATGAAGCACCCCTTCAAGTCTTCTGCTCATTTTTAAGTTGATTTCATCATTTTCTCATTGATTTGTAGAGTTCTTTGTTCTGAATATGATCTTTGTTATATGTATGTATAGCAAATATCTTCTTCTAAGGTTTGTCTTCTTTTCACTCAGTAACCATGCCCTTGATGAACAGAAGTTCTTAACTGTAATGAAGTCCAATTGATGATGTTTCTTTGTGTGTTTTCTAGGTTTCCCAAAGGATCCAAAAAACTGAGAGGGAAGAGATTTGGGGAAGATGTCACTTTTCCTCATCTGACTTTGCCTTGGAGTCAGATGGGAGAATGACTCCTGGAGAACACTTAGCCTTTTCCAGCTTTCCCCAAGAAAGGCTGGCCCAGGGAGGCTTCTATAAACCTTCTCCCTAACTCTTCCAGCCTGATTTCTCCTTGACCCAAGAATCGCAGCCTCCTGGGGGCTGTTGGGAAGGGGCGTGGCTGCCCGCTGGGTTCAGTTCCCCTTCCTTCCCACGAGGGTCCTCACCTGCTCCAGCATGTCCTTAGCAAGGTCCTCCTGCTCATCCATCTTCAAGATGGCCTGCCGGATCTCCTCGTTAGAAAGCTTCAACCTAAGGCAAAACCCCACCTCAATCCAGGACAGCCCTCAAACCTTCTTCTCCAAAAGGTACCACCTCCGCCTTCCCTCATTCCCTAACAGGACTTGGGAATATATTTAATAGTATTCCCCCCTCACCTCCTCTACAAAGCCTTCTTAGATTAGACTAGTATGATTCAGTCCACAAACTTGATAATGAGCATTTTAGTGTCAAAATAGAGACGTGAGGGTCTCTGTTCTCTTGATAATCCATCAGAGCTGATAGGGGCATTTGGGAGTAAAAGAGATGTCTTCAATGTAGACCAAAGGGACAGGGCAAAGGGTTCCTGATCCTTCTCCTCCTCCTCATGCTTAAAAAATGCACAGCATCTCCACGGGAGGACAGGATTATCGGCAAGCCACTAAGAGGGCAATTTCCTGCTGCCTTCATTCTCAGAACACAGAATCGCTCTCAGTCTTCTGACAGCGCCTCAGCTCCCACACAGCTGTCCCAATCAGTCTTGCTGTCTGGGAGAGGGAGAAGCCACACACCCCCATAGCCCTTCCCTATCCCCTCCACATGCACCCCCATTAGGAACCCTGGGGATTCAGAACTCTTTCCACCATCAAGTGGGGGAAACTGAGGCCTGGGGGCTTGTGAGAAGAAAGGGAGGAGGATGTCTCAGAGGCGGCTGGGGCAGCACTAAGAATAGTATGGGAGGTGGTGCCCTCTGACCCTGCTCAGGCAGGAGGCCCCCCCGTACAGAAGCTGTGCTGTTAGCGCAGATACTGCCCTGTTTGTTCTGCAGCCGCGGGAAATGCTTAGGGGCTGAGATCATGCTGCTCCATGGCCTGAGCCAAGCGAGGCCCTCCGTGGGCTTAGAGCAACTCAGCTGCCAGACGCTGACCAGGCTGGGCAAGGGCCTCGTGACTGGGCAGTTTCCTGCCTGCAGAGCCCCAAACTGCTGCTCAAGGCAGGTTCCCGAGAGACAGTTCCAGATCAATGCCTGCCCCTCCCAGGGGACAGCAGAGAGGGAGAGGCCCGAGACTGCCACCACTCCGTTCCTCCACCCCCTTTGTCCCCCAGGCATCCAACTCAACCACCTTCTTTTGCACATACTTGGAAAGAAGGATGATGCAGTTTTGGGCCCTCCGGCCATCAATGACCGACAGCTCTTTGACCTTGCGGGAAGCCAGGTAGATGTCTTCAGTGGAGCCCAGCTCTTTCTGCAACCAACAAGTCAAGTGGACAGTTGAGGTGTGGGTTCCCTAATCCTCCTCTTACCCGCCCCGCAAGAGCCACCTCCTACCAATCCAGGAATGCTCCTGGTGTGAGGGGAAGGGGGAAGAAAAAGACAGGAGAGAGAGGAGGGTGGATAATAGCTAACTTTAAGAGACGGTATCTGGGACTTTTCCATAGGCTCCAATGGGTTGGGGAAGGACACCGAGAAGCCCCCCTTCCTATTTTTTTTATTTTTTTAGAGATTTTTTTTAGAAATTATCCACTCTGGGCAATGAGGGAAGGGGCTGTGCCAGTGGGTCAGGGTATGACTGATCTCTGTGGCTTTGGGCAATGTGACATAACCTCCCATGACTCCAACAGAATCAACTCCCATTCCCACTGCCCAACCCAGAGGCCCTCCTCAGGCTTATGCTGAGAACCTGGTTGCAAACCCCCCTAGGGAACAGTTGCTGACTCCTAGGGACTTCAGGCACAGCCCAAGATGCCCAGGGTAG
The DNA here is from genome assembly GCF_000001405.40 of Homo sapiens. Taxonomy (NCBI): domain Eukaryota; kingdom Metazoa; phylum Chordata; class Mammalia; order Primates; family Hominidae; genus Homo; species Homo sapiens. Next base: position 39,886,975 of record NC_000006.12, on the reverse strand, counting down.
AGAGCATCCACAAGTTCAGAGGTATGGAAACTGAAGCAGAACTCTCTCCTCTGAGTCCCAGCAGGCAGATTCTGGAGAAATCATTGATCCCGCCCCACTCCTTCTCTTGGGCCCCTGGCGAGGTAGACAGGAGGCTGTCTAGTGTGCTGTTCTTCCTCTGGGAGGTCCCTCTTGCACAACTTCAGGGGCCGCCTTGCATGGTTATCTTTGTGAATTGTGTCGTGCCTACCCTGTGTGTCCTTACAGGAAAGGCTCTCCTTTGGCCTGGTGGGTAAGACAGTAGACCTAGAAGCCTTCTCCTCATTCCAGGAGACATTGACCTCCACTGCTGCCAGGGGTCTATTTGATTACCTCCCTCTGCTACATTTCTTCTTTCTCTTTGGGGGCCCTCTCCCATACCACCCTGTATGAATGGGGAATAAGGTAGAAAGTGGAATGGACAAGTCCTCTCTGTCAGGCCCAGTACAGAGCAGCAGCCCGGGACAGCAGTTAAAAGTTGGAGTGGTCAGAGCCCCGAGAGTAACTCACCTGCTGAGAAGGATTAGTTATCAGCTCCTAGGCAGCAGCCACAGCCAACAGAGAATTAAACATGCACAACATTAGCCAAGACATTTGGGGACCCAGAAATAGCATGACAGACACAGGGATCCCTCAGCATCTACACTGTCCACTTCATCCCAGTGAGACCCATGGTTGTAGACAGGCACCCATAAGTGGCACTAGACAGGAGCTGCTTCTAGCAGACATGCACTCACGGAGAAGCCAAACGAAGCGGAGATCAGGCAGCTCCTCCCATCTGCCTAGTGCGACCACCACTCCCCAGTTAGGGCAGACCAAACCCCTGAGTTCTCCCACCCCAGGCTTTGCTGCCTGTTCTTCCTTTTCCTCTGCTGAAAACCTGCAGAGAGGGTGGAGGACATTCCTCCATCCTGGGATGAGTTCACCTTTCTAAATAGAGGAGGAGTCACAAATGAACTCGATCTGGAAGCTCCAGAAAGTTGTGTTTACTGAGGCAGAGAAAAGCAAGTGCCCTTGAATTTGCTCACTGCCCCTCATCTGTCCTTTGATGTGCAAGGGGAACTGAAGAGGCACAGCACGCACCTCTGTTCTCCCTGACGCCGATGGAGTGGAAGCTACTGACTCAAAACTCGCATGGGGCACAGAGAAGACCATGACTCCCAGGACCTCCCCTGCCCCACAACCAACTGAGAGAAGAGGCAACAAGGTTAATACGGCCTCCGGGATCTCTCCAGTCCTGCTGCTGGGATTTCAGTCCCAGAGACTAGACGGCCCACTGAGTGAGGGGAGGCAGGTGATTGGACTGTGTGGGCTCAGAGAGGTGAGGGGGACAGGACAGGGGGTCTTTCAGTCTTAACTCTTCTCAACTCACCAAGCTGGGAGGCCCCAGACCCAGTTTGTACAAAATCCATAACCTTCTTTCCTGACTGGCCCCATCCCAGCCTCACCTCAGGGCCCTGGAGCCTGAGTAGGCTGGGCCAGAGTCCTGTCCTGCAGAAAGACTCTCAAATGAGGAGGTGGCCTGCGATCACCAAGCCTGGTATGCTTGCCACACACTCCTCTGTCCTCAACCCCACTCGTGGAGAATTGGCTCCCAGGAGCCAGTGCTCAAAGAGTTCCTTTCAGCTCCAGCAGCCTTAGCTGCCAGCCTGACATGGGCATGGGGTTAAAAATGCCTCCTGGAATTAGGAGTAGAGAATCCGATGCTGTGGGCACCCACATTTAAATTAAATAAGCAATCATCTGGCCAGAGCCCTAGGAGCGGCTGCATGTGTCCTCAGTCATCCACAGATCAGGGCTGGGCAGAAAGTGAGCTAGGGCAACCTCTCCAGCTCAGTGGGGAGCCAGGCCACAACAGCCAGCCATTGCCAGGACCCACTCATTGGCACCCAGGGAAACCCTCAAGACTGAGATCCCAGGCTAAGTAAAGAAAACAAGGAAGATGGTAGCCCAGCCCCAAGAGGGAGAAGTCCCTCTGGGGCGGGCCAGAGATAAAGCAATTCCCTGAGGCTTCTAAGCTGGTCATTCCCCAAATGGACTTAGAGGGAAGGCCCCTAGCTGCTAGTTACCAGGCGGATTCCTGGGCCCCAACTCATCTCCCGAATCACATTCCAGGATGAGGTCTGAGAAGCAACCCTTTTGGCAGTCCCCACAGATACTCGGCACAGTTTCAGATTCCCACCTCAGGAACACCCTGCGCTCTGCCACCAACTCACCCCCTACTTTCTCTGTGACTGGAAGACCAGACTGCTGGCAGCCACCTGCACATAGAGCCTTGAGAGCAATATCCAAGGCTTCCCCGGGCCTTCCCAGGCCCAGGCCCAGGCCCAGCCCCAGCCTCAGCCTCAGCCTCAGCCCCCTGAGTGACATGGAGCAGCACCTTCTGCCTTCCTTGCAAGGCAACATCCCCTGCTCGGTCTCATAGAGGTGTTGACAGACAAAATGTGGTGGAAAAGTGGTTTGAGAAGTTATTATGCCTTCTAAGCCTAGTCCCTAAATCCTGGGCCAAAGACAGCAAGGGTCCACAGTGGTCAGGCCTTGCGACTCTACCTCCGATGCTCCAGGATGGAAGAGAGAAATGGACAAAACACCATTTCAATACTTGGTGTATAAATATGAACCATAATACAAGCATATTTCCCCCTATGGTCTGTGCACCTCTACTTCATACCTACATCCTCAGCAAGAATAAAATCATCACCTCATAAAGAATAAAATCATTCAGTATACATGTGAGGAAGGAAGGAAAGAAGGAAGGGAAGGGGAAGATGGAGGAAGGGAAGGAAGGAAAGGAAAGGAAAGGAAGGCAGGCAGGCAGAAAGAAAAGGAGAAGCTGAGGTTTGGATTCAAGGGTATGGTCCAAGAGGCCAGAGGGTATAGGGTCTTACCTGGTGCCTCTGGTAGGCTGAAAACATCTTTTCAAAATCCTCTAGGTCCAGGATCCGAAATACCTGCATGTCATCAATCTCATTCCATACGGTGCCAGGGACACGCTCCTAAAATTCAGGGTAGGGAGAAGATCCCATGGTTGGCCCAACTCCATCATGAAGATGCTCCATGCCTCCCTAACCCCACTTATCTCCCAACTGCACATACTAAGATGACCAGGATTTCAGACCTTCAGAAGGTAGTCGGTTGCTCCCCTCAACCTCCAACTCTCTTGAATACTCTGCTCCAGGGTAGAGGCCAGAGACAACCCCCTTTTCCTCCCTTGTGCATGGAGCCACATGTAAACATGTTCTAGAAATCATGGGGGGTGCTGGGGGGATGGGTAGGCAGTAGGAAAGGGGGTCCACTTCACTTTTTCCAAAAGCAAAGTCAGAAGCTGCACTCAGGGTACTTCACACAGGCCCACTCCCCCTAAAGGGCAGGTTGCCTGGAGTCACCCCTGTCCTTGGCAGCCATCATTGGAAGATTAAAGCCATACATATTTTGGATCCTCAAAGCTGCAGCACGGACTGTATTTATGTATCTCAGATGGTTGTTTTCTTTCCCAAGGGTCTTCCTCCCACTTTCCCAGATTCTCAGAAAGTGGACAAATACCAAAGTTTGGGACCTGGCACCTGTAGTGACACTGCTGAGACCAGCAAGACTCTGCCACAATTTCCCTTTGGTCAGAGCCAGGGAAGGTGTTACCATCCTTTACAACTGGGATATGTCCAGGGTTTTACATTCCAAGGTCTCTCCATTTAGGCCTTGCCCCATCTCTGTGTAGGACCCTTGCACTAGGGTCTGGATCCTGGCTGTTAGTCAAGCCAAAAAAAAAAAAAAAAGCCCTGGCAGTCTCGTAGCACCCTGCTGATGGTCCAGAGCACAGCCAGCCAAGCTCCTGACAGGGTGTTCCAACCCTCCCCTCTCAGGAATCCCCACCTCATCTAGAGCTTTGCTGTCCTTCAGCATAGAATCTCTCTGCCTTCCTCTACCTAGAGCGCAGCTGGGGAACCTTGTTTAATGCCTCCTCTTCCTCCCTACAACCCCCCTCAGAAAGACTTGGAGAGAGAAACATACCTTTCACTCACTGTTATTTTCTTAAACTCTGGAAAGGGGAGGCTAGGCCAGAGTCAGGGGGTGGGGACATTCCTGTGGCCTTCTGAAGGCCAGGGACCCTCTTGTGGAATGCCGGCTGGGAAGCTTGGAGCAGCAAGGGATACAGGCAGCTGGCCAACCCCAACACAGATGCATTCTTTTCATGGCAGAAACAACCACTGTGTATGAGTGTGTGTATGTGTGTGTGTGTGCGTGTGTGTGTGTGTGCGCTCACAGAAGCACACGTGGGATAGGGGAAGGGACTAGGAGAGGCGTCGGGCTTCTGGAAAGGGGTGTGGGAGGCAGAGAGATGAGAAGGGAATGGAATCAGGGAAGGCAGGGACGGCGCTGGCTGAAGCAGTGTGCAGCCACAGTCTGATCTGCAGGGAGGCCTCCCTCTGCAGCTAGGACCAACGTGGAGGTAGGGAAGAGAGAAGCCTGCAGAGGTAAAGCTTCCCATCCTTCTCTATTCTTGGTGAGGCTGGGGTGAGAAGAAACGGGCTGCAGCGAGAGAGCTGGCTGCTTCACACGGGAAGAATTTCCCATGAGACAGCTGACTAAGCTCGGGCTCTTTCTCTCTCTCTCACTTCTTCCCAAACATTGCCCAGCCCACCCCCAGCTTCCAGCATCTGCCAGAAGGACTTGAGGCTCTTCGAGGAGGTATAACTGAGGTCTGGAGCCAGAGAGCGGTAAGTCTGTTCCTAATATTCCCTACATGTTGACACTCACCGCGTCGCCCTGATGTGCCCACCTTGCATAATTTTCAAATTTAATTTTCCCACCACTCTGGCCAAGAGCCCATCATCTCTAGTCTAGACTCCTGGGACTTCTGCCCGCTGGAGATATCCTTCACATGCCAGGGAAAGCTTTCTCAAAAGCATGTTTCATTATGTTTCCCCCGTGGTGCACTGCCTTTGGGGTCAGGCGGGCCTAGCTGGCTGACGCTCCCAGCCCTGCCATCCTGTGGGACTGTGGGAAGATGGAGGGATGAGATTTTTCTCCCATGTCACATAAAAGGAAACTGAGTCTCCATGATTTTTTTTACCTCACCGAGATGACGTGAGAAGTGAGATAACATACTTCAAACATACATGGTAGGGCCACTAATAATAATCTATTTATTATATGAAGACTTTCTATGTGTCAGTCACTGTTCCAAGTACTTTGTATGTAGGAAATCAACTAATCCTCACAGCAATCTCTTTTTTTTTCGAGACGGAGTCTTGCTCTGTTGCCCAGGTTGGAGTGCAGCATGTAGCGGTGCAATCTTGGTTCATTACAACCTCCGCCCCCCAGGTTTAATTCTCCTGCCTCAGCCTCCAGAGTAGCTGGGATTACAGGCGTGCGCCACCACACCCTGCTAATTTTTGTATTTTTAGTAAAGATGGGGTTTCACCATGTTGGCCAGGCTGGTCTCAAACTCCTGACCTTGTGATCTGCCCGCCTTGGCCTCCCCAAGTGCTGGGATTACAGGCGTGAGCCACCGCACCCGGCTACAATCTCTTGAGATGGACATTATTATTGCCCCACTTACAGATAAGGAACCTGAAGTCCAAATGATTCCATAACCTGCCCGTCACACAATTAAAAGCTTGGCATTGGGGTGATAAGTTCTCAAATGTTATTCAAAGACCGTTCACCTTGCTCTACTTCTCCAAATATCCCCCACTGTCTATTCCAACAAACCCACACTCTCCAGTCTAGAAATGAAACTCTGGCCTGCTCTGGGCCCCTGGGCAATCTGTATAGACCTTACTATTACTGGACCCAGAGAAACTCCTGAGCACACAGCTTCATATGATGAAAATGTTGCACAAATATTGCTTGCTTTAGCTGTCTTCCTTCATTATTGATGTGCATAACTTTTTATTACATCTTTAAAATCTTACATTATAAATTGTGACAATAGGAGACAGAATGTTATTTCTCTTTTTACCACAATACAAAATGTTATTTTCTGACCATGAACAATGAACCTTTCTGCACGTTCTGCAGAGCGGTTGGCCTACTCATGTGCAGTTTGTCTTTCTGGCTCACCTCATGGCCACAGAGCACCCACAGGGCACAACTGTGCAGTGCACCTGTCACCAACCTCAACAATCTTGCTTTGAATGCTGCTAACAGGTGGCTCTAAAGCTTAAGTAACTCAGATTGGAGATGTTATCAGAGGCCCGGGAAACTACAAATGGACTGTGTTTATGCTTCATCTTTCCACCTAGATTATAAAGCCAGAGGCAGAGGGAATTTTTGAGATCATTTCACACATGAGCAAACTGACTTACAGACAAGTTGAGTGATTTACAGAGGTTGTACCGCTAAAGCTACACCTGGTTTGGTTAGAACCTCACCCTTAACTCATCTCAGGCTCTCTAGGGGTTTCTTTGAACATGCTTCCTAATTTGGCAGATCCTAAGCTCTGAGAGGACAATGTCATTTTATTACTATCCATCATAGCCCCCAGCACAAAGCTTTACAAAAGCAGACTTCAGATTGACAGGCTAGCTGGTCTACCATTAGGAGAAGACCCCTGGCAGATAGCTGACCACCTACTTAGCAATCTTGCATCTCTTCCCACTTGACTCTGCATTTGAGCTCACTGAAGCTCAAACACATGGTACAGTTATGAGTTCCCCAAGAGCCAGTCCAACAGGCCCATGGGATAAAGGTCAGTGTGGAATCCATTCATCCCAGCTTCAAATCCCAGTGAGCCAACCTAACTGAAACCAGTTACCATGCAGGTCTTTACTTCAAGGACAAAGCTCCTAGTCCTCCTAATAGGACTTGCCATTGTGCAGAACCAGAGGCAGGCCTTGGTCCAGGCTGGAACTGGCCTTCGATTGCTAGAGGTCTAATGCAACCAAGGGCGTCTCTACTCTATGCTCATGGGAGTCCCATAGAGGAATCAAGCCCTACCTGTGGTTCTGGGATTGGTGATTATTAGTGGATAATACTCATGAGGATCTCTCACTGCTGGTCCAGACATGAGGCCAGTGTGTGCAGCTTCCCCCAGGAAGATGCCAAAATAGCTATGTCTTGCCATCAAACTCTTTAGTCCTTTGTATACATTGTCCTGATCTTTACCAAAACCTAGATGCTGGCCCAAGCTCTTTGCTTATTTTTCCATCCTTTCCTTCAACTGGACCCTGTCCTTGAATTCTACTCAGTGTTTGTCTTGGCTGTGACTCCATTAACCCTGGGCAAACACAAATTCCATTTGTAGATGACTTTGTCAACGTCAGCATTGCCCAATGTCAAGCATCTCTCCCAGGGTAGGTGTTCTGACCGTGAGCTGCCTGGCACAGCAAACCCACTTTGTACATCCACATGACTGCCCTTACCCCCCACCAAAGAAAGGACCCAGAGTGGAGATCTGTAAACAAGGGGCGGGTGGTCCCTGAGGCTGACTGCCCTGCTGTAGAAGAATGGGCCCTCCAGCCCCTTCCCAGATGCTCACCTCATTCAGCTTCACCCAGTTGAAGGACTTCAGTGGGTGAGAAGGCTGGGGGACACGCTTTTTCCTGAGTGGGACGTCACTGCTGGGGTAGGGGTCCTGAGGGAGGGGCAGGCCCATGCCGAGGCAAGGTGGGGCACCTGGGGGAGTCGGGGGTCCCCCGGGAGGAAGGGGTGGTGGTGGGGGAGGGGGACAACAGGCAAAGGGCAGAGGAGGAGGGGGTGGAGGCAGGTCATTGGTTGTCATTGAGGAAGACAAGGTGAGTGGGCCCCCAGGGGGTGGTGGGGAAGATACAGGGCCTGTCTGTGAGGAAACAGAAAAATTGCAAGGACAAAGCCATCAGCACCGTTGCCATTCAGGTCTCCCACCATGATTCCTCTCCTTCTAGTTTCTTTCTATACTAGGCCCCAAATCCTACCCTTATCTTCTACACACATTTGGCCCCATTTTCTCTCTCTGCATCCAAACATCTAACACACGCAAACACACACACACCACCACCACAGACACACACACGTCACGCACACGGACACTGGACAATCAGAGTCATAGCCATCACAATGCAACAGCAGGACTGATCTATGCAGTTGTGTAGGTTACTGACTGCACAAGATCTCCAGCTGAGAGAGGGAAGTGGATCCAATTCCAGCTGCACTCTGCTGTCCAAGGTGTGCTTCCTGGCACAGTGTCACCCAGAGGAAGGGACATTATTTTTCTAACACAAAGATGCCACCTGTACAGCCTCAAGGGTCTCTTCTATCCTGGCCCAAGGTCTCCATCTCCCTTCTCCCTCATGCTGGGGTCCTTGGCCTCTCCGACACCTGCTCTGCCCACCCAGTCCTGAAGCCCAGGGTCTTGGCTCAACTATGTAAAGGGGGAGATGCTTGCATACTGAGAGTTCACTGAGCTGGGCTACCAGCTCTGCCACTTGTCCCCGAGCCTGGCGCAGCTCCTGGGACTCCCGGGCCAGCTTGTCCTTCATTTTGTTCAGCGTCCGCATCATCTCTTCCTTCTCCAATGTCTTTGTCTCGCATTCCCGCTCCTTCCTCTCCAGACGGCTCACAAGCTCCATGTGTTCTGGAATGGGGGTGGGACGGGAGAGGAAACAGAAGGAGAGAATGTGAGTAATGTGACTCCCTGCCTGGAAGGGCATGGAGTTATGGGCTGGGCAGGGGAAGGGCATGTGGAGTGGACAGCAGGCTTAAGCAGAGCCCCTCACCTTTCCGGAACTTCTCTGCCTGGTCTCGCCACTGTTTCACTTCATTCTCGTTGATGAGCCTGGCAGGGCATAGAGGGAAGGGGCAATGTGATTGTTGACCATTGATTCACAGCTTCCCAGGAGACATCATCTTTCTACCCTCCAGGTGGGGACCCTGGTCTCCAATCTGTCCAGCCACATCAAGGGGGCTAGGATTTAGACTTCCCAGGTGTCTCTCCAGGTCCCCTGCCCCGTTCACATTATGTGTCTGTGGAGACCGTGAGAGAAAAGACCTTTAGATACCCTATAACCCGGCCCCTTTGTGATACAGCCGGAGCCACTGAGGCTCAGAGAATGGGGATAGGGCAAGAGCTAATTAATGGTAGAACTAGGACTGAACCTCAGGCTCCCAAGAATTATATCATGACTTGCACCTCCTTGTAAAATAGGTTTTACCTTTAAAAGAGATCAAAATATTGGCCCTACCATGGTCCAGGTTTCCAAAGACCAATGCGTAAGAGCAAGAGACATCACCCACACCAGCAATACAGACTGAATGTGTTCAGAGTGACACAGAGGACAGCCTTGTTCATGCCAAGCTCTTGAAACTGTGTTCAAATTTAGCTTTTACCTTGACACCAAGGCCTAACAGAGGTGAAATCCCAAAGCGAGATCCCAAGAATCCTTTCCTTTATAAATCTGAGAATGTGGAAGAGTTAGACCCATGACTTTTGGCCTCTTCAGCCACATCAAGGACATAGAGAACAGAGTATGGAGAGGGAGAGTATTTCATGAAGACATTTCTTTGAAGAGGGCCACTGCTGTTATCCCCAAGATGCTACCTCCTTCACCACCATCCAAGGAAGGGGTTTCTTTGGGCCTTCCCCAAGAGTTTTGACTCATGTTCCCTGAAGTTGGGAGGGAGGTAGGGTAGACTGGGGCCCTACTTGGAACCAAGCAAAGCCCTGGGAGCAAAAGAAGAACACTGCTGTGTGGGGCCCTGCCAGCACTCCTAGAGTTCGTTGGCACAAGAGATGGCATGAGGGTTGCCCATGGGTCAGATATAAGCCTCATGGAGGAACTGGGGTGCAGTTTTCACAGTCCTGTGCAAGGGGAGCTGTTTCCACCTGAGCGAAAAGTGGGAACATCCACACCATAAGTCTACAGGCAGTGGACTGCCAGGGAACCAGGGACAGATGGAAGAGCTGGAAGCAGCCAGCCAGCTGGAACAAAAATCTTGCATGGCCAGTGAGCTGGGTTTTGTAGTGAGAGGCACCCAGCAAGGAACTTCTGAAGATTCCAGGAACACACTGACGTCTTTACCCATATGCCAAAAAGGCAAGAGAGCAGGGAGCCTGTTTACTAAATTATCTTATCAAGTAAGACCTTTTCCCTCTTTCCTTCCTGTCCCCAGGCTGCCTCTTCAGAGGGTCGGACTGGTTTGTAGAAAGGAGGGGTGGGAGATAGAAGGGGTTACAGGGTAAATAGAACAGAGAAAAGAAGGCAAATATCACACACAGACATATGTGCACACATATGCACATACACACACGCACACACACACACACACACACACCCTTCCCATTCCAGTTTCCTGGCCCCAGCTGGTGGAGGAGAAAGATTTAAGGCTAAATCATGTCTAGAATGTCATGTCATGATTTTAGTCCTCCTAGTTGTAGATTTCAGACTATGTTGCACTTGAAAGTGATCTTAGGACTCCTGTTACCCAAGAAGGGTTAAAAACTTCATTGGACCTCAGGAGTTTTTATCCTCTGGCAGTGGAAAAGATTGCCTACTAAATAGTGTAATGAATTGGTAGGAAATAAAACTAAAGTCACCTTTTGATCACTTTCCCAGTTGCACTTGTCCAACATACCAATTAGGATTTTAACTACATCAATATCTGACTATGCAAATGAAAACAGTAGCAAGAATAGCTGGAAAATAATTGTGTACTTGGCTTTGGAATGCAACATAATGAATCATTGACAGCCAATTTATCTCCTTAAGGGCAAGTGGCTCAAACTCATACTGAAAGTTAAGTAAAAGCTTAAAATTAAAAATTAGTATGTTAATGTAAGGCCTTATTATTAATTGATGTAGATTTAAATGTTTCTCTGTGTTTCTCTATCCAAGATCAATAAAATATGGTAAACCAGAAGGCCTTAGGCTCTGATAACCTTATCCAGCAACCTCATGATCAAATGGTCAGGCTCTATGTCAGTGGTCAGCAAACTTTCTATAAAGGGCCAGAGTAAATATTTTAGGTTTTACATACCATGCATAGTCTCTGTCACTTATACTTGTGTGTGTGTGTTGTTTGAAATGTAAAAATTATTAGTTCATGGGCCATACACAATAAGCTGGAGGACTGGAGTCAGCCCATGCACCCATAGTTTGCTGACCCTTGTTCTACGTTAATGTGTTTAAATTCCCCATCTATCCAAGCCATGCAGTGGATCGTGGAGAGTTGAGAACATGCCCAATACACCTGTGTTGGCTGTCCAAGAGAGTAATCACTAGCCACGTGTCATGTGGCTATTGAAATTTAAATGAAACAACCTTTAAGATTCAGTTCCTTGGTCATACTAGCCGTGTGTCAAGTACTCCATAGCCACATTTGGCTGCCATGTTGAACAGTAGAGAAATGCACTTTTTTCATTAGCTTAGAGAGTTCTGTTGGACCATGCTGCCCAAGACTCATTTCGGGATGACTGGGTTGCGAAAGGGAGCTGAGGTTTCGCTGGTGAGACCAGAGTGGGAGAGTGATGAGGAAGGTGGAGGAAGACAGGGCAAAGGCTGGCCACTGCTCACATGTTGACGATGTTCTTGACATTGAAGTTCTCCAAGGGAGCCAGGTCAGGGTCCACACCCCGCTCATCCTGGAGGACAATCTGCTGGAGGATGCGGTCCAGGAGCTGCCACTGCTGGAAGTAGCCACCGTTCCGTTTGTCTGAGGGATGACAGGTATCATATCTTTCCTGAGTCCTGAAGTCCCCCTTGGGCCCCACCCTAGAGTTGCTGCCTGGGGTCTGGCTGGTGAGGCATGCCCTTCTCCACCTATGGTAAGCTCCCAGTCTAGAAGAAGAGGCAATGCCATTGCTGATAATGGCAACTCACTGATTCAGTCATCTCTTGATTATCGGCAACTAGACTTCTACGGATGTGTCAACCACCTCCCCAACATATTTCTCTACTCCCTGAAATACTTTCTGGCTGCCTTTCTTCCTTGTTTGGACCCTGGGCATACTATGCCCAGGAAGTGCAGATTGCTTTTTACATTATCTATAAAAACCACCTGCTCCAAAATATTACATGCTGAATAATGAAGTCTCCAGGGAAGTTTTTTTTAAAAAAGATTTTAGGATTATCCACATTATTACTCTACAGAGAAAGATGAAGGGAAACTGATTGCAGGTGTGCACTGAGAGTCAAAATGGGTTAGAGAAGTGCTTAATGGAACTCGAGAAAATTTCTTGTGGAAGTGACCTTGAACTATGAAGGTAAAGGCATAGTGTGTTGTGTGTGATCTCATAGAGTCTCACTCTCATCCCCTCTAATGATAGTCATCTGGCTGGACATGGACTTCCTTTTTATGTAATAACCACAAACTCTCTTTCCTTGGTCCTTGATCCCTAGCACTTTATTGACCATCATAAAAAGCCAACAAGTTCAATCCTGACATCAAAGCAAACCACAATGCCTACAAGGTAGAATATCGAGTCTGCAAAGCCCCATTTTGGGGCAGAGTAGAAGAACCCATTCACATTGCCCATGGAACAGGAAACACAGGAATCCCTGGGAGCACAAGAAGTCAGGTTTCCCAGAGATTTCTATGCCCTTCATGAAGACCTGCTGCAATGAGCTTTGGAGAACTGATAGCTTCTTAATTCAGGTCACTGCATCTATCCTGTCCACAAGTCTACTGACACATGCATTGCAAAGTTGTATCATTTACCATCTACTTTTCACCCAGCAAAATCGTGTAAAGCCAGGTCACTAGCTCAAAGAGGCAGAACATGTTTTATCTCAACCCTTGACCCCGCAGAAACCAAAATTCTTTCTATATGTAAATATCTCGCTGAGCCTCAGGTTCACTCACTATTCAAATGGACATAATAATGTGTATTCCTTAGGTCATTCTAAGGTTCAGAGATGATGTGCTAAAGGACCTCACATCACGCCTGGCCCAGAGTTGGCACACAATAAGTCACAGTTGTCATCACTGTCACTATGATTGCTGACACCGCCAACATCAACCATTATGGTGGGCCACACTGGTTTTCAAAATATTCTCTTTTGTGAAGAGCTTAAGTACCAAGGGGTACAGTTAAAGCTCATTTCAAATTGCATTCTGGAGTGGCTATTAGCAATTATGTACAATTTATTCAATCACTGTGCACACCTGGATCTTAAGAACTTAGCCATCTGCTCCCATAGATGCTGACATTTGGTATTTGTAGGCAGAAGCAGGGGCAAGAGTGCAAGAGTGGAAGCCAACAAGGACTAGATGAAGGAGTTGATAAAACCTTAAGGAAAAAAACAACCATGTTCATTCCACATCTGTGCTACTCCCCCAAGCACAAAACTTTTTGGAACTCCCCAGCATGACTGATCTCTCCCCCGTCATGAGCTGAAAGCTGAGCTATTTAATTTTGCAATGATCAAGCTACCGTTTTTGGACTAGGATGTTGGAGTTGCTCAGGGCCAAGTCCCCAGCTCCTTCCCCAGATGACAGTGAAGACCTGACCCCAAGGAGGGAAGGAAAAGCAGGGGCCTCCGTCATGGGGCCTGCCCTCCCAAAAGCAAGTGCACAGGGAGACATGGTCAGACTCCCCAAACCAGGGAGGTCCCAAAGTCTTGTCTAAACCTGCCCCAAGTCAAGGTTCAGGCCAGTCGAGGGAAGCAGCAAGTGCAGGGTACTTACAGGGCATCTGCAGGCAGTGGTGCAGCACAGAGAGCAGGCAGGGGTAGGCCTCCGTGTACTTCAGCTTCTTGTGGATCAACTCAAACATCTGGGAAGCACTCTTGGTGTCGATGTGGACCTGGGAGAGAAGAGGGCACAGTGATCAGTGGGTAGGCAGCAGAGGAAGTCAGCAGGAGAGAGAAGACCCTGCTTCCATCCACTATGCCCTGTCTCATAGGAAAGGTTTTCTTCCCCTGCCTCTGGCCCAGGCTTAAAAAGAGAAAGACAAAAGGAACAGGGAGATAGTCAATTTTATAAACTAGAGTTTCTCAGTCTCAGCACTATTGGCATCTTGGGTCAGATAATTACTCATTGTGGGGGCTGCCCTGTGCTTTGTAGGTTGTGTATCAGCACCCCAGCCTCTCCTTAGCAGATGCCAGTGGCACCCCCTCACACAAGTCAAAATGTCCCCAGACATTGCAAATGTCCCCAGGGGGAGAGGAGAGCAAAATCATCCCTGCTTGAGAGCTACTGATCCAAACTAGGGAAGGGAGCAGGGGCATAGAGGATTCAAAGTAGCAGGTGGAATGTGGCGCAGGTCCACCACCTGGGTTCAAACCCCAGATCTACGCTTTAGTTGTGTGATGACAGGCAAGCTGCTTATCCCCTCTAACCTCTGTTTCTGTATCTATAAATCCAGGGCTTTTGTGAAAATATAATGGATGCACTCAGTGACTGTAAAGCACCACCCAAAAGTAGCTTTCTATTTGGATGGGGATTTTATAACACAATAAAGCAGAGTTGTGTGCTTTCAGGGTTGCCGAGGTTAAAATGAAAATACAATTTAGTTTGCTAAGCATGATCTGGTTAGGGATGGGGAGAGGGGACTCAGGAAGTTGCTGGAAGGCAGGGGAAAGTCAGCCCAGGAAAGGTATTTGAGACTAATCACATGCAATAACTTGCTCCCTTTCCTTTGGGGGTTTCAGTCTCCTCCTAGGCCGATGCCTTCCCGGGGGAGGCTTCCACAGCCTGCATACTACCAAGGCTCTGGAAGTGAGATGTGATGGTTCGTTTTAGGTGTCAACTTGACTGGATCAAGGGATACTCAGATAGCTGGTAAAGAATTCTTTCTGGGTATGTCTGTGAGGGTGTTTCCCAAAGAGACTGGCATTTGAATCAGAGGACTGGGTAAGGAAGATCCCACACCAGCTCCACCACAGCACAGGGCCTGGAGAAATGGCTGTGGGGCCACCTAGAACCCTACTACCATACTACGATCACTCCACCCTGTGGGCTCCTCACCATCCAATCAGCTTAGGGTCTGGAGAGAACAAAAAGGCCAAGGAAAGGTGAATTTTCTGTCTACCTCTTTTGGAGCCAGGACATCCTTCTTTTCCTGCCCTTGGACATCAGAACAGCAGGCTCTCCAGCTTTTGGATTCCAGAACTTGCTCCAGTGGCCCCTTATGTTCTCAGGCCCTTGGCCTTGGACTGAGCCATGCTACTGGCTTCCCTGTTTCTCCATGCAATAACTCCGACCTGTCATGGGACTTCTCAGTCTCCATAGTTGCGTGAGCCAATTCGCCTAATAAATGCCCTCTCATCTGTCTATCTCTATATATGTATCCTATTGGTTGTGTTTCTATGAAGAACTATGACTGATCACAGGACCTGGCCATGGGGGTGCCCACCAGGGAACCAGCCCACACCAGCCCTGCCACAACACGGGGTCTAGAAAAGTGGCTGTGGGGCCACCAAGAACCCTACTACCCCATTGCAATCGCTCCACCCTGCTGGCTCCTCACCATGTCAAACCTCCTGGCTAGCTCCAGGTCATCCTCATTCCGCACCATCTCGAAGAAGTCTAAATGTCTAGACAGAATGGGGAGACAGAGAGAGTAGACATTACAGCCAGGACACACCCTTGGTTGAGGGTTACAGCCCCTTCGAGCCCCCCACTGGCTAAATCTGAAAGCTTCATTCAAGCAAAATGAAGGCAAAATGGGAAAGAAGCCGCTGTTTGTAGGACACCCATTGTCTGCCCTTTATAAGATCCCATGACCTTCCTTCAGGGAGGCCAATCCAGGGTCCCTTCACCTTAGAATGGGCTTCTATACTTCGGCACTACTGACATTTTGGGCTCGCTTATCTTTGGTTGTGGGAGGCTGATCTGTGAGGATGTTTAGCAGCATCCCCAGCCTCCACCCACTAGATGCCAGCAGCACCCCCTAGTGTGACAACCAAGAATGTAATGTCTGCAGGCATCGCCCAATGTCTCTCAGTTGAGGACATCAGCCCTGGTCTATTTTCCCCAGTACTTTCATAGGGTCTCCAAGTCAACCCTCAAAACTAATCTCTCCCTCATTTTCTATCCTCATGCACACATCCACTTGTTCCACCTCAAAAGGATCCATCCTCTGTCCCTTAAAACCTAGTGTAATAAAATAGCCTAAACTAATGGGACAGAACCAGAGGGGCCTCACTGGTATCACATGGGAACATAATTGTGCCCTTGGATCAACAAGGGCGTTATAGCAAGCATTTTGGGTGGGACATTTCTTTGTTGAGCAGGAAGGTACTGCGGGACATTTAGCATTCCTGGCCCCCAACAACCAATACCAGTATTGCCCACCATCAACCAGTTTGAAAACCAAAGAGTACCCTCATATATTTCCACATGCCCCCCAGGGGGAAGTACTGCAATGGTTGAGGGCTACTGGGTTCACCTGTCTATAACATCAGAGATGAGACAAGCAGGTCAGCAAAGAGGACAGGCAAGGGCACCCCTTCCCCCCACAGAGCTGATTCTGAATCTGCGCTGGGAATGGCAGCTGGTCTCCAGAGGGAAGGGCAGCCTTCACAAAGGTCCCAACTATCCCCATCTGAGGCACTGTCCCCACAGGTTTGCAATGGAGACGGGTGCTTGGAACTTACTTGTCCAGGATGGCATTTTCATGTTGCCGGAGCTTGTCAATCACAGGCTGTATACCCAGCATCAGGAATTCATACCGTAGATGTAGGCGGAACTCCAGATTATCCTGGGGGTCACCAAGGGAGGGCCAGACTCATTGGCAGATCTCAGTTTCCACAACATCCCCAGTGGAGCCCTCATCACCACCCTAGCCACAGACCCAACACATCTCCCACAGCTAACTCACCTGGAGCTGCTTCCAATCCCAGAGTTCCAAGAAAGAATGGAGACCTTATTTCTTAGTTTAAAGCAAACCCACTGCCCAGCTTCTTTTAGGTCTCCTGCCCCACTTCCTTCAAGCCCCTTGCCAGTTCTAGCCTTCAGCACCAAAGAGCAGTGTTGTAGAGTGACATGGAGCACAAGCTTTGGAATCAGACAGATCTTGGATCTGGTTTTGTGACCTTGGGAAAACTTTTAGTTTCCCCATTTGTGAAATGATCATAGCATAACTAATCTACAGGGATGACACTTGTTATAATTACCTGATGAGGTGTGGTTACCAGCTAATCAGAGCACATGCCAGCCATGAAAAGGTGGTACCAACAAAGGTGATGTTAGCATCTTAGGGGCAGATTATTCCCCCAACCGGCCTTCCCTAACCCAGGGCATAAAGATAAATTGTTTTTAAAAAAAAAAAAAAAAAAAAAAAAAAAGTATGCTGGCGGAAAAGAGGGGAAAGTAAAGATCATTAAATTGCTCCCTTTGCCCCCTCTGTCCTTCAAGTTAACCTTGACCAGGGCATCTGATTGCCTTAGAATTTGGAACGTTCACCTGCTCTTCAAGTTCTTCTATTGTTGCTTTTTTTGTTGTTTCTTTGAGATGGAGTTTTGCTCTTGTCCCCTAGGCTAGAGTGCAATGATGGTGCAATCTTGGCTCACTGCAACCTCCGCCTCCCAGGTTCAAGTGATTCTCCTGCCTCAGCCTCCCAAGTAGCTGGGATTACAGGTGCCCACCACCACACTTGGCTAATTTTTATATTTTTTTAGTGGAGACGGGGCTTCACCCTGTTGACCAGACTGGTCTCAAACTCCTGACCTCAGGTAATCCACCCACCTAGGCCTCTCAAAGTGCTGGGATTACAGGCATGAGCCACCACGCCCAGCCTGTTGCTATTTTTATACTTCAAGAATCCCATTCTGACCCCAAAGGAAGGGAAACCAGAAGGCACACCTAACAGAAGGCACTAGAAGAACATGACCAGCCAACGAGAAAACAGTCCAGAAACAGCTCTCCATAAACAAGGGCCCAAACTCGCCCTCCTCCCACCAATGATTCTCTGCCACCCTGAGCCATCATCAGCCAGCTCAGCTCTGGGTCTGTCCACCGTGCATGATGCTACCTATGTAGGCAACTCCCCAGGAGCCCTCCCAGGTTTAATAGCAAAAACAATTATTGGGGAAGCAACACACTCACACACTCTACCCCAGGTCCAGAAAGTCAGGGAACAGCAAGGGCAAGGAGAAGGCACCCCACCTCTCCAGCTCCAGCATTGAGGACAGCATTGATGAAGGACATGATGGCTGTTTTCAGATTCACTTCATCCCGGTACCGGCCCAGACTTCGGTCTAGCTCGTTCAGCAGGGTCTAGGTGGAAATGCAGGACAGAGCAGGAGGAGAGGGCTGAGTTCCCAACAGGTGTGGCCTTTGCATCTTTACTCCTGTCGCCTCCACTACCTAGAATGCCCCATCTGCTCTCTCCACCCAATCAGGTCTGTCCAATTTACTCTGGGCTGCCCCAAACCTCACCTCTGCCTGGAAAATTCCCTTGCCTCTCACCTCAGTGGCAGTGCTGCCTCACTTCCTCTCCACTCAGCCTTTGGGGCTTGGTCTACATGGTTGAGCAGTGCTTCAGTGCTGCTTTATCATCGTGCTCCAGCTGTTTACAGCTCATATGTATTCCCTGCCTAGCTCATTTATGGTATGGACACTGCTTTTATCCCTTTTCCGTCTTCTGCAGAGTCAGGACCCAGTTTTTGGCAATAAACCATGGGGTTTGTAACATCAGTTCATGTCTCTATGGACTTACTCTGTGCCAGGCACTGTGCTAAGACACTTCATATTTACTGTTCATCTCACTGATACTTCTCTGGGCAGGTCAGGGAAAGAAAAGAGAATAGCATGGCTGAAGCTCCCAGGGATGGTCCCAGTGTCCCACATTAGGTACTGGCCCAAGTATAGCACCTAAAATCTCAATCTCAGCAATTGCACTCAATTCAGTAATTCTTGACTGAGCCCCTATCATGAGCCAGGTGTTGAGGTTGGAGATGCAGAGCCACAAAAATAATGCAGGCCAATATTCCGGCTTCCAGGAACCCACTGACTAATAAGGAAGACAAGTCCATTTCCCAGCCAAACTCATAACTCTTAAGGCCCTGCATGTGTTTTTATGCAAGCCTTCCAGGTCCCAGTACTCTTCACCTGTTACCTTCCAGGAGCAGGCATGCAGACCACATTACTTTCCTTTTCCCCCAGTTTCTGCTGCAAAGAATCTTCAGGCTCTCACTCACATGTGACATCCTCTGCCCCACCCAGCTGGCATCCCACCTCCAGCCTGGCCCCTCACCTGGAAGCGGGTTCGCTCTGCTGCATACACCTGGTAGTGCAGCATGGCCTGCAGCACCTTCTTGTGGCCACCAGGCACGAGGCACACAGCACCCAGGATCTCCAGCACAGCCACCTTGGTCTTGCTGTTCTCTGTGCGTAGGCTCTGGGCTATGGTACTAATGGCCTCAGGCTGTGCCAGCACATGTGCCCGCCCCTGGGAGTTGTTCATCAATGCTTTGATGCAGCCAATGAGTGAGGTGTGGATGCGGCTCTCACAGGTGGCGTGGTCCATGCTCCGGAGGAAATTTAGCAGACAGGTCAAGCCCTCCAGCTCAATGAAGCGGGTCACAAACCTACAAATCAGAGCCATTAACAAACATATATTTGCATATGATTCTGTGTACACTTTGCAAATAGTTACCCCCTTACCTGTGTACCACCATGCACCTTGTCCCACCTACAGTAGCCACTTGGTTTATTCGTAGTTTATCTAAAGCAGTGAAATCCTATCATCTTCACAAAAGACTTGTGTCTTATTTGCATTTTAAATACTCTGTATTTGCATATCATTGTCAGTTGCATAGCTAAAATGGTATGAATGTGAAGTCCTCTTCACATGATCATGATAATTATCAGAGCTGTTAAACCTGAACACTCCTCTCCAGTGAGGATGGAGATTAAGAGAATTACAGTCGGATAACAAAGAGGGCTTCCAGATAGGAAAGCCATCAGAATCATCAAGTCATGGCGTTAAGCCTAGGGAAGCTACATTTCAAGGGATCCTAAAGAAAATAGCAGAGTTATCTATCTTGAATGTTAGCAAAAAAACATTAAAACCCATTTAGTTCAGGGGTTCTTAATTTGGAGTCTGTGTTCTGCTGAAGAATCTATGGATAGCATTCACAGATCCAAGGACTTGGGTGGGAAAAGAAAATTACATTTTTATTTTTGGTAACTTCTAATTAAAATTTAGTATTTTCCTCAATGATGAATGTCAGCAATAAATGACAGTAGTATTAGCATAATCTGTGACTTTGTCACCCCAAGAAATCACAGCTATTTTCATACCAAATTACAGTTGTACCAGGTATCTCAAAATACCATTTACACTCCTCAGTACTTCAAAATTATGATGGTTATCAAGACTCGCAGCTAGCTCTTGCTATTTAAGGTGTAAAGAAGCAGAATTCATTGCTATCTCATTTTTATTATTTGTAGCTGTATTTTCATTGATTTGTTATGCCTATCTTTTTATCTATTATTTAAAACATCATTTCTGCGAAGCAGTCCATAAGTTTCACCTAGGCGCCGGATGTCCATGGCATGCCCACACACACAGGTACCCTTGATTTAGTAAAATAATTAATGATCTAAGAAAATTATTATAAATAACATTACTTATCCCAAGCGTATTTGTGTTTATGTTATTGTACAAATACGCCTAGAAAATAAAAGAATGTGCTCTCAAACTAAGTTGTTAACAATAGCTATTTTTTTACTTTTTTCTATTTTATGCTTGTCTGCATTCCATAAAATTTCCACAATGACAATATGTAACTTTTGTTAGCAGAATATTATTAAGGGAAATTACAATAAATTGGGGTAGGAGACAAACCTGGCAACTTCCTCTCAACCCCTTTATTTCCTGACTACCTCATCCTTTCCTCTATCCCCTTCCCATTCCAGAGCCCCACCACTACCAGAATGACAAGAGACAATTGGGATGCTCCCATTCTTCTTGAGGCTGTTTCTAGTCTCCTGGGGAGAGAGCTCAGCTCAGACAACATACACATCCCCATGCAATGGATGGCTAGCTTTTCGCCAGGGGAAGGGTGAAGGGTGGCTCCTGATTGTTTGCTCATTTCCATGGTGTAAATGCTCCCAGCATAGCCAATTTCAAGCTACAGATATGATGTCATTGAATGCAGAGTTGGGAAGAGATGCATATTTCATAGTGTTTCCATGCACATACAATGCATGTAAACTCAAAAGTATACCTTATAGTAAAATGTAGAAAAATAATTAGGTAATTTGGGAATGAAGAGTTTCAAGTATTTATTACCTTTGTTTTGATATAACTTACTGAATCTTAAATTTATACAATTGAAATTTTAATCATAGCTACGTTTAACAACCAGCTTACAAAATTGCTGAAAATTTGACACTCAGCATTCGCCAGCTGTTACTAGCCAGTTCCAGCACACCACGGGGCAGACCCAGACACAAGGAGCCCCACTTTGGGCCCCACACGTTGTGGCCTGGGAAGGGAAAGGTGTCCTCCTATGGCTCCAGGACTTCTACCCCATTTTCCATGCCTGCGTTGCTCCCATTCTAGATGGCAAATCCCATCCAGAGACACCACACCGCCCCCTAGTGGTTGGAGTACTTCTCTACCCGTGCGTCCCTCTTTTCCTGGATGGGGCACTCACCCTGCCCCCTCATCCTCACAAGGCTCTTTCTTTTGTACCTTGTCCATTTGGTCACGCTCCTATTCTATCCCCTTACCAAAAATAAATCAATAAATTTTTAAAAAGCACTTGCCCTCGATTCCTCTTTAGAGAGCTCCTCAGGACCTGAGGTTTATCCCACTTTCCCAGGTTTCTCTCCCCTCCTCCCAAGCCCTGGCAGCCTCCCAGGAGAGGAGTAGGGGCTGGGAAGTGAAGTCAGGTGAGGCAGAGTTGGCCAGGAGGACCGGCATGGGAGCAGAGCACTGCACAGGGCTTCGGGAAGGCAAGGAGACCAACTGTGAAGGGACTCAGCAGGAAGCAAGAGGGGGAAACTGAATTACCTCATAGGCTGTGTCCGGAGGGCTGTCTTCAGGTCTTCCACGACTTGGTTCCTCATCTCCGTCTCCTCCTCATCAAACGCGTACAGACTCTGCATCTGAGGGCCAGCAGGTAGAAAGGGGCTGCCTGTCTCCCAACCCTCTGCACTACAGCTCAGGTGTGACCCAGGGGCCATGCTTGCCTCAGAAAGGGTGAGGCCTCAGGGAATGGTTTACTGAGACCGAGTGTCGGCCCCTGGGAAGACCTAGGTTCTGGGCTGGGACTTCACTTTCCTCATCTGTGAAATGGAGAGAAGTACTGGCCCGGTTTATTTCCCAAGTTTGTGTGATGCCCAAATGGATTTTAAAATGTTTAAATGGTTGGGGGACTCTGAGATTGCCCAGAGGAGGGGTGGATTACCTTAAAATTTCATGAATAACTGGAAAGCTGCTGAACTCCAGTGAGTGGGCAGTGGGGCGCTGAGGAGCAGTAAAAGGCAGTTTGGTGTGTGGGGGGTGGGGGCTGGGGGAATCACTCCCTGCCGTAGCCTTTCCAGGTGGGGGCAGGGCAGGAGAGGGGCAGCCACTCACCGCAGCCATGGAATTGATGCGGTCGATGTAATAGTCAGGCCAGCTGGTTGCCAGCTTGTTGGGGTCCTCCTGCTCCTGAAACAAGAAAAAGGACAGCATGGACCAACAGGCAAGACAGGCCCGTGGCCTGAGATCCTGAGCTTCATTCCGTGTCAGCAGAGGGATTCATTTCTCAGCTCTGCCCATGTCGGGTGGGTTGGAGGAAATTACACTCTCCCCCAGGCTTCCATTTCTCCCTTGGTGAAATACAGATGATGAACATTGACTCTCATGGCCAGACAACGACGCGGGCAGAAACTATGCAGGTGTGTGTACTTTCAGTGAGCAACGTGCACCATTTTTTAAAAATTCTTTTCTCTTGTTCTGTTTGCTCAGCTTGTATTTAATGAAATATAATTTCCTGGCTGTTGAATCTAATTCAGATTCCTGTTTATTTTTATACATCTTTTTACTTTTTCTGATAATCTCATTCTCATATTTTACAAAAGTATTGGTCTGTGACAGTTTGGAAATTTAAAAACTTAAGTCTTTCAGGTATTTCTAGAACACTAATAGAAAACACTTGGCACATAGTAGGCACTCACTAAATAGTAACTTTAGAAAAATAGAGAAATTTCCAAGGCTTTGGGCTTTGAAAAGACTCAGGAGACCCCCTTAGGCCTGTGATTTAATTCCTGGCAAACTCCTGAATGAGGGGGATGTGCAGCGGGGAGGCAGAGCCCAGATCCGAGGACCTCTGGCCCAGTGCTCAGCCCTCAAGAGACAGGCTCGACTCTTCCCCAAGTATGGGCAAGAATGATGGGAGTTAAAGAAATATTAATGTTGACTGAAAATCCAGCCTTCTCCAGCCAAATGGATCTGCTTCTGGGCCTCACACCCATCCTGCTCATTCCTGTTCCTGTGCCCCAGGTCACTTTGGAGGCTCCTCCCCATCTGCTTTCTCCACTCTCCTGCTTCCAAATCGGCATGAAAACTTAACTTCCTCCAGACCCTCCCTGACAAAACACCTCTCTGCCAGCTGCCAGCGGGCCCTGCAGCTCTCAGCTCCATCCACTCAATGTTTTCTATTTTGTTTCACAAAATACAAATCTTAGACCAGTAGAAAAGCTGCTTTGTTTGGGTCTTTATGACTTCACATGGTTAAATGTTAAATTTAATCATGGTTATACATGTTAAATTCTCCATGACTGAAGGCCAAACATTCTGCCTTCTGCCTTGGGGAGGGGAATCAGCACCAAAAACAATTGTGTCGGCAAACACATCCTTTCCTAAACTTGCTGGCTCGTCATTTACCCATGCCATATGCACTGAATGGGGACCTACTAGATGCCAATCACTGTGCTGAGCTCTGAAAGTACGGAGTAAAGAGTCATGGTCTCTGCCTTCCATGTAACAGTCCAGTGCCAGAGAAAGGGTGGTAAATGTTCTATGGTAGAGCCACCCATAGCAGACCTTGGGGGGTGATCCATCCAACACAGAAGGCTTGTAGGGGGTTGGCGTGAGTGGTCTAAGAACACTGGGCTATTAAAGAGCATTACAGCTAAGACAGGTGGGGAGGGTGTTATAGACAGAGGAAGTGCCATGTGGGAAGGTGGAAGGTTGTGAAAGTGTGTGGGGAAATTACAATTTGGTTTGGAAGGCAGTGAGAGATGCCTTCTATTTTAATAAATCTTTTTTTTTTTTTTTTTTTTTTTTTTTTTTTGAGATGGAGTTTCGCTCTTGTTGCCCAGGCTGGAGTGCAATGGCATGATCTCGGCTAACCACAATCTCCACCTCCCAGGTTCAAGTGATTTTCCTGCCTCAGCCTCCCGAGTAGCTGGGATTACAGGCATGTGCCACCACACCTGGCTAGTTTTGTATTTTTTTAGTAGAGATGGGGTTTCTCCATGTTGGTCAGGCTGGTCTCGAACTCCCAACCTCAGATGATCTGCCCACCTCGGCCTCCCAAAGTGCTGGGATTACAGGCATGAGCCACCATGCCTGGCCATTTTTTTGTTTGTTTGTTTGTTTGTTTTAGCAGCTGTAGAAGAGACCAACTTAAGGGAACTCCATAGTAAATCAATTTGGAAAATGGAGAATCATGAGATATGATTAATTACGCCTGAAATTTCTTTCCTTCCTTCCTTCTTTCCATGATTTGAGCTTTTTAAAGACCTGCTTTTCTCACAATGAGATGCATAAACACAGAGTGTTATATTCTGCAGGTGCTTAATAAGCATGCATTGAGTATACTAGACAATGGCTCATAGCGTGTGCAGCCCATGCCTCTTGTCACAGGTCCTCAGCCTCTAGCACTATTTTCCCCAGCAGTCTCAGGTTCTAGCAATGGGCAGCCAGTTGCCATAACGGACTGGGTGGGCTGTGGGTGAGTTTTGCCTCTCTAGGCCTTCTTGGCCTCATTTGTAGAATAAAGAATGAGACTGCATCGACACTGTGTGGTTTTCCAGGTTCCTGCAACTCTGAAATGGTGTATATTTGAATCCTCCAATGTTACAAGGTCAGTCTGGCTCAGTGTGGAGACCTCGGAATGGGATAAAGTCTTCAGCAGGAAGAGTAAGAGAAGAGCTATGAGGGGGCACAGGAGCACAAAGGATACATGGCTCAGACTCCGCCCAGACCTTCCTGTCTCCTCCCAGGAGGGAGGGAGCCTAAGCCTCAGGCGTGGGAATAGCCAGGCTCTGGTCCCCAAACACCAAAGCAATGTAGGAGGGCAGAATAACAAGTTTTAGACTTGGGACTCAAGTCTGAAAACTGGGAGGGTGGAGGGGAGAGGAGGAAAGTAGGCCATGAAAAGAAAATTCAGGAGCAAAAGAAACAGACTAAAATAGAAAGGGGGCAAGAGAGAGACGTAGAGACAGAGGCAAGCTGAAGAAACACGGAGATGGAGACAGCAGAGAGAAGAATGCACAGCCGCTGGGAAAGCAGAAGGGAGGAGATCAAGTCCAATTAAGCCCCACTGGAGCTCAGCATACCCCTTTCTAGGGAGGGCCATAGCAGGAGGCTAACAGCATCTTTTAATGAGCAAGAAGAGAGGGAGGATATGCTGAGGAGAACATGGACAGATGTGTGAGCCCTAGCCTGGGACAGAGTGGAGACTAAAGATCCAAAAGAGGACATCCCTGCCCCCCAAACTGATTTCTTATAGCAAAGCTGCTCCAGGTATGGTCCATGATGCCCACCCTCCATGCCTGGGAGCAGGCACGAGAGAGTCCAGACTCTGCTTCTTTGTCTGTCTCCCAGCAAGCCCCAGTCCTGGGATGCAGCAGGTCCTGCTTTAAGCGTTTTTGAAAAAGAGAATCCTATTTCTTTGAGTGTAAGCTCCAGGACAGCAGAATTTCCTTTTTCTATTTTATTCACTGTTGTTCCTCCAACACCTAGAACAGGGCTGGCATGTAATAAACATCAGGTGAATGCATGAGCATGCCAAGGCAGCAAGAGCCACCCCATGCCATGAACCCTGAGATGTGGCCAGAGGGGTCAGAGAGGGCACCTTCTTCTTGCTGCAGTAGATCTGCCATTTCTTCTCAGGGGGCAGTGCAAACATAGCCTCTCGGTTTTTGTCAGTGAGATCCAATTCATCCTGCAAAGACAATAAGAAAAAATACGTCTGACACTAGGGATGGTTGAGATTAGAATAGTCAGCCCTGCAGGAAATTACAATTCCCCCAAATCAGTTCCTCAGGCTACTACTATCTTCCTCCCGAAGAGCATCAAAGATATGATAGGGCATTTCTTTTTCTATCAGAGATACAGCCCCATCCCCTTGCCTCAACCAACCCTATGTGACTTCTATTGCACTCCCTTTACTTCCTGTCCACCCCCAGCCTTGTCTCTGCAAATCCACCCTCCTGCTTCAGGTCACCCTGTTCCCTGCCCATCGCCTGCATTGCTTTGCTAGCTCCTGATCCTCTCGCCCTGGGGTCTCTTGTCTTCCATCCCTTGTCATTCTTAAGCTTGTGGACACCATAATACAAAGCCTAACAAAGAAGGGAATTGTCTGCAGATCTCGTTCTGCCTCTCTCAGATTCTTGCCCCATCCTTCACATCTACCTGCCCTTCGAATCTCTGCCCTAGACATTCTCTGGCTCCCCCACACTCAGCATAGGCCCTAGCACAGGCTGGAGAGAGCTGGTGAGGACAAGGGGCTGCTCAGAGTAGGATGGGCGAGCCATGCCCCGGGAGGCATTGATCTGCTTCCGAGGGAGGTAGTGCCTGCTGGAGGCAGCCCCTCCCACTGCAGGACCAGCAAGAGAAGGCACGGGGCT
Organism: Homo sapiens; assembly: GCF_000001405.40. Taxonomy (NCBI): domain Eukaryota; kingdom Metazoa; phylum Chordata; class Mammalia; order Primates; family Hominidae; genus Homo; species Homo sapiens. The sequence goes on along the minus strand of NC_000006.12, from coordinate 39,860,242 downwards.
CCATCAGGCTAGTCCAAACTTTCCAAGGAGCTAACTGGAACTTTATGAGGTCATATTTGGGGTAACTCCATAGGTATTTTAGGGTGAATTTGAAGGTTTTGCTGTGCTAGACGGCCCCTGAAAAGCTCTATTTTTGAAGCTGCCTCTCCTGTCATTCATGAGCAATGCCAGGGCTAATCAAAGGACTAGTTAATGGGCCATGGAGACCATAGTGTGCTTTTTTTAAAATCAAAAGCAAAACTTGCATTAAGCATAAATTAAGCATAACAAAGCATAATATTATGACTCTTTATATTTTCAAATACAATAAACAGTGAAAACAATATCTAAGGAAGTATAATAGTCTTAAATTTTGATATCTGTAATCTTTTCCCTATACTTTTATTCAAGGGAGAATATTAAGACTTTATTCTCTCACCTAGATCAGAACTGCCTAATAGAAAGATAACATGGGCGACATATATTTTCAATTTTTTCTAGTCACATTAAAAAATTTAAAAGAAATAGGTGAAGTCAATTTTCATAGTATATTTTAAACCAGTAAATCTAAAATATAATCATTTAAACATAAAATCATGTAGAAAATTAATAATGAGATATTTTACATTCCTTTTTTCACACTAAGTCTTCAAAATCTGGTGTGCATTTTACAGTTACAGTTCATCTCAATTCAGATGAGCCAGTAGTCCCACGTGGCCAGGGACTGCCATTCAGACAGCACAGACAAGGATTATTTGAAATAATACCCATCAGTTCACCTGCCTCTGGAACTAAAGACTCTTGCAGATTTAATCCCAAACAAAATTTCTTCCCTAGAACTGCTCTCTATATATCCCAGGAAGTTCTTTCTCAAAATTCCCAGAACCCTGTTTGAGGTTTCTTTCCCACGATCAAAATCAGAAATAAAAGGAAAAGGAGAGTTATATGCACCTTACATTTCCCAATACAAACTCTGCACCTCTTCAACTTCTGTGCCTTTGTTTACACAGTGAGTCCTACCTGGACAGGCATCTGCACCCACTCACACTAAGGACCTGGTCTAATTCCTAGGGCACAGTGTCAGCCTCCTCCCGCAAGTCTTCAGTAGACCTTCCCAGGTAAGAAGAATCTCTCCCTTCCTGAACTACAGAGCAGTTCCATGTGAGCTTGTATTCAGATTATTGATGCACTTGTCTTTTCCAGCCAGTGGTCTCTATACCCCTAAATCAATGGTGGTTTTGCTCAGCCTAGGCAGCACATGACTGACTGCTGACTGCTCGGTCCTTATTAAACCTCACTTCCCTGGTTTCTTTAGCAACTACCCTCCTGAGCAGTCTCTCCTGCTTCACCCTATGTTCCTGCGTGGGCTTCCTTGATGACTTCTCCTCTTCTATCCTACCTTTAAATGTAGAAGTCCCTCAGGGCACCATCCTCCCTCACCTGTTCCCCAGGACTCAGTTATTATCTCAAACTCTCTCAAACTTGTACCCCTAGGCCAACAGTTTCCTGAGCTCCAGACCCTAGGGCCCCACTGTCTCCAGTACGTCTCTACTATGATGTACTTATGTAGAGTTACTATGTACCAGGCACTGTTCTAAGTATGTAATGTTTATTCATAAATAAATAACAACTTATAACAACTCATTTTACAGATAAGGAAACTGATGTACAGAAAGAATGTGTGGATTGAGTTCATCATCCCAGCCCCCTCAACTTGAATCTCCTCCAGTATATCCTATCCTGCCCAGGGCCCCAATATCCATCCAACACTTCATGTCAGAAACCAGGGTATTCTTTGATTCCTACTCACTCTTTGATCCTACCAAGTCCTATTATCTTTCCTCCTAAACAGCTCTTGAATCTGTCCACTTCTCTCCATCCTCACTGCTAATACTTTAGTCTAAGGCACCCTTCTCTCTAACCTGTAGGATTAGGAGGCAAAAGCCTCCAAATGGTCAACCCAGAACCCTTCTTTAGCAGAGCACCTTGCGTGGTCTTTTAGAAAAGCAGATCAGATCACCTCAAATCCCTACTTAAAATCTTCCATGGCTTTCCACTGCCCTTAGGGTTTAATCCAAAAACTTTAGTTCTTCTGGTCTTCATTGTGTACCCCAAAAGGACCCAGCTCCTTTCTGACTTGAGACTCACATATGCCGTTTCTTCTGCAGGAGACCCTCTGTCATTGTCCTGAACCTCATTCACTGATCTAATCATCTCGGTGGAAATGTCACTGCTCACAGAGGCCACTGTGACTTCTCCCAGTCTAGAATACAGCTCCCTGCTAGACACTCCCATGCCCCCACCCCCAGAATGCTCCCTGTCCTAGCACTCATCACACTTGTCACTGCTCCTCAAAATCAGTCTTCCCTACTAGGCTTTCACATTCTTGGAGGCAGGGGAGGTCTCTGGTGGCTCATCTCTACATCCCTAGGACCCTCATACAGCCCAGCACCCAGCAGTCTCTCCAAGAAATATTGTTCACTTGTTTGAGAGATACCTGATGCTATTCTTCTTGCAGGCAAGACTTGTCTGACTCACCCTTGTTTTTGCTAAAGTGCCATGCAAGGGTCCCTGTCCTGAAGATGCTCAGTAAATATCTGTTGAATAAAAGAGCCAAAGAAAGGAACACTGCCTATCATGTCCTTCTTTCAAAACTCACTCTACTCAAGAAAATATCCCTAACACTAATCAGGCTCCAGATATTATTCTACACTAGCAAACGCTTTGCCCCCACCACTTGCCCCATCCAGAGGAAAGCTAAAAAATCAGGAAACAGTGAGTTTTCCTAAACCTGATGTGACAAGGAAGCTGGACACCTTTCTCATATAACCTGCATAATCTCATCTTTCAGGGACCCTGTTATTTAAAGAGCTGGATTGGCTTAACCAGGTATATCTATTAGCAAATACAAGTATAAAACCACATTCCAACCACATGGCCTTGTTTCTTTACTGGCTTACTAATGGCCCACCACAGAATGAGTGACCAAGAGCTAATGGTAGATGAACATGTACTTATGGCTCTTTACCAGGCCTGGGACCTCCCTTGGTGTGCAGACTTTGTCTCACCACCAGACCTCCAAAGAGAGAAGGAATCATGCTTCTTTCCTAGCCTGTCTATTTGTGGCCAGGGTATAAAGCTGCACACACACGGGCTTCTCACAAGGGCAGTCTGAAAGCTGGTCTGGGCGGGCATTGCGGAATCAGCACAGGCTGGTCCGGGTGTGAATGGCAGAGCTTCCGCCTGCCCCTTGCTAAGCACAGCACATAATCATCCCAGGCCTGAACTGGGACCCCAGGCATGACATAGGCATTTCCACCTCCAGGTTCCTAGCCAATCATCCCCTGTTCCGAGGTGCCCAGTGTCTGCCCACAGAATCCCACTCTGTCCCTTCTTTGTGCCTCGGACATTAAAAGATCCCAGGGAAACTCCAAGGAGCAGAAGAGAGAAAGGCGTCAAATGTTCTGATGTTCTTTGAGATGTCTCACCATCTTATTTTGCAAAACCCAGAGCTGCCCCTTCCTATGATAACCTAATTACTGCACCATGTGGTCTACAATCCAATGCAGAGAGGAGGTAGGACCATTCTTCTGGGGACACACTTTATGCTGTCCATCCCAGTGAGAGACTCTGGTTCCCCAACATAGCTGAGGTGTCCTGGGGGCCTATCTCCTCCCAAGAGGAGTTTTGAGAGATGGAGACCCCAGCACAGGGGCCCTGCCCTCTGTCCAGCTCTGCCTCTCCATCCACCCTCCTCCCCATTGTCACTGTCTCTCCCCACCCTCTCACTGACCACCAGCTCTGCAAAGCGGATGTTGAGCTCCTCTGCGTTCGGGATGGGGCTGGAGAACTCCATGAACTGCAGAGGGTGGTTGTCCCGGAGGTTGATTTCGGGGATGTCACTGCCCCCGAAGCAGCACAGGAAGCCCAGGCCATGGTGGCTCCTCTTGCGGGGGGCCATGGTCACTGCAGGCCAGGGGGCGTCAGCAGACAGATGCCCTAGGTCCTCATTGTGATCTGGACAAGAGGAGAGAACACAGGGTGGTCAGGCATACAGTCAGATAGGCCAGGGCAGAGGTCACTCTGCCTTCATAACCTCTGTCCCACAGGTTGCTGGGAGCCCTCAACCCAATAGCAAAGCCCCACCCACCCCGCTGTCGCCCCTCCTCCCACAGCATCCCTCTGTTCCCTCCAGCTCTTCCCACCTGGAGGCATTTACATATCCTCCCCACCATGTCCTCTGAGTGTTATCTGCCAAGACACTTTCATATTCCCCTTCCTTGCCCTCAGAGAAGGACAAAGGCTGGGGTCACTGAATGTGACTTCCATGTGACCAGAGCTGACTTTCCATAAATGTGTGGACGGGCTCCTATTCCCTGTCTTCCGTAAGATCAGCTTCCAGCAAGGCTCACTTACTCACTTGATTCATTTCCGGGTCTGGGGATAACTGATTTAAAGGCATGGACCAATGGGGAGGAAAGAGTTGAAGAAGGCTGGCAGAGGAAACACTGAGCTAATGATGTGGCATAGCTCCTGCAGCCTGGGTCTCCAGAGCAGGAGGAAGACGGAAGACTACAGAGGCTTGTACAGTTTTGTGCTCAGTTTTCTGTACAGGCATGTTTGGATGAATGTGAAATAGCAACAGGCAGTGGTTCACTGATCCTTCTAGAAGGAGGCGGCCAGTTGTCCTCAGAGAGTTACCCAGGGGAGTCAGAGCGAAGCCTGGGTACAGAAATAGGACTGATCATTGGAATGGTATTTGACATTTGCTCAGATTTTCAGAAGAAATCTGCTCAGATTTTCTTTTCATACCAGGCAACTACAGAGAACACTGTTCTGTCTAGAGACCAGAACTGATGGACGTTTAACAGCTGAGTAGTCATTGGACAGAAAGGGTCAAGGCTTTGGCTCGCCACTAGGAAAGCCTAGGTCAATGATGACCAGCTTGAGAAAGAACGCTACCCCTGTCATTGGTGCCACATGGCCTCTAGATCAATTCAATCCAACAACCAGTACACATGCCTCCTGAGAGGCAGAATCATCCTCAACCACTCGTTCCTGACAACCTAGGGGGGTTCAGTAGAGAGACCATAGCTTATGCACCAAACTGCTACCCAGCCAAGATTCTCCCCATCCCATACTTATAGATCTTAATTTTTTGGCCATAAATATGGAATTCTGTTTTTATCCCTGTTGAGTATCATCGGTTTGCAGTCAAGATATTTTAGAATTCTGATTCTTAGCTATTTCTCCTGGACTCAGATTATTAACAGATTAGAATGCCTCTGTGGTCATCACGCACATCTTTGCTAAAAATGTTGACCACATCAAGGACACAGACCCTAATGACACAAAAATCTGATCTAGGAATGCCAGGGAAGTTTCATCAATACTCTCAGGGGACAGTCCTTCAACCAGCTCTAAATCTATGTAACTATGCTCTCATCTAGCCCTCTTTTCTATAAAGTCAACATGAGAGATTTCCCCTAAAGCCCTGTAGAACTCAAGATATGCTAAATCTATGACACTCCTTTGAACCAAGCTCTAGAATCTTATCAAAAGAGAGAACAATATAAATGTGGCATAATTTGTTCCTAGTGAACTCAGGGTAACTTCTAGAGAACACTGCTTTATTTCCTAAGTCCTAGCTAATAATTTAGTATAATCTCATCTGGCCTCTCATACATCATGCTCTATTTTAACTGTCATTCTAGAATTTTTTACCAGCTCCATTTTCTCTTTCTTTATAAACTTTGTGACAGAATTTTTAATAGGCCCAGAAAAGCCTCAAATAACACATTATGGAAGATTGCCGTTGTACTACTGGTTATCTTTTTGCTGCTGGCTCTCATAAATATCGTGAGGGCTCCTGGAGGGCAGGAGCTGTGTCTCCTGCTTCTTTGACAGCCATCCCCATTTCTATAGCCAATAAAAGCCTTGTGCTTCATGGGGGTTCAATAAATATTTCTTGACCATTTGGGAAATGACCTATTCTCATGGAAAAGGAGGAAAGAGGGGTCCTTATTAATCAGTCAAAAAATACTGATGGAAATCTTGACTACTAGCAATTAATAAGCAATCAAGAACCTTTGTAAGGAAAAAGAGAACCATCCTAGAGGCTGAGGGTAGGAGAAGCAGCCAGCAGGCTAGCACAGCAATCCAGGGACATGGCAGCAAAGACCTGGAGTAGGTTAGCATTAGAGTAAAACAGAGTGGAAGGGGGACTTTGGGGTTCCCCTGGGACTTGATAGCCAATGGCAGAGAGTGAGTAAGACAAAGCCCTGGTTTCTGACCATTAGGGTTAGTAAAGCACCAACTCTTCAGGCAGGTAGGGGTGGAATCCCTGGGGTCCCCTGCCCATTGTCAAGTGTGGGATGATCACATGGAATACAGACCAGATCCCCTTGGTTCCATCAGCCTCCAGAACGCAGCTGCAGCTGGCAAGCAAGACTGCTTTGTTCAGGGCACAAGGCATGGGAAGGGAGCTCCGAGAGGCAGCGGGGAGGCTGGGATGACAGCACCATGAGGGAGGGACAAGGAGAACCTGTGACCCCTCTTTCTGCCTTTACTTCCCCAGCCTCTTGTTCCCTAGTCTCCCTCTTACCTTTCTTGGCTCTACTAGAGGAATCAGACATGGCAGCAGGGGTGGCATATAGCTGGTGCACCTTGGCACAGTCTTACACCGGCTGTTTACAGCCATGATTGCTCTGACTGGCCAGGGCCTGTGCCATACCTGTTGTTAAATATTAGAGCATCTCCCCTGAGTACGGGGAGTGAGGCACAGTGGCCCTCAGGAGAGGAGAAGTAGACACAGACCCTGCGAACAGGAAGTACCATCCCCCAAGAGAAGGACCTCGTGCATACAGGGGGCTGCTGCATATGTGTCTTTTTGAGGGGCTGCATGTATGACAGCTCCCAAGTATGTTTATGCTCCTGAGGACAATGCCCTCCCAACCAAACCCTAAGTCTTTCCTTGCCTCCCTTTCTTAAGGCCCCATCTGAACATCCAAGACTAAAATCACAGGTTCTCTGCCAAAAGATGCCTTAGAAATCAGGTCACTTCATGGTAGAGATCCGAAAATGGAGGTCCAAAGAGGAACTGTCTTATCTGAGGTCACAGGCCTAGGAACAGAGCTGAGATTAAAACCCAGGATTCCAGCAGCCAGGCTGTGGTCCGGTCACTGCCCCAGCAGACCTTGTCTTCCCTGTCAATGGGCTTTTCTTACCTTGCCTTCAGCTCCCCCATAGCCATAGCCTCCCTCCGCTAGAGCAGATCAATCTCTATAGCTTAGTTTAGAAATCCCTCTAGAGAGCAGGAGAGGTTTATAGAGGCTCCAAATGCTGCCTCCTTCTCCTCATCAGTAGGAGCTGCTTCCATCATCTGAACCCTAATTCCTCACCCGCTCCTGCTCTGACACCTCTTTCACTCCAGCTTCCTAGTAGCAGGGTGGGGTAGGGAGCAGAGGCTTTGAAGTCAGGAGACTGGGATTCCCCCACCTTTGTGTTCTCAGCTAGTGCCCATGAGTACTCTTCACCTCTGAAGCCCCAGCTTCCTCATCCGTGACACCCTGATCACAGGGTCTTCCTCGCTGGGTTTCAGTGAGGAGTACAGGAAGTAATAGAAGTGAAATGCTTGGAGCACACTGGGCGACACTAGAGGAAGCGCCACCCTGCAGCGGGCCTCCATTCCCATCATCGCCAGCAAGGTAAGACTCGCCCTGCCCAGAGCCTGCAAGCCTCAGCGCTTCTCCAGGCAATGATGGGGTGACCGAGGCCTGGCATTCTGGGAATGTGCCTGGCCAGATTTATGAAGTCACCCAGCTCTGCCTTCCTCTAGGCCAGGGGAGCTGTGCTTTTCCCTGGGCTCTGAGCTATCTCTGGGTAGAAAGATAAGCAAATCTTCATCACTGGCCCTGGACAGGGAGAGGAGAAGGTGAAGTGGCCACAGGAATTCATTTCTGCAAAACCTCTTTAGAAGAGGAACAATGAGTTTTCCACCTCGGAGGAGAATTGAGAAGCAATTTGGAGAAAAGGGGATGCAAAGACACAAGGAAACCAAGTGGACTTGAACTCAGGCCAGAGAGATTTCAACTGCCCCCACCTCCACCCACTTTTCTCTCCATGAAAACTTCCCCAGCGCCAGCAGCTCCCTGCCCTCCACATCCTGTCTCCTTGCTCCCTCCCCTCTTCCTGTGGGGACAAGGTCTCCTCAAGACTGTTAGTCCCCAAGCACAGACCAACTGGCCTAAGACACCAAACCATAGGTCACAGCCAGTTAAGCAACGCTTCTCGTGGCTCCAGCCTGACTGCACCCATCACCATCACAGTCCCTCTACATTGTAGTGAAAGCACATTGCCTGTCCCAGTTCTGTCACTCACCAGCGGGAGTTCAGCAGGCCATGGTGTTAGTCTCTCTGGGCCTCAGTTTCCTTTCTGTGCAATGGCAGGGTTTGACTAAAGACCTCCAAGGACTTTCCCAGCTCTGACCTTTCATACTGCCTGCGCGATCCTATTCCCAAAGGCTTCCCAAGGGGCTGTCCTCTGCCTGTACTGAGCGCTTCCCCCACATTGCTCTCCGAGCCAGGAAGGACTTCCTACCACTTGAGCTGATTCCTTCCATTTGGTTGGTAAAGATGCAATCCTAGCCCTTACCCTCAAACCCTAACCCCTAGCCACTGCACACACCAGCTTTTACATTTCAGGACTTCAAAAGCCCCATATCATCAGTGTTTATCCCTCAGTCTTACATAGAAGCAGAATAATACTAACACTTGAGACTTTCCTACATGCCAGACACTGGCTATGTCGACATTTTATTCCCTCGACAACTCTCTGAGATAACTGGCTTCATTTTATAGAACTTATGGAGAAAAAACCAAAAATGCAACAACAAAAACAAAAGCCACAAAAACTGTGGTTCAGAGTGGTTAAGTAGCTTGCCTAAGGTCACATAGCTAGTTAGGGACATAGCTAGGATTCAAACCCAGGACTGTCTGACTCTAAAGCAGTAAGCCACTAAGCCATAAGGCACACGTCCAGAAAGTATCCTAAGCTGAGATCTGCTCAGAGTTTTCTCAAGTGTTACACAGATTCATATTAATAATTCATGATTCTGCATTTCCTGTGAGCTGGGCCAGGTGTTCTCACAGCTGGGCAATCTCATTTCAGCTTCACAATGACCTTATAAGGTGGTTATTATTATACCCTCTTACAGATAAAAATATTGAGGCTTCAGGAGCTGTTACATGGCTTGCTCTATGACACCCAGCTGCTAAGAGATAGAGCTAGGACTCACAAGTAAGTATTCTTACTCTAAGCCTAGTGGTCTTGTCACAGAACCAAAGCTGACTCATGAGCCCCTCCTCTAGCTCTTGCGGAAAATGCTATTGCTTTGGGACATTCAAATTGCCTCCTATCAAACTGCCTCCTTTCCTACCTTCAGACACAGGGGTAACAGGACAAGGACATGGTATTGACTATCTGTCCCTGGTCACTTCCAAGGTACCTACTGAGAACCAGGTATTATACTGATAATTTTCTGCATTATCTCATTTATTCCCCCAACCCTACAATGATACCACGATCCCTTCTTACTGATGATGACATTAAGAGTCTCAGAGGTCAGGCAAGTTGCCCAAAGACCAAGTTTTAGAAGTGAAAGGGCTACGTTTGAGGACAGTAGTGTCTCATTCAAACAAATGTGCTTTTGACCAGCTTCTAGCCATGTGTTGAACACTGACCTGTGATGAGGACCCAGGAGTAAACAAGGTGTGATCCCTTTCCTAAAAGTCTCCTTCTAGTGGGAAAGCAAGGAGAGTCCAGGCAGTGACAACAAGGAGAGTTAGAGAACGAGGTGTTTGGGCAGCCCTGAGAAGGAGGACCGGGTCCAGCCTGGGAGGTGGGGGGTAAAGGGGAAGTCAGGGCAGGCTTCCAGGAGGAGCAGACATTGAGCCAGCCTTGAAAGAGAGGAGAAAATCAAGGAAGGGTGCAAGGGGAGGGAAAAGGCAATCCAGGCAAGGAAAACGGCATAAGCAGAGGCACAGAAGGAAGAGCACAGCATGTGTGAGCCCAGAGTCCTGACCAGTGGCTTCATCCTTTGGTGGCTAAATCAACAGGCAAAGCAAATGGAAAGGGTATGCGAGTACCCTGGTTTGATGGCAGAGCTGCGGGCATCCTGGGGAGCCTATTCCTTTGCCCTCCTCTCCCCACCAGGTCCCCTGGGGCTGGGGCTGGGAATGGGGCTCAGAGCTTCCCAGAGCTGCTGCATGGAACATAAGGAATGTAAACAATTTCCTGCTCCACAGGCGGACATTGCTCCCTATATGCTGACCCTCCACGTGCCACGTGCTGCTGGGAGTCACCCAGGAAATGGCCCCAGGCTCAGCTTGGGGCCTGGCTCCCAAAGGAAGAATCTATGCTTTTCCATCTCGTGTCCCAAGAGACACTACCAGACTCTCTGCCCACACATCTCCCCACTGCCCACCTACACCACACCTGCTTCCACCCCAAGCCTCTGCAGACCATCTCCTCAAGCTGGTGGACAGCAAGCAGACCTGGGGATTCCTCTTAGCTCTAATCCATCCACTTCCTCCCTGAAGCTGTTGAATTACCATCACCCAACTCTACCCTACACACTCAGTTGAATTCTGTTCAGTTGCCATCAACTCTAACCAGGTGACTTCAAACAAGTTACTTGGCCTCTCTGAGCCTCAGTTTCTTCAGCCATAAAACAGGGGAAATATAATAGTACATAATTCATAGGGTTGTCAGGAGGATTAAAGTAGTTAATATTTGTAAAGCATTTGGAATAGAGCCTAGTAAAAGTAAAGACTATTAATAGCTACACAGATAAGCTGCTGTTCTACTTGCGAAGATACCTGAATGTTGACGGTATTACAGAGAGTTTTCTTTCTGTAATTTCATTAGTTTTACATATTACTATAGGGCTTGGCAGATATTACAGGGGCCATGTTCAGCCCACGGACTGTTTTCCCAAATACAGTTTTACTGGAACAGTCATGCACATTCATTTAAGTATTGTCTACGGCTACTACCATGCAACAGAGACCGTATGGCCCACAAAGCCAAAAACACTTACTATCTGGCCCATTATAGAAAGACTGCCAACTCCTGGATTACTGGATTGATTCCTACGCAACTGACAATATCCAATTATTTTTAGTCCACAGAAACACCGATTTCATATGATTCCACTTAATATATCGTACTGGCTCCTCACTTGTACTATCTGACCCATTGAGAGCGTTGCCCTCTAAATCTAGTGATTCCAACCATAATAAAGATGTAATTATTTATTGAGCACCTACCATGTTCGAGGTTTATCTCAAACTTTCATCTTCTCTTTTTACAGACGAAGAAACTTGAGGCTCAGAAGGACGCTAGGTATGAACCTAGGAACTCAAACCAGGTCTCCAGACACCACTGCTGCCCTGAACAATTTGACTGACTTGTACTGTGAGCCTCAGGCAGGGCTGGGGGAGAGACAAGGAGCACTTTCAAAAATAAGCACACGCTCTTTCCAGGATTGGGGGAGCTATTCTTAGCAGCCGCCTAAATTACGGTTTCCCCCTATGCTCTGGAAAAGGCAAAGAAAGCAAAAGTAAATTATCTCGGCCTCTGAGTCCCCTCTGTGCAGGCCTAGGGGTGGGAGACACAGGGGGCATCGCTGAGACCCGAGAAGAGGAAGGAGAGAAAGGAACGTCTTTCCAGAAAAGTGAAACTGAAAATCCCTCAGAGTGGCATTTCTCAAACTTGGGGGTGAGGGTGGGAGTTGAGGATTTTCCAACTGTTTTTCTCATTTTGAGAAATGATAAAGAGAATAAAGGTTTCTTTGACTCACTAGGGCACTAAACAAGCAGATGATAGTTCTCCAAGGTCATGGTCAAATATTCATTCATTCATTTATCCATTCATCCACCCACCCACCGAGTAAATGCCATGTATAAAGCAATGTTCTGGGTATCTTAGATGAGCCTGACATCAGATCCTAGGATGTAAGGGAGGCAAGGAGGTGCGGCTCCAGGCCCTGGGACTGTAGGTGGGGAAGAGTGACTTCTGGCTGGAAGGATCTGGAACATTCACCAGAAGAAGTGTCAATGAAGCTGGGCCTCAGAAGAAGAGAGGGCGTCAGCACATGCCAGGGGCTCAGGGGTGTCCAGGAAAGCATTCTCAACAAGTGGCATGCCAGAGTGAGAACCTGGCACAACGACAGCCCAGATGAATGAGAAGCTCTACTAGGGTGGTTCCACTGCACCTCTCAGGGCTCAAAAAGGTGCAGTGGGAACCAAAACTACAGCCAGAAAAAGGAGGGCCTTGAGTGCCAGGGGAAGAAGGAAGAAGCCATTGGAGAGTGTGTGGCTTGCTGTTGATTAGTTCCTTGACTTATGGTAGAGGAGAGAGTTTGTGAGGTCTGAGATTAGAAGAGACATTTCTGGTGGCACTGTATGGGGTGGGAAGACAAGAGGGAGAAGTGGAAGAGTGGAAGAGTTGGGAGGCAAGTCTGTGTGTCTGGGTAGAAGGGAATGAGACCCTGAACCGCCAAGAATAGAGAGGAAGGGGTGGATGCTGGTGGTGCCACGGAGGGGTGCCGGCACGTGAGTGAGAGGATGAGGGGCTGGACACACAGAGCAAGGACCTGGGCTGACTATGAACCTGGGGAGCATGGAGAGCTCTCTGGGCAACAGCTATGAAGTGAAAGAGAAGGAATTTTAGCGCCCATGTCTCTGCTACCCATTAGCGCCGTAAGTCTGGGGCTCCTGGCCAAAGGGAAATCACCCTACACAGGAGAACCCGAGGCCTCGCCCCCTCTGCTTCCAGAAGCCAAGCCCCTCCTCCGGCTCACACAGACGGGGTTGCTGTTACTGAAAGGCGCAGGGAAAGGAGCCTCCAGCTTTCTTCTGTGCTCCACTCCCAGCTCTCCCACCAGAGCAACCCATCGCTGAGGCCTCAGCACCGTTCCACAGCCCAGGACTGGGAGAAGCCCCCACTGGCTACTATTCCTGATCCTCTCTCCCAGGGTCCCAGCACAAAAAGCATTCTGTCACTCTTGAGGGAAGGACCTTGAGGTTCTGTCAGGCCAACTCTGCCCTAGAAACACAGCAGGGCCTGTGCACATGGCCCCACCTGGCCCCCGGGGCTGTGCCTTCTGCAGTACAAGGTGACCTTCCTGCCTTTCTACCAGAAAGGCCCCTGCTCCTGCCTCAGGACCCACAGGCACAGTCCATCTCCTCAGGGAGGGCAGACTGGGATGGGGCAGTAACTAGGGGGTAGGATGGGAGCTGAGCTGGCCCCTGAAAGGCAAATGTGGTTGAAAATGTAGATCCAGGGTGACTCCTTTCCTCCTCCTAAATGTTGTGTGTACAATTTCACCACTTCATTCGTTCTTTCAAACAAATATTTGTTGGGCCCCTAAGTACCATGCTAAGAGCTGTAAAAATGTAAAATAAGCATGAGTTCAGTTTGGTTGGGAAGAGAGACAAATAAATATAATAAAGTGTGGATGTGGGGCAACAGAGCGAGACCCCGTCTCAAAAAAAAAAAAAAAGCGTGGATGTGGTTATGATAAGGGAAGTACAAAGGTTTGAATCTGCGGAATGTCTGCAGAACTGTAGCCCAGCGGGGGTTCTAGTCCACCCTAAACCTTCTGCTCATAAACATGGTTTAGAGGAGGCGTCGTAGAGTAGAATGAGAGCTGGGAATACTCAGAGATGCTACCAAAGATCAAGAACAGAAGTCCAACATAGGGTTATTGATGCCATAGGAGATTGAAAACACCTTGGGCAAGAGAACATAAGTACTTTGGGCCCTGTCTGTAAATGAGCCAGTCAAACTACATATTGTCTAGTAGTTTCTTCTACCCCATCACTAGAATCTGTGTCAGACAGTATATGAGGCGTTAAATGATGCTGTTTGAATTGAATCCTATCCCATGAACTCCCTTTAGTTCATCATTCACTCATTTGCTCATTTATTCATCCAACCACCATTGATTTTTAGCACCTACTGTATGCCCGGCACTGCTCTTGGGGCTGGGTACGTGCAGGTAAACTCATCAGACACAGCTCCTGCCCTTACAGAGCTATAGTCTCCCAAGCTCAGAGTCCCTTTTGTCCTTTGTCTTCAATCCCTAATGCCCCATCCTGTGAATGATTCTCAGCACCTTTTTCTAAAACGCCTTGGATGCATTTGTTTTATTCCCAAATACCAGGCTCCAAACCAGCCCCACGTGATCCCGTGCTGAGACCAGGGCCAACCTCTCTCATTTCCCCCTTTCCTAGCCACCCTGCAAACAGCTCTCTGAATGATGTGCTTCTCGAGTTATTCTGCATTCCTGAGTTCAGCTGAATTGACAGCAGCCTAGGGCCCTGGGTGGATAAGAACAGGGCACTCACAGCCTAGGTCACACTCCAGAAATTTATTAGAGGCAGACGAGATGGCAAAGAGGACTAGGAATGGGAGCTGTGAAACGGAGTTTTCAGGACAAAGCATCGGGAGGGATGTGGATTGAGTGGGGTCCAGGAGGACCCTGAGTCCTTGTGCACTGGACAAGCAAGTATAGGAGATGCTCACTAAAGACAGGAAGAGAGAGGGAGGAGGAGAGAGAAGACATGAATGCATATCTTTGACTCTCTGGGTGAAGCGGTGGGGAGTGGTATGTGTGTGTGGTATGTATTTATGTGTGTATGTGGTATGGTGTATGTTTATGTATGTGTAGGTAGCATATGTGTGGTATGTGTACTTGGTGTATGCGCATGTGTGGTATATGTGTATGTGGTGTGGTACATATATTTGTGGTATGTGTGCGGTGTGTGTGGTGAGTGTGTGGTGTGTGTAGGTAGGGAATGTGTATGTGTGGTGTGTGTATATGTGTATGTTTGTGCATGTGTGATGTGTATGGGATGTGTATGGGATGTGTATGTGTGGTGTATACACGTGGTATCTGTGTGATGTGTGTATAGATGGGGTTTGTGTATGTGTGGTGTGTATGTGCGATATGTGTGTAATGTATGAGCATGTGTGGATGTGTGTGTAGATGGTTTATGTGCATGTCTGGTGTATGTGTATGTGTGTGGTGTGTGTATGTGTGGTGTATATGTGTGTAATGTGTGTGTAGATGGGGTTTGGGTACATGTGGTATGTGTGTATGGTATATATGTGTTGTATATGTATGTGTGGTAAGGGTGTAGTTGATGTATATGTGCATGTGTGGTGTATGTATATGTGTGGGGGGGTGTGTATGTGTGGTGTGTGTAGTGTGTGTGATGGGGTTTGTGTACATGTGGTATGTGTATGGTGTATATGTGTGGTGTGTGTGGTGTATGTATGTGTGGTGGAGGGGTGTAGGTGATGTATGTGTGCATGTATGGTATGCATATATGTGTCCATCTCCAAAAAGCAAACACACATGCTTGTACCGACTTCCAAATCTAAGTAGAAAGAACTCCCAGGCAACTCCCCAAAGTATATGAGCAGAGGAAACAGTAAGATCGCTGGAAATCAGCCCCCGTGCCAATTTCTGATCAGCCCGCTCTTCGTTTATAAAGGAGTTGCCCAAGCATAATATTTAGGAAATGTTACTGTTGAGAAGGCAATGTCTTTTCTTCTTTTTCCCATGAACCACACTATGGCCTGGGAGCACAGACTCATTCAAAGGACGCTTACATCCGCCATAGACCGGAGACTGAGTATCCACACATGCATCTCATTTAATCTTACAACAACCCAGAGAGGTCAGAATTTTTGACCGATGAGGACCCTGAGGTTCAAAACCAGGAGACGATGCCCAAACTAGGGCTCTTCCTGTAACACAGTATCACATTCCAACCCAGCTTCGATTTAGCTCTGGGTGGGGTGTGTGTGTGTGTGTGTGTGTCCAGCAGATGTAACTGGGTTTCCCTTGGGTGTATATTACAATGGGGCATACCTCCCCTCAACCCCCCACCTCTGCTATTTGAAATCAGGGTGGTAGGTTTTAGCTGCATCCCCATTGAGCTTGAAATAGAAAAAGAAAGTTGCTGACAATAATATATTCCAAACTATTCCATGCTCCATGCTTTAAAACATAAATATTTCACACATTTCTAGAAAAGAGAATACTAGTATTTATTAAAAGCTAGGCTAGGCTCAAAATTTTACAACTATTATTTAAGTATGCTAGCATCCTGCAAAAGCAGTAATATGATCTCCATTTTTACATATAAGGAAATTAAGGCTCAGAGAAAATCAGTAACTTGCCCAAGTTAGTAAAGTTGATAAAACATGTGACCTCAGTCTGACTGATTCCAACATTCAGATACAGCCTTCCCACTGCAAGCAGAACACAGCTCGTAAATGGCAGCATCACTGTACACCACACGCATCCCCACAGCCACAGCACCTCCTATGGTGCACTTCCCATCTCTTCCCCATCTCCCCATCCCAGCTCACAGGAAAGAACTCAGTGCTTGCATGACCAAACCCTGTACCTACTCACAGGCAGCAATTGGGCCCCATCGTCTCACCACACACTTAGTCACAGAAAGGTCCAGGCTGTCCCACCTTCAGGATCGGCCTCTTGGGCATGCGAGCTGGGCACACTCAGAAGGGCCCTGCGCTTGGTTTAAAGCTCTGCTATTGCCATCTTGAAACTTTTAATAATTTTTGAACAAGGAGTCCTGCATTTTCATTTTGTGCTGGGCCCGCAAATCATGCAGCTGGCCCTGCCCATCTTCTCCAGCAGCCAGCGCAGGCAGCCTTTCCCAGGAAGAGCGGCCTGGCTGGCCACTCCTTGTGTGTTTCCAAAAATGTCACCCACAGTCCCTGAATGGTCAAGACTGAACAGAGACAAGTTACTTTAATCTGGGGTGGCTTCCTGTTCAAGCGGCGTTGATCTACATCTCAGTAACTGCTGGACTACTCCCCACCCTGATCTTTCTTCCCCATCGCACCCCACTCCTCCACTCCACACTCCCTGCTTTCCGACCATGTTGTCCCACTCATTCCTCCTTAAATGCACCATTGCTCAAGGGACTGAAATTCCTAGAGGGCAGGGACATTTTTATCTCCAACTCCCCCCGCAGTGCTCTTTCCATACACACAGCAGGAACTTGATAAGAGCTAAAGGATTAAATGAATTGCTACACTGTTATCTGTCAATTTAAAAAATAAAGTTTTTAAAAATTGGTATGATAAAAAATAAATTGCTATATTTCCTGAATTCTTGACCCTATCAATTATAAGACATATCATCAATGTGATGACATGACATTAAGCATACACGAAGCTTCTACATCCTTCTGAAATTAAATAATAAAAGCAGGAGACTATTTTAGCTTTGAAACATAGTAAAGAATAGACTTGCTCGTTCCACATGCGGATTCTCAACATTACCCCTCACCCCAATCTCATGCCCACCTCCCCTGCTTCCTCCCCCTCTTCTCTCATCCATCCCCACTGCAGATGCCACCTTCCCCAAGCAGCCTCCCTAACCACTCCAACCTACCTGCATTCTCCTAAATAAACTCAAAGCACTTTTTGTCTGCTGTTTATAGGACACTTCATTATATACTTCATTACATACGTTATTTAATATCTTGTATTCATTGATTTTATTTTTATTTATTTATTTATTTTGAGACGGAGTCTCTGTCTGTTGCCCCGGCTGGAGTACAGTGGCACAGTCTCGGCTCACTGCAACCTCCGCCTCCCGGGTTCAAGCGATTCTCCTGCCTCAGCCTCCCAAGTAGCTGGGTTTACAGGCATGCACCACCACGCCCGGCAAATTTTTTATATTTTTAGTAGAGACGGGATTTCACCATGTTGGCCAGGCTGGTCTCCAACTCCTGACCTCAAGAGATCTTCCTGCCTTGGCCTCCCAAAGTGCTGGGATTACACGCATGAGCCATCTCACCTGGCCACGTGTATGTTTTTTATACCAATTAACTTCTCCCCCATCTAGACTCTGAGTCCATGAGAATAGCTCCTGGCGCAGTGGAATGTGTGCAGCAGGTCCTCAGTCCTCCGTGAGCTCTTCCTAAAGGAACGACATCTAACAGCAGCGTGTGGGGAGAGGCAGAGTGGAGAAAGTGGTTAACACCCCAGGAATGAACCTTCATGGCCCAGCCAATGACTCAGGTCCTTCAATCCATGAAGGCATCCAGGCCTTGGCCAGGCACCCTCAATAGGTTTCTCAAGTGACCCTCAGCAAGTGGCAAAGGAATGCTTCTTTATAAACCTGCATGGTTAAATCAGGTCTTGGAATTCTCAGATAAATGCAGGATGTTTTCATTTGTTTGTTTCATTTCTGTTTTTAATTTCCCCCTCCTCTCTGTCAACAAAAGGCATCTTGCATGTAAAAGGTATGAGATATTTTTCGTCTCTGTGCTTTGAGGGATGCTTTCTCTGACGGAAACGAGACTCTGGCTCCAGGACTTCAGGCTACAGAAGCTGAGATTTCCTCTGAGAACACAGGCCAATCCTCAAGCCCTGAGAACAGTCCTTGAATGGACTCCCCATTTCTAAATTGCCTTTTTTCAACCCAGACATCCTTGCAAGCTCTACCCCGATTATTGCCACTGAAGGGATCTCCCTCCTCAGTGCCCAGTGTTGAAGCCACTTACCCACCTCATCCTGGAAAGTGCCTGCTGTGTGTCACCTTTTTCCATCCTGTCACCCCTTCAGAAGCCTTTTCTCAGTTCTCCCTCCTCAAGTTGTGAACGATGTGAAATCTGATCCACCTGCCCTGAGAACTCCAAGCTCTCTCTAGCCTCTCTGATTCAGCCGAAGCCACTCAGGTCAGAGCTCCTCCCAGGAATCCCTCCATGTAGAGGCCCTCCCTCTGGAGGCCCTCCCCCACCTTTCCCCAAGGAGTTCCCTCCCCCCTGGAACCCTCCCCCTGGGACTCCCTCCCCCTGGAGCCTCTCCCCCTGGAACCCTCGCCCTAGAAGCCCCTCCCCAACCCTTCCCCAAGGAGTTCCCTCTACCCTGGAACCCCTCCCCCCGGAGCCCCTCTTCCCAGCGCCCCTCCCCCTGGAACCCTGCTGCCCCTGGAGCTCCTCCCCATGGAACCCTCCCCCTGGGACTCCCTCCCCCTGGAGCCTCTCCCCCTGGAACCCTCGCCCTAGAAGCCCCTCCCCAACCCTTCCCCAAGGAGTTCCCTCTACCCTGGAACCCCTCCCCCTGGAGCCCCTCTTCCCAGCGCCCCTCCCCCTGGAACCCTGCCCCTGGAGCTTCCCCCCATGGAACCCTCCCCGTGGGACCCCTACCCCCCAGATCCCCTCCTCCTGGAGCCCCTCCCCTGGAACCTCAGCCGGAACACCTAGCAAGCCTCACTTCCTGTTGGAAGCCATCCCGGCCACCCTTCCTCCTCCTTAGCATCCTGTGTTTCTCCCATAATCAAACATCAGGCAGATCTATTGTTTCCTGAATTACAGCCACTCTCCCTGGGTTGTGATCTTCTTAGGTCAGGGACAGTGTCGCACAGTGTAATGGGAACCCTGGTGCTCAGCACAGAGCCTGGCACATAGTAGATAGACCAGGGCTTTGCCAAGGTGCAGACCCTGGATGTCTGGCCTTCTCCTGTATCCTCTCCCCTCCAAAACTCCCCTCCATCTCCTTCCTTCAGACTAATTCAGCAATGGTCACTCCAAAATTCTCCTTTCCCTCATCTCCAGCTCCATATTTCCAACGATCTACATTTCTATTCAGATGTGCCAATGCTGGTGCCACCAACTTCCCCTACAACTAACCTCTCCTTTCCTTCCCCCTTCGGACCACCCCGAACTTCAAAGACAGAGAAGCATCTTTAACTCTTCCTTTGTCTTAAATACTGCTATATGCCAGGTATTTTATATGTACTATCTCACTTAATTCTCACAAGAAACTCCGAAATGTGGGTATTAGCATCCCAATTTTAAGGAAACCAATGTTCAGTGAAGTGAAGCAACCTTCCCAAGGTCACAAGCACAAAACTGACTGAGCCAGGATTAGAGGCAGGTTCTGACCTAGCTGCCTGTTTGTTTGTTTGTTTGTTTGTTTTTTGAGACATTGTCTCACTCTATTGCCCAGGCTGGAGTGCTGTGGTGCGATCTTCGCTCACTGCAACCTCCACCTCCCAGACTCAAGCGATCCTCCTGCCTCAGCCTCCCGAGTAGCTGGGACTATAGCCATGCACCATCACACCTGGCTAATGTTTGGATTTTGTGTAGAGACAGGGTTTCACCATGTTGCCCAGGCTGGTATCAAACTCCTGGCCTCCAGTGATCTGCCTGCCTCAGCCTCCCAAAGTGCTGGGATTATGAGTGTGAGCTACTGCGCCTGGCCATGACCCAGCTGTCTTAAACTCCCATTCTTCTCCCCCAACACACAGGTACTCCCGCACCCACACACAGTTCTCTATTTTATAGATTATCCAGTCTTCATATCCAGTCTACTGGGTTCTACTTAGAAATGCTTCCTGCATCAAGTCTGTGCTCACCTGTGTGAACACTGGGCTCCCCTCACTGGCCTCTGGGAGGCTGGCTGTGCAGAGCCTCCTGCGATTTGCTGGCAGTGTGGACTCACCTCACACTTGCTCTGTGAGCCTGCACATGCTCTAAGCTTGGAATCATTTCTCTCAGGCATTGTCCTTTCTTGCCAGCTTGGCTGACCTCCAGCCCAGGCTGAGGCTGACCCCTTTCTTCTGGACTCCATCTGCACCCTTCTCATTCTTCCTTTTGGCTTCAGGTCCTAAGCCTGGTTCTCAGGTCAGAACCACTGAACAGACTACCTGCTTAAACAATATCCTGAGTTTCCCAGCTCTCTTCTCTCAATTTAATTCCTGTTTTTTCCACTTTCAACAGAACATCTCAAACTAAGTGCACATTTTGAGTCTACCTAGTGCATTTACGAAAGATGAAGATTCCAGGGCCCTGCCCTCAGAGTTTCTAAGTAAACAGATCTGGGGGGAAGACCTACGAATCTGCATTTTAACAAGTTCCCCAGGAGATTTGGATGCAGGCAGTTTAATTTACTGCCGTTTCTCTTTCCTCTTTTTTCGCCAGAATTTTTACAAACCTTTTAACAATTCACACTTTCTATCCAAAGTTATGAGCGGATCCCTCAGGTTTTCCTGCCTGGCTGCAAAGTAGAATCACGGGGCATTTAAAAAAAATAAAAACAAAAAAACAAAAAAAAAACAATGCCTAGCCTAGACCCAACCTGAACCAATTAAAACAATCTCTGTGGGAGGAGAGAGAGGGGGGACCACTAGGGTGAGCAGTTCATCGTGGTTTGTCCAAGATCACCCTAGTTTTAAAACTGAAAGTCCTGGCCAGGCACGGTGGCTCACGCCTGTAATCCCAGCACTTTGGGAGGCCGAGGTGGGTGGGTCACTTGCGGTCAGGAGTTTGAGACCAGCCTGGCCAACATGGTGAAACCCTGTCTCTACTAAAAATACAAAAATTAGCTAGGTGTGGTAGTGTGTGCCTGTAATCTCAGCTACTCAGGAGGCAGAGACAGGAGAATCACTTGAACACAGGAGGTGGAGGTTGTAGTGAGCCGAGATTACACCACTGCACTCCATCCAGCCTGGGTGACAGAGCAAGACTCCATCTCAAAAAAGAAAAAGAAAAAAGAAAGTCCCAAATCACAGGAACCTTCTCAGTCTCAGGCAAACTGGGATGGTTGGTCACTCTTCTGGGCTCTGACAGTTGTAAAATCTCTCCAGGTGACACTAATTTGTAGGCAAGTTTACCAAACACTGGACTGCATCCAGGTCAGGCAAGGCCTCGACCAACCAGCCCACTCTCCCTACAATTCCCAAAAGTCAGAGCTCACCTGCGTTTTGTTTTCATTGAGCGCTGGTTATCTTAAAATTTGTCACTGGGCCAGCAGCATCAGCATCACCCGGGAATTTGTTTGAAAAGGTGGTGCCATCTTCAATAATAATAGCAATAATAATCCACATCTACAATTTATCCACGTTTCTTCTATGGGCCATGCACCTCCTTGGGTGCCTTATGTGTCCTCCTTCAACTCACAAGAAAAATGTGAGGTCATTATTACTGTGATCTCTAGTTGACAAATGAAGACATTGGGCCCCAGAGAGGCTGAGGCAACCAGGTGAGGTCAGATTGCTAGTTGCTGGCAACACTGTGCCTAGAGCCCAGACATGCTTAACCAAACAGCCCCATTCTACTCTCTCACCTGCAGATCTTCTGCAAATCCCTACCAGAAGCATCCGTGTGGACTGACTTGAGTGAAGTGGTGATTAGGGAATTATCTGTCAGCCATGGGCTGGTGGTACAGGTGGTTTGAGGCTGGGAGGTCCATCCCACAGGGAGAGTGTAAGGCTGATATCAGAGGGGGCCTGTTTTGATTCTGGTGCAGCAAACATTTACTGACCACCAACTAACTAGCTGGCTTGAATATGCCATCTCATTAAATTCAGCAATAACTCTGTAAAATATATGGCATTGGGGTTTTGTAGGGGCCATACATAAAAATTTCCCCTTCATGCTCAAGTTCAGGACCAGTTGAGAAACAGACACATGAAGCCCCTGATAAAGGTCAAAATAGCAGCCATTTCTTTTTTTCTTTTCTTTTTTTTTTTTTTTTTTTTTTTGAGATGGAGTTTCGCTCTTGTTGCCCAGGCTGGAGTGCAATGGTGCGATCTCGGCTCACCACAACCTCTGCCTCCCGGGTTCAAGCCATTCTCCTGTCTCAGCCTCCCAAGTAGCTGGGATTACAGGCGCATGCCACCATGCCTGGCTAATTTTTGTATTTTTAGTAGAGACGGGGTTTCATCATATTGGTCAGCACTTTGGGAGGCTGAGGTGGGCAGATCACCTGAGGTCAGGAGTTCGAGAATAGCAGCTATGTTTATGATAGAGCTGTTGGAAGGATGTGGGTTTACTGGCCAAATGCACTCCTAATATTCCACCCATGAATGACGCCAATTCACACATCCAATCACTGGCATAGGATGGGGACTATGGACCTCCCCATAGGAGCAAGCTCCTGACCCCACTGCCAAGATGCACCCACCCTGCAGGTGGCAGATCCAAGAGAGACGGGGGAGGCAGTTGACAGGCCCAGCTCATACTTCTTCGAGAGTCACCAGTTGGAGATGCCTTGGCTCTTCCTTTGAGGAAGTGATAGGAAGGGAGAAGCCTGAGAGTGGGCAGCAGGTTTCTCTACCTACATGCACATCAGAGCTACTCATGCCCCAGGCCCACTCCCAGAGATGTTGACTTAGTCTGGGAAGGGAGGGAGTGGGCATTAATATTTTGTAAAAGTTCCCCCAGGTGATGCTAAGGTGCTGAGTATTGACAGCCACTCACAGAAGATCTTCTCTTGGAAACCAGAAACCAGGGCAGTGCCTCTAGAAGAGCTGGAATTGTTCCTATTTTACAGCTAGGGAAACAAGTGCTCAGGAAACTTGAGTATCTTGCCCTCTATCCGGAGCTAGTAAATAGAATAGTAAGGATGAGTAATGGCAGTTAACAAATGGGCTTTCCCCCAAATCTAGGGTGGACGTGGAGATTTGCAGCCAGGTCGGAGCCAGATCAGCCAAACCAGCCGTTCTCAAGCTTTATCCTGCATCAGAATTTCCTGGAGGGCTTGTTAAAATGCAGATTGCTGGGCCCCACCCCAGAGTTTCTGATTTAGAGAGAAGGCTCTGTAGCTGTGAGAAGAGATGACAATGGAGCTTTGGAGTTAGGCATACCTGGGTTCTAGGTACAGCTTTGCCACCAACTAACAATATGACCTTGCCTGGTTTACTTGACCTGTCATGGGCTCAGTGTCTTCATTTGTCAACTAGAGATCACAGTAATAATGACCTCGCGTTTTTCTTGTGAGTTGAAGGACACATAAGGCACCCAGGGTGGTGCAGGGCCATAGCAGAAATGTGGATAAACTGTAGATGTCATTTTTGCTGCTGTTATTTAGGGATGCCTTCTTTAAGAAGGCTGGAAGGCTGGGGGGAGGTTTTAGATGCAGGCAAGCATACCAAGAGATAGAACACCAAAGTATGAATGAACTAAGTCTTAAAGGATGCAGCGATGTGAGCCAAAATGGAGCCAAAGCCAGTGCACAGAACTGAGAATGAGGGAATCTTCTGCACAGGGGGGAGGTCTGCTGTGAATCTGGCCGGCAGAGGGGCTGGGATTTAAAGTCACCCAAAATAGAACTTCCTTCTCTCCAAGCTTGCAATATATGTTTCCCCTCCTCCCCTTTTCTCTGGGCCACACTCCACATGCCTCTGTCCAGACTCATTTGTTAGAACTGCCCCCACTACCACCCCACCCCCAACCCTGCCCTAGGGATTCAAGGAATCTTAGTAATGTCTCCAAGTTCTGGAGGAAAGGAAGCAGAATATAAGGGGGAAGCCCTCTCTGGGCCTGTGTCTTTGTATGACTTCCCTCAGTTCCCCACCCTCCCTTCTCCCAAGACAGGGCCCTTCCAAGTCAGCATCAGCCTGGCCATCTCATTAGGGTAGGCACCAAGAGGGGCACCAACAGCCTTCTTCCAACCACTCAACCACAGAGTCCTCTCGGCATCTTCGCCAACCCATGCCCCTGTCTCTTTCATAGCTACGCTCAATGCGCATCCCCTCAAGCCTTCCCTGATGAATCTCACTGGATGGCAAGAGTTCCTTCCTCCATATGTTTGTTCATTCATTCAGCCACTCATTCCACAAATGTTCTCTGAGCACCAACTCTGTGACCTGGCACCAATACGAAAAAAGACACAGTCCCTGCCCTCCTGCAGGCTAAAGAAGAGAGCACTAGATTTGGAGTCCAGAGTTGGGAGCTCACATTGTCATAAGGAAAAAATAGAGCCCCAGCTCATGTTCCTCAAGTCTCTTCTAACGTGAGAAGAGATCTCCCAGCCACTGGTAAGACACAGTCAAATCTTCCTGCTCTCTCTCTTGCACACAGAAAATACATAAAATAAAACATATTGTATCAGACATGGAAAACACACTTCATGACTCCGTGCTGTTCTCCACCCTGCAGACTTTAGAAATTTGTCTGAGTCTCAATGCATGCCATCTTCAGTCACTACCTGGACCCCTATGTCCAGCATCTTAGCTTAATGACTATGTCAACCAGCATTTCTTGGCCTGTTCAGATGTGCCAGGCACCAGAGATAAAGAGATGAACAAAATACATTCCTGAGCACCTGGAGCTCACAGTCCAGTGGGAGAGTCATGCACATAAATAGACAGTCATGACATAATGCGGGAAGCGCACAGTGACCCAAGTAAGGCATTGTGGTGTGGGTGGAGAGAGGCACCTAATACCGCTGGCTATTGACAAGGAGGACACCAGGGAAGGCTTTCTGGAGAAGGCAATGCCAGAGCTCAGTCTTAAGGGAAAATGAGTCTGAAACTGAGCCCGTGCGTTGGCTTGACTCCTGCCACCTCAGGTCACCTTAATCACCTCTCATTGATTTTGCTCCCTTCCCTGCCCTGCCCTCCATCTCAGAATTCCCGGGGCATTGGAGCTTTTGGAAATGTGAATCCAAATGCATGTGGTGTGATTATGGCTGGATTTTCTCCTTCCTCTTATATAGAGTTAATATAACACCAATAGCATGATGCTGATTATGTAATAAAAGCTTAAAACATAAAGTGAGAGTTAATCTCCCCCTATTTTTAGGTGGTGCCCAGATACCCCCTTCGCCTTTCAACTCCAGTGCAAGTGAAGCCAGAGCTGAGTTTTCAAATGTCGCACATGATCCTCAACAGCTACTAGCAGACAGAAAAGGGCAGGGCTTTAGCCAACTTGAGCACTGAGAGTCAGGGCTGTACCAGGCTCGGCGAACAGGAGCTACTGCTGCAAATCAAAGGCCTCTTTCACTAGGGAAGCAGAGTGGAGTTGAAGGATGTCCACATCACACTTTTTCTCCAGTGCAGTCACCCAAACAGTTAGTGAAAAGTCATAGTTAAAATGAGTGAAAAAAGAAGGATGTAGGTAGTCACATGCATACAAATGGGGGAATTTGAAAACCAACAAGCCCCTCTCTAAATCTGAAATGAGATATCCTATGACAATATAAGAGGTATGCTCTTATATTTACCCCTGGTGGAGCCAACTGAAACCCATCCCCATTTCTCTGGGGGATATTGTACGTTATTCAAGGCGCTACATCACACGTCACTGAGTGCTAAAGAGCCATTACCCCAAGACTCATTTCTGAGAAGCAGCAAAAGCCTCAGGCATACGACGGGGTCAAGAATCCAGAATTTTTAGATTCTAAACTTGGCTCTGCCACTAACAAGCTGCAAGACTTTGGGAAAGTTGCTTGACTTCTCTAAGCCTTACCTCCTTCATCTGTAGAGACTATGACAGGACCTAACCCCAAGGTAGTGGTGAGGACTGAGTGAGAATTCAGGCATAGCCCTGCTTGCCAGATACAGAGGATTTCACAAGGAAAATATTTAAAATATTTCCCAACATATTTACCTCTGGAAAATGCCAGTGTTTCCTTTTTTTTCCTTTTCTTTCTTTTCTTGTACACTTCTAATATCAGAGCTAAGCCAGGACCTTGTTTTCCCTGGGAAAAGAAGACTGATAGCTTCCAGAACAAAATGGTGCATAGAGGGAGGAACAGTTGATACAAGGTAATGATGTCTCCTCTAGACAGGACAGGGCAATAGAAAACCTTTATAGGCTGTGCGTGGTAGCTCAAGCCTGTAATCTCAGCACTTTGGGAGGCTGAAGCAGGTGGATCACTTGAGGTCATGAGTTCGAGACCAGCCTGGCCAACATGGTGAAACTCTGTCTCTAATAAAAATATGAAAAAACTTAGCCAGGTGTGGTGGTGCACACTCATAATCTCAGCCACTTGGGAGGCTGAGGCAGAAGAATCACTTGAACCTGGGAGGCAGAGGTTGCAGTGAGCTGAGATCACACCACTGCATTCCAGCCTGGGCGACAGAGCGAGACTCCCATCAGGAAGGAAGGGAAGGAAGGGAGGGAGCAAAGCAAAGCAGAAGAAAAGGAAAAGAAAAGAAAGGAAAAGAGAAAAGAAAAGAAAAAGAAAATCTTTCTAGTACTAGGAGGAAAAGAAAGTAAATGCCCTGGATTCCACTTCCTTCCCCACCTCCAGAGAAGAGAGGAGGGGGTGGTTTGCAGTGTCATTAGAAATAACTCAATGACTTGGAGAATTTCAGAATAGGGTGCAGGGTTGGGGAAAGGTCACGTGGATAAACCCTGCCTAAACCCAGCTCTGAGCAAACATGGCTGGCAACAGCTGAGGAAGTTACCTGGGGGCTGCCCTCGGGCCCACCCATTTAGAACCCTCACATCCCAGACCAGCCACTGGACACCTGGGCCCTCCAGGAGTGGGTGGACGTCCTGGCAGAGCCAGGAGCCTGAGGAAGACCTAAGCTTCAGCAGTGGGTGCCAAGTCTACCCTCAGAAGCCCTGGGGACCGGACCAGACCTGGCCCCTTCAATGGAGTTCAGCACAGAGGCCCAAGCAGCAGAGAGAGCAAGGTACAGCTCCGTGGAGAACTGCAGAAACCCTGCAGCCCCCAGGCCCTTCCCTGGTCACCAGGAAAATACTGGAGCTTCCCCAGGAAGCCAGACCATTCAGGGGAGGGGCACTGGGAGCTGCCCTCACAGGAAGTTTGAATTTTGACTTGATGGGACCTCGCTCCAAAGCAACTCATTTAAATCAGAGACTAAAGTACCTTTATTTTTCACACTAAGTTTTTCATTGAAAATTATCCATTATAAGAATCAATTACTTTTTCCTGCACAGCTGAGTGTCGTTATTCATGTTCGCTGCCCAGTTTAGTAAGTCTTCAATAAATATGAGCTGCTATTATGTCATCAATCATCATCACCACCACTAAGTGGGTTATTCCCAGATAGACAAAAGGAAGGGAAGAAGAGGACAAGAGCAAAAAACAGTCCCACTTTTGTTTCAGATCTGAGTCCTCGGAGGGCTCAGGGAGGCTGGCTGGCATAGGAGGAGAGGGGAGAAGGGGAGCCTCTGGGACCCCCTCACTGGGGAGCTCATCCTCTCCTTATTTGACACAAACTAGTCAAGCCCCACTTTCACCCAGGTTTAACTGCAACTGACCTGTCGGCCCCTCTACCCTTTCCTCACCAAGGGAGCTGCAGAGGAGTGAGCACCAGTGCACCTGCCTCCCTAGCGTACCTGTCCCCCCAGTACACCTGTTCCCCCAGTGCACCTACTCCCTCAGTACACCTGTCCCCGCAGTGTACCTGCGCCCCCAGTGCACCTGTCCCTCCAGTATACCTGCCTCCCCAGTGCACCTACCCCCCAGTGCACCTACCCCCCCAGTGCACCTACCCTCCAGTGCCCCGGCCCTCGCACTGCATCTGCCCCTTCAGTGCACCTGCCCCCCAGTGCACCTGCCCCCTCAGTACAACTGCCCCCTCGGTACACCTGCCTCCCCAGTGCACCTACCCCCCAGTGCTCTGGTCCCTGCACTGCACCTGCCCCCCCCCAGTGCACCTGCCCCCTCAGTACACCTGCCTCCCCAGTGCTCCTGTCCCCACAGTGCACCTGCCCCCTAGTGCACCTGTCCCTCAGCGTGCCTACCCCCCAGGCCACAGACCTGGACTGTTCAGGTGGGGTCTTACAAGCCTCTTGACCTTCCCACCCATTTACTGTCTTTGTGGCCCTGGCAGAGGCCACACAGAGGTTAAGAGCCAGAACTCAGGAGTTAGACTTCCTGGGTGCAAATCCTAGAGCTGCTTCTTATCTGCTGTGTCATCTTTGGCAAGTTACTTAACCTCCCTGTGCCTCAGTTTCCCCATGTGAAAATGAGAATAATAATAGTAATCTGCCTCAAAGATTGTGGGGATTAATTGTGGGGATTAATTTAGTGAGTCAGGTACAGTGATTAGGGTAGCACCAGGCACCTATTCAGCACTAAGTGTGAATAACTCACACCCTCTCAGTGAGGTCTTTCAAGGGCATCTGAAATAGCAGCCCCGCTCCCAGCACCTCCCATCTCCCTTCCCTTCATTTTCCACGTAGACTTACCACCACCTGACAGACTATACATCCCATGTATTCATTATCCCTCCCACAAGAATGTATATTCCATGGGGCATTTTTGTCTATCATTCATTGCTGTATCCGCAGTGACTAGAATTACTACCTGGTACATAATAGGCCCTTGTAATAAAGAAGGAATATATGAAACTTACTAACTGTGTAGACTTAGGCAAGTTACATAACTCCCCACATGCCTTAGTTTACTCATCTGAGAAATGGAGATGATGCCCACACCCTCACGTTGATGTGAAGATTAAATGAGGCAACATTTGTAAATATGCCCACTCCGGTCCTTGGTACATGGTCGACCTGAGAGGACCAGTTTCTGCCTGATGGAGGAAGGGCCTGAAATGGTTAATCCCTGACTCTCCTCCCCCATGCAAAGCTGGTCCGGACTGCAGGGCCACTGGCAGCTATCCAGGTGGAGGCTAAATGTCAGAGGTGTGTGCCTGCAGAGCTGCCCTGGTCCTGATGCAGTCTTGACCCAGGCAGCTGGAGCCCCTCGCCACCCCCTCCTGCTGCCTGGGCCTGGAGCATTTGGGAGTGCAGGAGCAGAGTGGTGGGAACCTCCGCAGGCCTGGGTCCCACGCCACATCCTGGCCTTGGGGGAGGTGGGCCCAAGGCCTGGACTTGCTTCCCAGCTATTCCCAGGCGGCCCTCTCTCCTGCTGGCCCAGCTGCACTGCCTGAGCCGGAGGGCCACAGGGGTAGGTCTGTCTGTCAGCATCACTTGTCCCCACTCACGATGAAGAAGACGCAGGCCTCAGCACAAGCACAGTCTGGACTCAGAGCCCCACTCTGTCAGCCCTGAAGCCCACCTGCCTCCCTCCCTGGGAGGGAGTGCGTGGAATGACAGTCACAGAGGACTCACCGGACCCCAGCGACTCCAGCCTGTGGCTTCCCAGATTTCTCCAATTTCTCGCAATGCCCCAGCTTTTCAGCAACTTCTCTGAGAGTCATGCCTCTCCATGACGGACCCAGAAAAAGATGAAAATAGATAGACACAGGCTTCAGTGTGAATGCTGAAGATGAAATAAATGCAGTCCAGCATTGCCCCATGGGCATCCACTCCACAACCATCTATGAACCCCCACTCTGGGCCAGACACTGTGCACTGTAGGATGCGGCAGTGAATAAAACACAGACCTGATTGTAAAAATCTCCCAGTCGGAAAGGGGGTACAAATGTGAGCAGGCCGGGGTAGTGGGCAGAAGTATCTTGGTGGAGCTGTACAGGGAATGATGAGAGTATGGATGAAGGGTCTCTAACTCAGCGTGGGGAAGGAGGGAGCATGAGAAATCTAGAAGGGTGGTACCAAGGTGCTTCTGGCCAGCAACAACTTGGGGGAGAACAGAGGAGCTAATAAATGGAGAAATGATATTTCCCACCAAGGGGCCGGCTCAGAACGGCTCTGGGGAGGGTGCCAGCTTCAACTCCCATCCTCCCAATCTTCAAGCACTTTTACCAGAAACTAAGCCCTCTGAGGGCAGGGACCAGGTTCAGTCTGCATCCCTAGAATGAGGACAGGCATATATGGCAGGCACTGAGTAGAAATGTCTGAGTGTGCCAATGAATAAACAAACCCCTGAAGGTAAGATCACTACTGACCCAGGGACATGTTGCTTTTTTGTTATCCCACAGACATTAACATAAATTTCTATTGCCCAATTTCCTCTTGGTAAGTGTAAGAACCCTCACAGGCTATAAACTCTCCAACTGGTGCCAAATGAGGTATCACTCAGCCTCCAACACAAGCCTCTTAAGAGGGAACCAACCATGGGGTTCTGTCCATCACCCTGAGTGCTGCCAGCCTCCCCATCGATGGTCACCACAGTCACACTCCTTTGGTACACCCTGGGAAAAGCCGCAAGAATCACACACCACTGAGGATAATGGCCAGAAAGTCACTGCCAATGTTTGTGGCTCAGTATTTACAGAAAAACAGGATCATTCTGTGCTTGCTACCCACAACCAGTCATAGGCGCATGTGCAGGCCCATCCACACACCCTGTGTGGAACACACAGCCCGCTCCCCAGGCCCCTGCCATCAACAAAAGTATACAAAGAAGAGATGCCAATTGGATTTATCTGTTTAAACAGCATCCCGTGAAGCTGGTCCCTGGGTGAATTATCCAAACAGTAACCATTCTTGCTTCTTTCTTAAAGAAAAACTGTAGAGAGCATAAATTCTCCTTGCATCTCTGCTATTCATTCATGCAGCCAATATTTAATAAGGACCTACTATGCGTTAGCCCCTGCTAGTGGAACTGTGCTATGGTTTGCATGTCTGTGTTCCCTCCAAAATGCATATGTTGAAACTTAATCTTTGTTGCAATAATACTAAGGGTGGGGCCTTTTGGGAAGTGATTAAGTCATGATGGCTCTACCTTCATGAATGGATTAGTGCATTATAAAAAGGCGGGAGGCAGAGGCGGGCAGATCACAAGGTCAGGAGATCAACACCATCCAGGCCAACATGGTGAAACCCCGTCTCTACCAAAAATACAAAAATTAGCCGGGCATGGTGGCACGCACCTGTAGTCCCAGCTACCCGGGAGGCTGAGGAAGGAGAATCACTTGAACCCGGGAGGCAGAGGCTGCAGTGAGCTGAGATCGCACCATTGCACTCCAGCCTGGCGACAGAGCAAGAATCCGTCTCAAAAAAAAAAAGACGGAGGGGGGTGGAGGGAATTAGCTTAGGCCCTTTTAGCCCTTCCATTCCTTCTGTCATGTAAGGACACAGTGTTCTTCCCCTCCAGAGGAAGGAAAGGAACACAGACATGCAAACTATAGCATAGTTCCACTGGCAAGGGCTAATGCATAGTAGGTCCTTATTAAATATTGGCTGCATGAATGAATAGCAAAAATGCAAGGAGTACCTATGCTCTTTACAGTTTTTCATTAAGAAGCAACAAAACACCACCTTAGGAGCAGAGGGCAGCCCTCACCAGACAACAACTCTGCTGGCACCTTGATCTTGCACTTCCCAAAGTCCAGAACCATGAGAAATGTTGTTTTGGTTTATAAATTACCCAGTGTGTGGAATATTGGCACAAATGGACTAAGACATACTAGAAATGCAAAACTGAACCAGTCAGGGCTTTGCATTCTGGAAGCTAATAGTCTAGCGAGAGTCAGACAGAACAGTGGTTTTCAAACATTGTGCTCAGTGCTTCATCAGGGACAGGCCTGTGGGAGCACAGGTGAGAGGGAACCCTACTACCTGAAATTGGTGGGGAGGAGGAGGCGTTAGAGAGACTTTGTAGGTGTGGTGATTTTTGGGCTGAGTCTCCAAGGACAGCGAGGCGTTCCCCAGGTATGAGCCTTCAGGTAGCAGGGAGGGCAGGAGTTAGAAGTGTGAGCGGCAGGGCAGGCAGAGCTTGGGCAGCTGGCAAGATGACCCAAGAAGTACTCCAGGGCTCAGACATGAAGGGACTATACCCCTTGAATTCTGAAACTGGGTTTGTGATTTTCCAGATTCCCCTTTGGTCCATTAAGAGAGTTCATTCTCAGACCAAGGGGGTCAAGGGGTATCACACTTCACACAAAGACAGAGACCCTGAAGAGTAATCCAGGCATGAGGACCCCAAGGAAAAGAGTCAGGGAGAATCCTCCAGCCACTGTTTCTGAAGCCCAGGCCCCTGCATCCTACCAGGCCCGGGGGCACCTCCATGAGCCCACACACACAGAGCCAAGGCGTGAGTGAGGGCCACCATTCCCTGGGGTGGTGAAGCACCATTCCACAAACCCAGACCCAATAATCAGACTCTGAAAAAGACTACCCCCGCCCCACTTCAGCTCCTGGATAGCTGTGCCTTCCCCTCTTGAGATGTCACACTCCCCACCTGTGTGCAAATGGACTCAACTCCTCCTTTCTCCGACATGATCTGCAGGACGCCCCTCATACAGCTGCTGGCATGCACAAGACGTTGAGAATGAAGGTACTACCATTTAAAGACCGCTTTACAGGCGAGAAACTGAGGCCCAAGAAGCAGGCTACTTGCCTCAGGACCCACAGCAAACTCATGCCACAGCCATGTCTAGAACCCAATTTTCGAATTCACAGCACAGAACTCTTCTCTCCCACTACAGAACAGTCGCAGACAAATTCTGCTTTGCTTCCTGGTTTCTCCTGAGTTTCTACTTAAGTGGAAACAACAACTACAAAAATGCAATATAAAAACAAAAATTAAAAATTCCAAAAATCTTAGCCAAGATTCATTCATGAATATTTCCCCTAAATATTGTGAGCCCTGCTAGGATCCAAGCTACACCGCCTCTCTCTTTAAATATTCTCAAATACTCCAGGAAACTGATTCCCAACTTCTCCTGATTTCCTCACCTCAGATTTTCTCTTTGAAGCTTGAAGGGTACTTAGAAACTTCTCTTTAAAAAGAGAAGGTGCTCCTGACAGTCATTCCAAGACATTTGGATTTGCCAAGTTGAAGTTACAGAAACCTGTGACTATGCATACTAATTATTATTATTTGCCTACCATTAGTATGCTTTTTCACATTTCACATCTGATTTTTTATGTACATTTTTCTTAATTTTTGTGTGCAAACAGTCCTAATATGAAGTGAAAAAAATCACTGGCAAAAGGAGAAAAGCAAACAAACTAGCCTGGTGTCCAGGGATTCAAGAATTTCAGGAGGATCGTGAGGCAAATTGGATATGTTCTCCAGGAAAGGGGAGCTATTGGGCATATCAGCTACACAACCGATCACCTGAGGATTCCACTGGAAATGAAAAAGAGAGAAAGAGAAGGAGTCGAGAGTCCCCCAAAACCCTAAGTGGCTTCTCCCCAGCTTTAGGACACCACAGGGATGCTCACCTTTTAAGAGACTTGCTTTCCTAGAATAGCCCCAGCCCCTCACTTTGGGATTGTGCTGTGAATGACAAAGTACTCATGGCAGGGAGCCCAGAGAGTTCCAGCAGGTAAGGAGAAGACCCTCGAAAGTAAAATAAAAAAAAAATCTGCTACTAACTGGCAGTTATTTGAACTAGTTATACCAGAGACCAGGAGCAGGCCGCACAATCGCTTCTTCCCCAGGGCTCTTCTCCTAAGCTGAGAAGATGCCAGCCGTGTGTTTATCATTTCTCCCCACTATCTTTTAAGGCAGCCACATCCCAAGCCAGCAGGCAGAAGCTGGACCAAGACACATGTCCAATGGGGAAGGAGGCCAGGTTCACTGCACTAGGCATGAAATACGCCTTATCTCATATTTGCCAACACACCTGCACCATGGGGACACATAAAATGTGAACCTCATTCCCATTTCCCATTAGAAATTAAGAGATTCACAAAGCCCAAATAATGTGTGCTGGGCCATTTAGCAATGATAGAGCAGGACTGGGTCTCCCTCCAATTCCATTCTACCCAAGAGGTACAAGGACCACTGCATGTAGTGTGCAGGCTGTGAACTGCAAGAGAATCCCACATCCAAGGAGATACATGAGCCCACCCTGCCTGCAGGGCTTGTACACCTGGGAAAGAGTACACTCAGTACACTCAGTACAGATATCGGGGTGCAGAAAGCCAGTCCCACCTATGCTCCCTTGACTCCCCCCATTCCCACCTGCCCAATCACAGCCACGGTGGGAGCAGGGGAAGGACATATCTTATCCCTGGTACGATGGAGAGGGTGTGTGATCAGGTGACAGGGTGATTCTGTGAGTGAATGCACAGCCAGGCTCAGGAAAGTGCCCCCCAACACACACACACTGGCAGAGCTGGGCTACTTTACAGGAGTATGCTTAACTATGTTTCCTTCAAGAAACAAAGGCCCCCCACCAACCCCCCGACCTTGTGTTTTGTTTTGTTTTGTTTTGTTTTGTTTTGTTTTGTTTTGTTTTAAACAGTCTTGCTCTGTCACCCAGCTGGAGTGCAGTGGCGCAATCTCAGTTCGCTGCAACCTCCACCTCCCGGGTTCAAGCATTATCCTGCCTCAGCCTCCTGAGTAGCTGAAACTACAGGCGCACACCACCATGCCTGGCTAATTTTTGTATTTTTAGTAGAGAGAGCGTTTCCCCATGTCCGCCAGGCTGGTTTCAGACTCCTGACCTCAGGTGATCTTCCTGCCTTGGCCTCCCAAAGTGCTGAGATTACAGGCGTGAGCCACCGCACCCAGCCTGACAAAGACCCTTCTTAAATTCACATCCAGGCCCTGCATGGCTAAGCAGCCTCTCTGATCAGGCTCCTTCTTGGCAGCTGGCAGGTCAGCTACCTGGGCCCCTCTGAAGCCACCCCAGGTCACCTCTCATCATTCTCCTCCAGGAGTTAGACAGTTGGGATAACCTGGCTCTGGAGAGGAAGACTGGCAAGTCCCAAGAAAGTATTTGTGTCTCCCCCTGCTATTCTCATCCAGCTGGCCTTTCCCCATGGCCCTCACCCATGATAAATGCACCCTGGATGGGGAAAGAGGAACAGAAATTCCATGCTCTGGACCTTGCCTGGAGCTGGCTTCCCAACCATGCGACTTCCGCGGAACCTGCTCTTGCCGAGAAGGCACCAGTGGGTCCTCTCCAGCTCAAACATCTGCCTCCCTCAGCTTGTCCTGCCTGCAGGAGCTGGCCAGCTTCTCCTGCATGCTATGCTGATGCAAAGTTCTCTGTCCTGAATTGGCAGAACCACCTCTGTCAAGGATGTGGGGTTTGTTTTCTTAATTAACTGAAAATGCTAACATGGGAGCCCAGGAGCTGGCAGGGGCCTGGCCTTCAACCGCTGCTAGAAAAAAATCTTGCTTTGAAATCTGGATCTCTAACGCCCCACAGGGGATGTCAAAACAAACAGGGACACTTGATCCTGGAGCACAGGGCCTGGGGCAGGTTCAGGTTACAGGGCCAGAGATGGATTTAGCTACAGGATGCCACAGCAACCAACAGGTGACCAGATCCTGATTTCCCAAAATGGTACAGCTAGACCCCAAGATGCCCCCTGCTGGGGCACGGGCTCTAGGGGGATGGGGAGAGGTCATTGGGATTTATGCCAGCAATACTTCCTGAGTGCCTACTGCCCAGCAGGCACAGAACTGGGGGCGGGGGAGGCTGCAGAGATAGCCAAGTTCTATTGACTCCTGCGCTTGAGGAGATAAAATTAGGAACAAATTACTAATGTGTAGCACAGAAGGCCCCCAGAGCTGAAATATTTACTATCAAGACCTTTGCAGATAATGTTCACTGACTCCTAATGTACAAGACAGAAGAGGGTAGAGTGGAGTCTGGAGAAAAGACGACCAGAATGACCACCCAGGGCCCAGCTGAGGGACAGTAACCAGAGAGTGGAGATACAATGGAGCATCATTCAAAAGCAGAGATGACAGCAAGACCCAAAACCCCAGCAGGGGGAGGAGGGAAAGGAGGTGGAAGAGGATGGAGAGGCAGGGGTCCTCAGTCTCCTGCCTCCAGCCTCCAAGACTGGCAGGACATCCGATCCAGAAAGGATGCTGATTGCCCAGCCCCATCTAAGGGCCAAAGCACCAGGCTAGCATGATACAGCCCTGGATGCCCCCAGGGTGGTGAGGCACAAGTCACATGCACAGTTCTGTACACCAGGGATCATGCGATGGCCTTCTCACCTAACAGCTGGGCCTCAGGAAAGGTCAGAAGTTCTGAATGACCACAAAACATCCCTCTTTGGGAGGAAGTCACACAGTGTTCCAGGGAGGCCCCACACTTCCCCCTTCCCGGCACAAGTCGTCCCATCTGCAAAGGCCCAGAAAGGAGCAAGTTTGCTTGAGGTCAGAGATGCTATGTCAGAGCAGAGCACACCAATCTGAACTCAAGAGTCTTCGTTTTTCCTGACTTGCCTGTTCCTCTCTGAGTCTCTGGCCTAGGTCCATCCTGAGCTTGGAGACCAGCAGGTTGGAAGATTCAGAACCCCCAAGCTGCTTTGCCCCAACCTGAACTCCTCAGTTTTCTTCACCCCCCAGGAGAGGAGGATGTTGAACCATTTCCTCTTGGGACACCCATACTGCACATCTCCCTTCCTGCAGTAGAATCTGTCGATGTAGCCTTTCTTAATCTTTGGGCCTTTGAAGCACACAGTGTAGAGCCCAGTTTGAGAAACAAAGCATTGAAAGTTAAAAACTATCATTTTAGGAAACCACTCGGTGCCAACTTGCACAGAAACACAAACCTGGGGACTAAAATCGCATGCCAATAGTAGGTTATATGGTGGTCATTCAGATGATTCAGAATAAATGCCTCCAATTTTTACAGTATTATTATTAAAATGAAAACAAAGAAACATTTCTCAAGGAAAAGCACATTCTCAAGCAGAGTCTCAGACCTTGGAGAAAACAATCACACAATGTTCCCAGGGGTCTCTGGGGCCCAGTGTGAAGGGCTCTGGCTGGGGGTGAGGACCCAGGCTATGGAGTTAGGCTGCCCTGGACCCTTCCCTGTCCCAGCTGTGTCCTGAGTGCCCTCTACAATGGCTGTCACACAGTAGGCCAGCAATTCAACTTTGTTGAACACACAAATGAATAAATGGTTAGACGACTTAAGAGGTTCATCCTGGCTTTGCCATTTACCAGCCCTGCATCTTTAAGGAAAGGTCCTTAATCTCTGAGCCTTAGTTTCTTAATCTTTGAAATCTACAAAATTAGTCACAAGTCAATAAACTACTGCAAGAATTAAAGGAGATGCAAAGCCTTTAGCAGAGTGATTGGTGCATTCAAGGTACAGAATAAATGGTAACTATTATTGTTACTTTTCAAAAATGGCTTTAATCTCACATCCAAAATATCTTTCCAGCTCTGCACACCTTCCCAATTCCACCATGCCATATTATATTTTGGTAAATCCCCAGCACAAAGCCTGGCACAAGTAGGAACACAGAAAACATCTGTTGAAGCATAATTTAGCAGAAAGTGTCTCTGATTTGGAAACCCTCGGGTGAGTGCCAGGGGCTGAGGCTTCTAGCATTTCCTGCTTCCTCCATGGGAGGCCACCTCTTTGTAACAGACCCCAGCCCTCCAAACTGTACCTGAGCATTCAAGGCCAGGAAGCTCACCTGTGTCCATGCCACAGGAAATGGGACGGGGGCATTTGCTCTGCAGAGGGTGGGGATGCTGGCTGAGCCCATCCCCCTGCTGCATAGACTTCTCCTCCCATTCCTTCTCACTCCAGCTCTGGGGAGCGTGGGCCTCCCCCCAGGCAGCGTTCCCAGGCTTCAGCAGTAACAGGCCCTCCATTCTTCCCTGCCCTTGGCAGACCTGCCTCCTCCCACTACGACACTGTCCGCTGCTGCTCATGGGCAGCTGCCTCAATCCAAGGAGACAACGCAGATTTCTTGGGGCCCAGGCCTGGTCTGTCCCCTGACCCTATAGGAAGAAGAGGAATTGGTCCAAGTCTCCTCCTGAGATACACTCACAGGGTCACTCATTTCACCCTCAGGCTGCAAATGTCACTGGTCTCTGGCATCTTCACAAACAGCACTCACTGACCACACTTTGTTTTTCCCAAATGAGGGAGAAATCTGACATCTGCCCCTCCCGGATCTTCACTCCTTGGGCCAGGCTCCAGCTATGTTCAGATGTCAACCCCCAGCTCCCTGCCTCAAGGTTGACAACCACCAGGATAAGGTGGGGGGCTATCCCCAAGTTCAAGACTCGCTACCCACTGGGGATCCCAGTCCCCACCTCTGTCTCCTCCTTCTCACATTTGCCCATCAGATACCACTGGCAAGAGTCACCAGAACTCAACCCAAAATCTGCAATCCACAATCCAAGGAAGAGGATGTAACGCGGCTTTCTTTCACTTACCAAGTTTATCCAGCTATTTTCCAACTTTCTTTTTAGGAATCCTGAGCTCAGTCCTCAAGAATTATCTTCTGATGTCCCAGAGCTGGGTGCTGGGAGCCCAGGGCCACAGCAGGGGGCTGCAGACAGGGAGTCCTTCTGTGGGCATGGATTCCTGGGGTGGGGTGTGCTTGATTTGAAGCAGTGCCCCCTCCTCTGGAGGCTTCAGTACTAAAATCCAGCCCAGGAGTGTCCCAACCACAGCCCAGCAAGGTATCTAGCAAGGGAGGCAGGGCCACTGTCAGGAGCAGAATGTGTGGCTCTCTTTCTTAAAGGGACAGCCTGCCCCAAGAGCCCGAGGTGGGTGGAAATGCTAGAAAGGAAGGAGCAAGGGAGGATAAGCTAGCATCCTCCAGGGAAAAACTCTGAACACACACCAGTCTGTGACTCGGCACTAGCCTCATCCTGTGGTATGACAAGCTTCTCCACTTTCCTGATGTAGAACATGGAGGCAGAAAGACCCTTCCCCAAGGGAACTCACCTACTTTCCTCTAGGGCTGAACTCACCCAGAGGGTGTTGCAATAACCCATAAGAAATATTAATTATTTGCTATGTACACAGCACTTTCCTAAGTGCTTTGCATGAAGAAAATGATTTAGTCCCAATAGGAACTTTAGGAGGTAGGTATTGTGATTATTATTCCCATTTTACAGATGAGGAAACTGAGGCCTGGAGATAGTAAATTGCCAAGGTCTTACAGGTAATATGTGAAAAAATTAGGATTTGAACAAAACTGATTCTACTGGAGCTCAACCACTCATCTTCTACCAACCTTGTCCAGAGGGTAAATTTCTTTTTTCATCTTTATAGTTTTTAGTATTTTCCACATTCTAAAATAGGCATTATTCTGTATACAGAGAAAAAAAAATAAAGATCCCACCTTCTATCTCTCACTCCAATATTTCAATCAAGACGAGACTAGAGCGAGAAGATAAATGTATTCTACGTGGAAGCTCTAAGAGGAAGGAGAGTAGCAAAATTAACAGGACAGTGCAGCAAGGCTATGATTAAATCTATTTGAGTTAAGTTTTGCCTATTATAGATCCACAGGCAGGTTTTAAATAAAATTAAAATAATAGCTTCTTCTTTCAGCCAAAAACTGAAATAAAAAGTTTTTTAAAACCTGGTAACTGAAAAATTCAGCGAAGTCCAGGCTCCTCATAGATTATCCAAGACCTTTCCTAATTTGATCACCAGCTCCCTCCGCAGCTTCCCCCACATGGTCCCACCCACCCCACCCAGCCACCAGGCCAGATTACCAGAGGTTTCCATAAGCCTCTCCAGCACGCTGCCACTCACTCAGGCTAGGATGCCCATTCCCTCCACCTGTGCAGTCTTTGCCATCTTTCCAGACCAGGTTAAACTGTCAGTGCTGCTATGGAGGCTTCCACCCCCACGAGCAGAGTGTTGAACATTAAAAACTCCTTCCTCTGTGCTCTCACAAGCTTTGCCCGTTGCTATGGACTGAATGTGTGTGTCCTCTCAAAATTCATAGGTTGAGGCAGAATTCCCTATCTGATGCTATGTGTAGGCGGGGCCTTCGGGATATGATTAGGTCATGAGGGTGGAGCTCCCCTGAACGGGATTCATGCCCTTATAAAAGAGACCCCAGAGAGCTGTCTCATCCCATCTGCCATGTGAGGACACAGTGAGAAGGCTGAACCACCAGACGTCAAATCTGCCAGTGCCTGGATCTTGACTTTCCGGCCTCCAGAACTGTGAGAAATAAGCGTTTGCTGTGTAAGTCACCCAATCTATGGTATTTTGTTAGAGCAGCTTGAACTAAGACATCATCCAAAGTCTATTGTTAGAGGTAGCATCACATTGTATGCTAATTAACTGAGCATCTTTTTTTCACTTTTCTGTCCCTAGCACCTAGCACTAAAATCTTGTGGAGTCAGGCAGCTCATGATAGTAATTCTTATTGTTTGAGAGTGTGTTTGAGAGTGTGTCATAAGTGTTTAGTTTTGTGGGCACTTCCTCATGAGTTACCTCATTTGAACTTCACAACAATGAATAGGCATTAGATGTGTCAAATGTTAGTACTGGAGGAGGTAAGTAGCATTTGAGGTCCTTGTGACTCTGCCCTTTGAAGACTAGGTTTGCCCAGATGGACCTGAAGGACTGGCCAGGCTCCCCAAGCCCATTTTCAGCTGGGCCAGACTCTACACCGTCCCTGCCTTCCACAGGCCTCCCTGTGCTCCAACCTAACATCCTCTTGTCCTCAGCTTCCCTCCAGCCAAACAGAAAGCCAGTGGGCATAGAGATGATGGTGATGCTCACCAGCTGGGGTGTAGCCTGCATTCTCTGTGAGTTAGTGCATGCAAAATGGCCAAAGCACTGATGAGAGGCCACATGCCACATTTTCAAATAAGAACCCAGAACAATTCTGCCAGTTTTGTGGAGGAAAACCCTGTTATACATCCCTGAGGCTGTACCCCCTGGCACTGGCATCACTGAAAAAGGGTGTGGAACAAAGGCACACAGAATGTCAGAGCCAGAAGGAACCTTAGAAATCACATTGCTCAACCCCACTCTAGACAAGGAAATGAGGGCCCACACTCAGGAGAGGCTTGTCAGAAACAGTGACTCAGTAGCAAAAAACACAGAGCGACAGCTGGCTCCTGAGCCCTTTCAGATGATTCCGATCCAAGCAAGAAAAAGGAACCTAAAGAATTTATACTAAAAGGAGGTCACAAAGGCCAAATTAATTGCAAGGCATACTTCAATTACACAGCACACAAATGGGCTTTAAATGCAACATCACACACAGAAAACATGTTATAAAGAAAACAATACAGAAGAATAACAGGACGATGTTCAGTAACAGTGTTCAAATTTAGTCACCCTGGAGGCCAGGCCATGCTACAACCCATGTTCTTCCATGACCTCTGCTACGAATGAATTGAGCAGGTAGAGCTAAGTCTAACACTATTTCTGCATTGTGTTAGTAGAATGCATTAACGTCAAAATACCACAGATTAATACTTTCTTTCATCCTCAGATAAAATAATTTATAGTTGTTCTAGTTGTTGGTGCTTAGTCAAATATTGTTGGTCCCCACCCCCGATTACACACAGAGGATGGTACTTCCTGGGTCCTTGTGTTGGGTGGAGTCATGTGGCTAACTTTGGCCCATTCGCTGAAAATATGAAGGGTTAATTTTATGTGTCAAGTTGGCCATGGGACCAGGTATTTGGTCAAATACCAGTATAAAGGTTACTGTGAAGTTTTTTTTTTTTTTTTTTTTTTTTAATTGAGATGCAGTTTCACTCTGTCACCCAGGCTGGAGTGCAGTGACGCCACCTCGGCTCGCTGCAGCCTCCACCTCCCAGCTTCAAGCGATTCTCCTGCCTCAGCCTCCCAAATAGCTAGGACTACAGGCGTGTGCTACCATGCCCGACTAATTTTTGTATTTTTAGTAGAGCTGGGAATTCACCATGCTGGCCAGACTCGTCTCAAACTCCTGACCTCAGGTGATCCACCCACCTCGGCCTCCCAAAGTGCTGGGATTACAGGCGTGAGCCACCATGCCCAGCCAGAATTTTTTCTTTTTTTAACATGAGATGAACACTTAAATCAGTAGACTCTGAGTAAAGCAGATTACCCTCCATAATGTGGGTAGGCCTCATTTGATCAGTTGGAGGCCTTCAGAGAAAATGACCGAGGTCCCCCAATGAAGGGAACTCTACCCCTAGACTGCCTTCAGTCTTGAGCTGCAACATCAGCTCTTTCCTGGGTCTCCAGCCTGCTGGCCTACCCTGCAGATTTTTGACTTGTCAGTCCCACAACCATGGGAGCCCATTCCTTAAAACAAATCCAGATATATGTAGAGAGAGATCCTATTGGTTCTGTTTCACTATAGAACACTGATGAACAGAAGCATCATTAGTGGTCTAGAGCTTTTAATTGTGAGGACCAGACTCCCTTTTCCTTTAGAACAGCAACTGCCAACATTGAAGACAGGGCCTGTTCTGCCAGCCTCAGTTCCTGAGGGACTAAAACAAGCAGAGACCCTCTGTTGATCCACTACCGACAGATAACATGAGTAAGAAATACACCTTTGTTGTTTTCAGTCACTGAAATTTGGAGATTGTGTGTTATTACGCATAATCTTTTACTGACTGAAGTGCTCATTGTTTATCTTAGATTTAAGACATTAGGGGGCAAGGAGAGAAACCCAGAAAAGTAATAGAATCATAAAAGGATTTTGATCCTGGCCTCCCAGAAAGACTCCCAGGCACATGGCCCTTCCTCCAGCTGCATAGTTTCCCTGTTGTGTATGTTGGGATCCTGGGAGTCTTAACCCAGAATCCAGCCACAGTTGTGTAAGTGCATCAAAGGTGCGATCTCACTGCTGAAACTTCCCTAGAAAATGTTCAGAGCTCTGCTGAGGAATCTGACCTGGGCCTAGGATGGGAAGCCCTCCAAAGAACAAAAGTTTCCACTACGGCAACAAGAATGTTAAACACGATTTTGAAAAACTTCTCAGCAAAAGAAATGTGATGATGAGTATTTATAAGCCAAAAACCAAAGGCCATTCCCTAGTTCCTGTGAGGTTTCCCGCCACACGGGGAGCGTTAACAGGACTAGAGACGGTACTGGAAACAGACCTGGATGTCCTTGGCTCCACTGCAGATGGGTTAAGTGTGGAGCCTTTGAGAAAAAGCAGTCACAAAGTGTTGATGATTCTCCTTGGAAATCAAGGGTGATCCAGAGGCTGCTGGGACTCCTCCATACCTTTCTTCTCAATGAATAAATCCAGGCCCCTGAACTTAAATACAGAGGTAAAGTGTGGGGTAGAATAAGATATAATGGACTTGAACTATTACAGGAACTATTTAGCTGAGACCAGCAGCTCTCAAAACTGGGGGTGGCTACCCATCACACCCCCTGCCCCCAGAGACATTTGGCAATGTCTGGAGAAGTTTTGTGGTTCTCGTAACTAGTAAATGTTACTGAGATCTACTGAGTAGAGGCTCGGGGTGTTAATAAGCCTCCTATATACAAAAGATAGCCCCCCCACAACCAAGAATTATGTGGCCTAGTATCAAGATTGAGAACCTGTGGCTGTGATCAAATCCCTAGTTATGAGGGTGTGAAGGTTTAGAACAAGAGCAGGAGAACATTTATAGAGCAATATGCCCCATTGCAAAAATAAATACATTGCAGTCAAACTGTGGGACCTCAGATAAGCAGTATCAGCATTACCTGTG
The DNA here is from genome assembly GCF_000001405.40 of Homo sapiens. Lineage (NCBI taxonomy): Eukaryota > Metazoa > Chordata > Mammalia > Primates > Hominidae > Homo > Homo sapiens. The sequence continues at coordinate 39,816,220 of NC_000006.12, read as the reverse complement.
AACATGTTAGAAATGCGCAGCCTTGGGCTCTGCCCCAGACTCCTGGATCAAATTCTTTCTCAAGTATTTACTAGAAAAAATACAACGTGTGATTCATATACCTATAGAGAAAAACCAAAACTATCACTAAAGCATCCTGAGAGGTAGCACAGTTCATGTCAGTAGGAAAAATAAATCTTCATTGCTACTCTTCTCCCTATGAGGGAGGAATCCAGCATGAGAATCAGGGTAGAAGGTCCATTCTTTAGAAGTTGTCTTTGGATTTGCAAAGTGAACTGAGGAGCAAAGTTGAGGAGTGGGGCTGGAGAGTAAAGACAGCTGAATTACTCAACATAATAAAGAGGGGGACCTGTTTGAGTGAGTTGCTTGTGAGCACCAAGGGAGAGAGGAGGAAGACCAAATGGTGTAACCTTTGGCCAATCTATTTTAGAATAAGCTTATCCAGTGCTCAATTCTGAATTGTTGTAATACAAATACCCTTGGTCTCCCCAGACCTCCATAAAGTTCACCGCATTCATGAAGCCTTGTGTAAACGGTGTGTGTGTGTGTGTGTGTGTGTGTGTGTGTGTAAACCAGGGGTATGGGAGTAATTCCACATCTGGGTCAACACAGTGCAGAAGAGTTCGTGGTTTGCATGACACCAATAAGAGTTAATGTTTCCTGTGAGCTTACTATGTGTAAGGCACTGTTAAACTGTGTTTAACAGACACAGTTTCATTGAAGGCTCACAGCTGCCCTATGGGGAATACCATGGTTATTTCATATTAGGGATAAGAGGTCTGCAGCAGAGGGAATTTATGCCACTTGCTCAGGGACACCCATACAATGAGTGAGCCTTAGAGACAGAATTGAAATCTCAGCAGTCTGGCTCCAGAGTTCATGTTAATTTCTGGGCCACCATGCTTGTCACCTAGGGGTAGTTAATAATCTTAACGAATTCAGTGGAAATAGGAACTCAGAGCCAGAGGTGATGTGAAAAATATAAGCCACCACCACTTATTTTGGAATCTCCAGACCAGCAGTTCCCAGGCTTCAGTGTGCACCAGGATCACCACGTGAGCTTGATAAGACACAAATCGCTGGGCTGCACCCCTAGAGCTTGATCCAGAAGCCTTGGGCAGAGCCCAGGGATGTGCATTTCTAAGAAGTTCACAGGTGATTCTGATACTGCTGGTCTAAGGTCCCACAATTTGAGAACCACTGCCCTCTGTTTGTGGCAGTGAGATTCAGCTAATTTATTCTGAATCTCAAAGACAGGGCTCCTCGGGTGACATCTGGTCACAATATCAATGACTGAGTGGCTCTGAATTGAATCAGGCTAATACTGAAGAGAATGGAGGAGGAGAGGGATGAGTATCCAGTGGAATTCAACCTGGAAAACTTCCTGGAGGAAGAGCCACGTGGTGAGAACAGATGCTGAGGTTACTTATTTCCTCAAATCTCCTTGATACACACTCCATACAGCAGGGCTCAGGCATTTGAGTTCCACAGAAATGGTGGGAGGGCACCCCTTGTTCTTTGGTGAGTCAATCCAGAAAGGCTTAGCAGAAAGTGAGGAATCAGGAGACATTCTCTTCCATGGAACTAGAAGCTGCCTAGGACAGTGGTTAGGAGAAAGATGAACGCGTTTGAATTGCAGCTCTGCTGCTGTGCCACATGGATCTTACTCCAGGTCCTTAGCTGTTCTAAACTTTAGTTTCCAAATCTGTAAAACAGAAAATCAGTTGTATGTGAAGTGCTCACCACAGTGCTCACCCAACGCCAACGCCAACCCCAACAAAGGCATCAGAGCTCCATCTGTGGCCAGGGAAACCAAGCCAAGGTCAAAGGGGAGGCTGGCTTTGTTACTGCTCCCAACTCACATAGGAGCTGGGAGGTTGAGGTTTAGATGCTCTTCATCTTCTGTCATTTAAAACAGGGTGTCTAATCTTTTGGCTTCCCTGGGCCACACTGGAAGAAGAAGAATTGTCTTGGGCCACACATAAAATACACTAGCACTAACGATAGCTGATGAGCGAGAAAAAAAAAAAAAGAAAGAAAGAAAAAGAAAACTTAAAAAAAATAAAACCTTGCAAAAATCTCATAACATTTTAAGAAATTTTATGAATTTGTGTTGGCCCTCATTCAAAGCCATCCTGGGCCGCATGCAGCCCATGGGCCACGGGCTGAACAAGCTTGATTTAAAAGATCCTCCATCCCACAGGGTATCAGCTGGTCTTTTAGGGCCCCTTTCCCCCAGTTCTCAGTTTCCTCTCTACCAAACAGTGGCCATGACCCTTTTCCACACCTCACTTGACTTATCTCCTCATTTACAAAGTTGGTAATACTAACCAGAAGATAAAACCACAATACAAAACTGTCTAACATCTGCACATATAATATGTATTCAACCATGCTTTTACAATGTATGTGGAGAGAAAAGACTGGAAACATTAACTGCCAAATGTTAAGTGACCTGGGAAGGCAGATTCTCCAAGTGTTGTTTGTGGCCAGGTGGGAAGCTGTGGGAAAGGGGGCAGAGGAACAGAAAGATCAAAGTCTCTTTTCAGTGCCCCGTGATGGGCTCATGAACTAATTTTATTTTTGTCTTCTGCTACTATGTATTTTGTATAATAAATCCATGTTTCTTTTATAATAAAGGAGAGAATTTTTTTTAAAAAAAGCAACTTCATATCCTCCTAAAGCTTTTCTTGATTATAACTCACTCCACACACACTCTGCTCACTCAGCTCACGTGCTTCCTCTTGGTGCCTGTCCTGTTTCTAGCCTATGAATTTGCATAACGCAGCCATAAGAGGTTGCTTTCTAAATGCTTTCGAGCAGATTTCCTATTCATTTACCTTAGATCTTCTGGTAAGCTGAGCTGCCCCAAAGAGGAGGGAGATGCTTCCTCCTAGTGGAAGAGCAGCCAGACTCATCGCCTATGATTCACCCCCACCCCAAAAACTCACTAGAGGGCTCTTCAAACAGTAAGTGGTCCATGCCAAAAGGAACTGCACAGAAAGTGGCCTGTAGGTGAGGAGAACTGTGTACACATACATACACACACACACGCACACACACACACACACACAATCTGCCTCTTCTTTCCTTCTCTCTCCAGAGGAAAATGTCATCCGGTTAGTGCCCTCAGATGAACTGGGAAGGCAAGCTCCCCGGTTGTGGTTTGTGAGGGGTGGGTGGCTGGGGAGGGGAGGTGTCAGGGAGAGCCAATCCACTTCCATCTGGCACTGAAATCTACACTTATTTTCCTGGACTGGACTACGATCCCCTTTCCCAATGTGAGGAATCGTGCTTTCTTGGTGACACACACTTTCCCCCAAGAATGCTTGGCTTTTCAATGAGGAATTCTTATATATTTGGGATTCTTGGAAACAGGACAAAGACTAATGAATTGCTGGCTCTATCCTAGGTTTGGAAACCCTCTAGAACTCACAGGAGCTGGAGGAGGACAGAGGCAGGCAGGAAAAGGGAGTTGAGGGTGTGTTTGCAACAGAGGGGAGGGTGGCAGGATTGAGATGTCAGATTAAATTGTTTGAGTTACAGGCACTCCAAAAGCTACCTGCTGACTCCACAGTCAGAGGTCACCATCCACACTAAGAATAGAAGGCTGACAGGGGCAGGGTGGGGAGGCGGGGGATACTGAGTGTTTGTGGAGGCTAGAGAGTTATAACAAAGCAGAATTCAGGTACAGTCGATTGTCAAGTTCATCATGAAGTGAAATGATTGGGGTACGGTACAGAAAGCACGGGTCTTAGGGTCAGGCACACCTTACTTGGAATCCCCTCTGTGCCACAAACTAGATGTGCAACTTCAGGAAAGTTGACTAAATTCTCAGAACCTCAGTTTCCTCTTCTATAAAATGGGATAATACCCACTTTGCAGAGCTGTTAGAATGAGATGTGTTGAAATGTGCAAGGGCTTAGCCCAGTGTCTGGCACCTAGTGAGCCCTCCATACATGGTAGGTATTATTTAGAGAATTTGAATTTGAAGAGTAGGAGTGTATAAAACCCTTCATAGGAGAACAGCTGCAGAAGGTCTGACTGCCGTGGGTCTGGCCAGGGAGTGGGAAGACCTAGCTCCCGGGGTCCGCAGCAACCAGGCTTATATTCCCCTCCTAACATGCTCTTTGGTAGCCTTTGTTAGTTCTGGCAGGTTTGGGCTATGCACCCTGCCCTATGCCCCAGATACAAATTCTCTGTAGCCTCAGTGTTTAAGTCCAAGGAGTAAATGTGTGGGTTCCAGGTCACCAGAATGAAATCACAGAGGGTCTACAGGGGCCCTGCATCCTCAGTCTCAGTTCCCTCAATTATCAGGAAGGGGACTGGCTTCTCAGTAAACATTAGGCAAACCATCCAACCCTGGTGTCTAAGGAGCTCCATGAGTTCTCAAGCCATCCTGGAGAAAGCCAGGGGCTGAGTTCCTGCCACCCTTCTCAGATCCCCCCGCCAACATCCCCTGCCAAGAGCTCTAGTAACCTGGGCAAACAGACCATGGCCCCCAGGGTGTTCTCAGCCTAACAGAGAAGGCCAAACCCAGACATAAAAGACTTCAGAATACAGCAAAACAAGGGAGAAAGAAAACAGTTTTCTTTCAAAGGAGCTTATATATGCAGAGGGATCATGAGGTGATTTAAGGAATCCACATTCCATGGGGTAAATCCAGGCAGACGTTCCAGAGAGGAGGGTGCCGGGTGGGGTTGCCATTTGGTGTTGCCCACGAGCTCTCCCCAAAAGTCCCCTCCTTTACTCTGTGGCCTGCCTGAAGGAGAACAGGCACTTTGTCCTGAAATAGTCAATGTACATAACCCCTCCATCGCAGGGATGCTCAGGGTGGCTCTAGTTACAACAATAAGGGTTTAACAACTGGAGTGCTTGCAATGGCGGAGGCAGAGAGAGAAAACAAAACAACATCCACATGAGGTTTTCATTTTCTTTAGCCACGTGAGAATGGCCCTGAAGATCCAGCTATAAATACCCAGCTGCCATTGCCACAAGATGGAAAATCACACACACACACACACACACACACACACACACACACACTCCCTTCAGTTTACAGGCTTACAAATGCAAATCAAAGTTTCTAAGAATATCTGCCTTGAGAAGAGACAATGCTGGACCCCTTGTGCTAAATGCCTTGTCAGGAGGCCTCCTCAAACATATCTGAGGACTTGGCAAGGAGCATTCCCACAGCCATCATCAGGGTGGAATGAGGATCTGCCTCCACAACACCCAGGCCAAGCCAAAGCCCACCAGTGGCCACAAACTGGGCTGAGGGGAAGGGTTTTAGATCCCTTCCCTTAGGGTGTAATAAAGAATAGCCTGCTTTACCCAGGACATTTTAGATTGGGTTCGCTAGAAGCAGAGCCTCGGACAGGATGGGTGTATGTGTGATTTGGTGAAACTGAGCTCTCAGGAAGAACCAGAAAGGGAATGAAGGAAATAGGAAAAGGCAGGGGAGGGATCTGGGAAAGAATGTGGTTTCGGGTGAGGTCTAACTTCAGCCTCATGCTGTGAGGAACTCTGAAGGGTGACTTGGACCGAGACACATTTGTCCCCATAAGGGGCAAAAAAATGGGGCTCTTCCCCTTTCCTAGTGAGTCATTGGTCACAGGATGCAGGGGAGAGGTGGGCTGGGGTGGGGCAAGTGGGTGTAACTTCCAGGTACCTCTGGGTAGAGGGGATGGACAACCCAAGGGCAGCCCACACAGGTGTGAACCATTAGCTGGAGCACCCACAGCAACCAGGGGTCTGGGAAGAGCACCAATAGTATTTTCTGCAGACTCTGCCATACCAAGTGGCTTGTTGCTTAGAATTTGCTTTTTCTATTGATTACATAGGTTTTTGTTTGTTTTTATTTTACCTGTGAAGATTTTAGAATCAGCCTGCTGAAGAGAGAAACAAGGTTTGATCGATGTGACACATGATGCTCATTGTTCACCTAATGTCTGATCTCTTCTTCTTTCTTCCTATGAATGGGTCCCTGCTTTTGTTTGCAGCAGCAACATGCCCAATTAAAAAATGTTCAGCTTCCCCCCGGACTCCACTGCAGTTTGGGACCTCTATTCAACAGAATTTTGATGTGTATGGCCAGGACTTTCCGAGAAGCTTATTAAAGAGACTGGAAGTAGCTGGCATGCACTTTTTATGCATTGTCATTTTCTTTCTTCCTGCCTGGAATGCAGATTGAAGATGGAGGTGATGCAGCCACATTGTAACCATGAAGCAATGAGCACAAAGACAAAGGTTCCATTCTAAAGAAGGCTGAAGAAGAGAGAGAGAGAGGGAGCCTGGGTCCCTGATGGCACTGTGGAACCACCCTACCAACTCTGGAGTGTGTCTGCTGAACTGGTTGTGTAAGAAAAATAAAGAACCCCAGTTGACAGAACAACTCTAGCCAGGTTTCTGTTCCATGTGGCTATAGCTGAATATAAATTCTGATACAAACCTCAAAACACTCGTTCTGTGGGGTATACCATGGAAAAAGTCCCTTTAGATAAATTGAGAAGCGCTAGTTTAGACATCGTAAAACTAGGGTGTTTTTTGTTTTTGTTTTTTTACTGCAGTGCTTCTCTGAGCATTGTGGCTCTCTAGGGGGAAAAGTAGGGGAGATGGAAAAGGGCTACTTAAATTTCTTTAACCACAGAACTTTCTTTTTCCCTAGGACAACCATTGTGAGAACTTAGTGTTCCATCAAAGGCAGTTTGGGAAATGCTACAATAGATGACCTCTTCAGATTTCTTTCCTCCTGAACATTTCACCATTCCCCAGCTAGAAGAAACCGAGCAGATAGCCAGGTCTATAAGCAGCCCTGGTACGTGACTTTAATGAGACATGAATGAGAGCCAAAGAACTGAGGCCTGTGAGGTTGGTCACGGAAGAGCAATGAACTAGGTAAATTAAGAAACTCAGGGAGGTGCCAAGTCCCTGAAATTTCAGAGTGCCCACTCCCCCATTACGTTTCTGCTAAGCCATGAGTCTGGCAGAGGCTGTGTCCCTCTGGATCCACAGCTCCTGCCAAGTGGTCCCTCCTGCACAGCTCCAGCAGGCAGAGCTCTGACGACACCACTCCTTGCTCTCACATCTTCAGGTGGAGAAGCACTAACGGCTTCCTGGTGCTGCTCCTTCCTGAGTGCGTCACCATCTCTCTACTCCCTCCTCTGTAAATAGCCTTCTCATTAAACTCTTATCCATCAAACCCTTTTGGGAGTGCCAACTGCTTCCTGCCTGGAGCCTGACTGACAGAGACAACAATACACATTCTTAGAGAAACCACGCTCCCATGATTTGCTCAAACAAGTCCCAATTTCATGATTTTTGTCTTTTAATTAAGGTGAATTACACGATGTATAAATAAGCAGGATGCAGAGAGGAAAGCCACCCCCAACTTTAGTCCCCAGTGCAAGCACCACGCCAACCCGATAAGGGGTTCACTGCTGCTGAACTGAGAGTTAAGGTTCACGGACTGGGTCAAGGACAAAGGCCATATAACAAGGACAAGGGCCCTCAGGGCCAACACAGTGTATGTCACTTGGATTGGGCTCAGACCAGATTTCAAGGGAAGGAAGCTATCATAAAAAGTAAGGGACATGAAAGAGCTGAATCGACTGCACTTCAATAAGACACCAGAGAAGAAGTCAGCATGGCTTCATTGTCAAGTAAAAGAAAGTGAAGCAATTCCCAGTGGTGGGTACTTTCCCACCTCAGGCTGGGGTGTTCGCAAAAGGAACAGAGCAATGGCTGTATATGAATGAAAATCAGAAGGGAAGGAGGACTTCATGGCGACAAGGCAGTGATGGTGGAGAGAGGAAAATTCTTTCACCCTGTAGCAATGAGAAGCACTTGACATTATCTGGTCCCATGTCCTTATCAAAAGGACAGCCTGTGGTCACTTTCTAGCACTTGCAAGAAATCCCAGTAGCTCTCAAGGAAGGGATGGGAGAAAGAAGGCTCCAGAATTTGCTGTGTGGGAATGAGCCACAGAGTTGCTGTTTGGTTTCTATTAGGTTGGTGCAAAAGTAATCATGGTTTTTGCCATAATTTTTGGACCAACCTATACTACTACGACCCTATTTGGCATCTCCACCAGTATATCAAAATATGATCCCAACAAATCCGCAAATTAGAAAAAAAAAAAAAAAAGGTCAAAAACAGTGATTACCATGTGCACATGAGATATAGATGTTTGGAGAAGAGCCTATTTGGAGATGTCACATCTACCTGAAATTTTCCAGATGGACCTACAGCCAATAGGAGACAGCTTCCTGTTCACTCTTCAGCATAACTACTCACCAATGGTCAAGGGAGATGAACTAGGAGTCTGTGCCTAGTTTTTAAAATTAGCTTTGCTTAAACCAAAAAATATTTTAGATATCTAAAAAATATAAATAATAATAAACTAGGCCTGGTGCAGTGGCTCAAGCCTATAATCCCAGCACTTTGGGAGGCCGAGGTGGGCGGGTCACTTGAGGTCAGAAGTTCGAGACCAGCCTGGCCAACATGGCAAAACCCCATCTCTAGCAAAAATACAAAAATCACCCAAGCATAGTTGTGCTCGCCTGTAATCCCAGCTACTCAGGAGGCTGAGGTGGGAGAATCACTTGAACCCAGGAGGCGGAGGTTGCAGTGAAAAGAGGTCACGCCATTGCACTCCTGTCTGGGTGACAGAGTGAGACTCTGTCTCAAAAATAAAATAAACATTTGTATACCCACCCTTCAGTCTAAGAAATAAAATATTACAGATATAAATGAAGCCCCTATGTGCTTCTCCCCTGGTCTGCCTTACTGCCTTTCCTAGAAGGAGCCGCTTCTCTGAATTTTATGGTTGTTCACAAACATAATTTTATGCTTTAATTATACATATAAATGTTTGTAAATAAAAGAGAGTATTGTTTTACATGATTTTAACTTACTAGCAATGGCATCCTTCTGCAACTTGCTTAATATTGTTTCCACTTCATATCGTTTCTGAGATTATATGTCACTAGTATCTGTCTTTAACAATGTCTAGCACCCTTTTTTTTTTTTTTGCTGTGTTCTATAGTATTCCACCGTAAGTATGTATGTATCAAATTATTTAACCAGTCTTCTGGTTGATAATGGATATATGGGTTGCTTTTTAGCTCTAAAAAACCATGCTGTAGTGAATATTCCTGAACATATCTTCTTTCCATATGTATTAGACTTTGTCTGGACTTACCTAGGAGTGAAATTGCTGGGTCTTACAGTAAATGCATCTTCAGTTTTACCAGATAGTGTCAAATTGCCCTTTGAAGTGTTCCTATCAGTTTAATTCCACCCTTAGTGAAGAGGAGTTATTTTTGGCTCCACATCCAGTATGATGAGCATGATTTTTTCTTTTCTTTTTTTTTTTTTTTGCCAATCTGATGAGTATAAAACAGAGTCTCCTTGTGATTTTAATTTATGTATTTCCCTGATTCCAAGTCAGGTTAAGCATCTTTTCATATGTTTATGATTCTATGGCATCATTTTAATGTTAGCATTACATTTACATGCTTTAAGACACTAAAGGATTTTTTATTTTAATTCCTCACTGGAAAACTTGCAGAGGAAAGAAGGGTTGAGGATGGAGGCAGAGGGAAGACTCCCTTTTGCATCCTGGCTATGAGACAGGGATTTTTTTTTAAATAAGCCATAATATTAGAGATAAATCACATGAAGCAGAAATTCCAGCCATTCCTGGGCAATGTGGGGAATGCACTTTTTAGACCTTGTTGTCATTGTCTAGGAGCAGCTCTGAATGATTTCATCATACCCTTCACCTTCAAGGCACATAGCTATATGGGTATAGCAGATAGGCTGGAGGAATCAAAGGAACCATTTGTCCATCTTCCTACTGCAAGAAGCACCACGTATTGACCATATCAACAGATGAAATGGCTCCTCTAATAACATACCTGGAAGGAGACTCCACAATGTCCTTCTACTCCCAAATACTCTTAAATGAGAAAGAGGCATCCTAAGATATTTTTCAAATATCTTTTACATTCTGAGCAAGACGGACTTGTTTAATTTCCATCCACTTTGAGCATCTCCCTCTTATAGCAATAATCTTCACTTCTAGATCCTTCCCCCATGACATTGCTGAGTACCTTGAGGACTCATCTATATGTCCCCTGTCTCTGGCTCAAGGATGGTGGCAAAATAGATCAACTAGTTTGGAAATGCTTGAGAGTAAGGACCACATGTTATTCAACTTCAAAATTTCAGGAGGCATTTGATTTATGTTTCTTAAGGGAAGGAAATTCTTCCACACTGAATTTTCTCTGAGCTTTAAGAACAGCGTAATGGTAGAAATAAGCCAGTCTTGTTCAGGTTATAAAAGATACCTTAAAAATACCTTAGGGGCCGGGCACGGTGGCTCACTCCTATAATCCCAGCACTTTGGGAGGCCAAGGCGGGTGGATCATGAGGTCAGGAGATGGAGACCATCCTGCCAACATGGTGAAACCCCGTCTCTACTAAAATACAAAAAATTAGCCGGGTGTGGTGGTGGGTGCCTGTAGTCCCAGCTACTCCAGAGGCTGAGGCAGGGAAATCACTTGAACCCAGGAGGCAGAGGTTGCAGTGACCCGAGATCGTGTCACTGCACTCCAGCCTGGGCAACAGAGCGAGACTCTGTCTCAAAAAAAAAAAAAAATAACCTTAGGATACTTCTTTCCCATGAAACCTTCCCTGACTTCCCCCAACTCAGAATATTTCCTCATCCATGTGTTGCAGTAACACCATGTAGTATAATACCTAGCATTCCAATGGAAAGAAAACTATGTGGCAAATAATAATAAATATTTATGGAGTACATACTATGTTCCAGGCACTGTTCTAAGTATTTTACATATATTAATTTTATCCTCATTTGGGAGTAGGTATCATTACCATCACCATTTTACAGATGAGGAAACTGAGGCTCAGTTTCCAAGACTACACTCCTAGCAAGTGGTGAAATTTGAATTTAGGTCCCACTAGTTTGACTCCCGGAATCTGCACTAGAAATCACTGTGCTATACCAAAACTTCTCCTGGAAGCACACAAGCCCTTAGATGCTTCTTGCTGTTGTTCTGGTGAAAATGCAGCTGTGGGCTTAATAAGAAATTAATTATCCTTTGCATCCTTATCTTGGAAACCCACATCAAATCCTTAGGGCCTTGGAGGAATTTGCTGATTCCTTTCTTATTAATAAAAATTCCCAGTCACAGGGGTTTGGCTCATATGCAGTCAACCTCACTTTAACAGACTGGAGCTCTGGAGGTGGGCGGGAATTTTGCTCACCAGAATTCACTCCACAACACCTGACTCAGCACACAGTGTCTCATACCAGGCAGCTTCCCAGATGTTTGTTGAGTGACCACAAGCATTAACAAATAAGACTTACACAGCACTTTGCAGTGTGCCAAGCACTTTTCATATACTTTACACCTTCCGGCTCACTTCAATCTGGTACCACCAGTATTACTGTCATTTCCATTTCACACATGACTAGAAATGCTCAGAAGCTCATCTATGGCGGTGCAGCTAATTAGAGGAAGGCTGGAATTCAAACCTAAGTCCTGACACCAAGTCCCATGATACCACATCTTTTGTTACTAATTAAGTTGATCCCTTTTATTCTTTGTCCTTTGTATGTGTATGTGCGCATGCATGCATACACACACACACACACACACACACACACACAGAACTGATCTCTCTTTCTGGACCAGTGCAATAGGCGTCAGCTCAGAAAAAAAGGAAAGAATCTAAACCAAGTTCTTGTTTATGGACTATGAATGAATGAGTGAGCTAGTGACTGAGTAAATGAATACACACAGGGATAATTGATACATACAGTCAACAAGTATCCCCTGAGCGCTAACTCTGTGTCTGCCACCAGACACTGTAAACACTGCAGTGACTTAGGCACAGTCCTAACCTTCTAGGAGTATCAAATCTGTTAACAGAAGAGTCTCAACAGCAACTGAATCTGAGAAAAGAAGCTCACCTCGTCAGAGCGCCATTTGAACAGGAAATGGTGTGGAAAGGGGAAGAAAAAAGCCAGGCTCTGCCAGACTCTTCCCATAAACAGAGGAGGCTGGGGAGGATGCCACATCAGGCCAAACTCCAGACAGACAGTGCTCTGAAAGAGTTAAAAATAACCCACACAGCCCCACTGACCAGGACAGCAATGCCCACACAGACTTCCAGAGGGTGAGCATTGTCCCAGGCTGCCCAGGACAGTCTCAGTCTGTGACTATTCCCTCCAGTGTCCCATCCAGTTAATGCCCCTTTCACTCTTGAGAGTCCTGGTTTAGAAAGTAAATTATATGGTCGCCTTTGCCTTCCAGGAAATTCATGACTCTCCAGCAGCCCCTGGGCAGGAAAACAATTTGGCTTCCCAAGGTCACTGAGTTGCTTATGTCTGTTCCTCTTTACAGGACTTCTCCTCACAGCCCCCACCCCACAGCCTGCACAGGTTCTAGGGGGACAGCACCCAAGTCTGTGTCTGTGTTTCCTTCCAGTGTTAGCACTGAGGCTAAAGCGAGTCACCATGGGATCCAATATGCATGAGCTTCAGATTCGGGCATCCCTGTTTTATATTCTGACCCTGACAGTTTCTGCTTCTAACATCTTAGGCAAGTCTCTCAAGTTTCCTCATCTGAGCCTCAGTCTCCTCATCTGTGAAAAGGGAGTGATACTCCCACTCCCCATCTCATGGGATTGCTGTGAGGATTTGGTGAAACAGTGTAAGCGAAAATGCCTGGCACACTGCCTGCTTCTTAGAGGACTACCTACCCCAGCAGACTTTCTAGAACATGTGAACTCTCAGCTAGAAAGAGCCTGGGAGCTGTGAACGTCTCAGGAATCCCTGTATATCACTGTCAAGCCTCTGCACTATTGAGTTGGAACAGCTTCTTCATCTGTCAAGAATATGCAAAACATGGCACAACTCATTTATAAAACTTTGGCCATACCTCCTAAAGCTGAACATATGCATGCTGAAGGCTCTAGCAATTCTACTCCCAGGAATATACCAAGAAAAACGCATTCATGTGTTCACCTAAAAGTGCACAAATGTTCACAGCAAGGCTACTCACAACAGCCCCAGACTTGACACCACTCAAATGCCCATCAACAGAAAAATGGAAAAAGTAAAGTATGTTGTATTCACATAATGGACTACTACGCAACAATGAGAATGAATGATCTACACAACAACAAAATGCTGAGCAAATGAAGCCAGACACAAATAAGCACCCACTGTATGATTCCATTTATATGAAGAGCAGGAAAAGGCAAAACTAATCTATGGTGCTAGAAGTCAGGATCATGGAAGGGTAGTAACCAGAGAGGGGCACGAGGGGGCTTCTTGGGCAGGGCTGGGGTGGTGGATGTTCAGTTTATGGAAATATATTGAGCTACATCCTCAAAAATTGTGTATTTTTTCTCATTTATGTTGGGCTTCAATAAAAAGTTAAGACAAAATAAAAATTTTTAATGGAAAGTATATTTCTTTCTTTGGTAGAGAGTTGAGTGGACTAGGTAGGCAGTAGACAGCAAAAGGCACTGGGATGTATTATTTAATAAATGTTTCTTGAGACCTAACTCTGTGCCAGACACTATGCAGGATGCTGGGGAAACAGCTAATGAGATGCACTCTCTGTTCTCTACTATCTTCACCACCACCACCACCATCATCATCTTCATCCTCACTAACATTTCTTAGTGCTTACTATGTGCCAGACATGATTTCAAGGACTTTCTTTTTTCTTTTTTTTTAACCAAGTAATGTATTAACTTTACCTCCAAAACAATCTGCTTTGCAGATGAGGAAACTAAGGCACAGAGAGATAAAGTAACTTGTGCAAGGTCACACAGCTAGCAAGAAGTGGAGCCAGAATCAGAATCCAGGCCATCTGAATCCAGGGCCTGTGCTCTGAAAAACAGCTTTATGCTGCCTCTAACAGTTGAGAAACCTGGTCTGTTTATCAGCTGTCAGCCTCAGCTTCCATTTAGGCAGCCACAGACATCGATAACATTACCTCTGTTCAGGGCAGCGAGGATGGTAACTTATTGACTTTGTGTCTTGGAAGGGCCGAGCAGTTCCTAACTATCTCTGGGCAGCTGCTAGTGCAATGCTTCCTGGTGGGGAACAGTCTGATTAATACACTGACAGAGATTACAAAAGAAATAGAGTGTTATAATAGCTTGATCCTTCTGCAGCCCAAAGTCCACAGAAACTCTGAATTTGTTTCAAAATAACTTCAGAGCTGCCTCTGGCACTGTGAAAATATTGACGTATCTTCCCACTGACCTGGAATCACTTTCTCCCCTCCCTGCCCTGGTCAAGGGAACTTGGAGGCAGGGGGCTTTGGTGTCTGGGAGGAAACAAGGAAGGGAGTGTTAACACTGACCCCCCGGGAATGTGGTCAGACATGAGCTGTGAGTCTGGATCCCGGAGTCTGGCGGATCAAGCATTCATCACACAGGCAAGCTTTGCTTTGGCATTCTGGATGGACAATGGGTGTACATAACCTGAAAGGCGGAATGTTCAAAGCACAGCACCAAAGACCGCCTGTGCTTGGGACAAAGGAGCAAGCAACAAACACCCATCAGGAGGAATCAGATTTGGCAGACAGCCATGCAGTCATGACATGAATAAGCACGCAGGCAGGATGGCGGCTCCCAGTGGGCCAGCAGGGTCCCTTGGGACCACCCCCTTCATACTGCAGAAGCACAGGTGAGGTAGAGAGGAATTCCCAAAAGTCAACTTGTCCAGCCCCTTGTCTCCAGGCAGGTCGGCAACAAGGCCATCTCATTATGCTTCCACCCAGATACATCCACACCCCTCAGATTAGCATGGGGTTGGGGAACAAAAGCAAATTTGCCAATAAAAGTCAAGACATTCACTCAGTCTGCCCAGTTTTGCCACAGCTCTATTTGTAGAGAAATCAGTTGAGGGTTGCCTAAAAACCACACAAAGCACAGGGGGAAAAATGTACTTTTTCATATCCTGACATAGCTACCAACAATTACCTAGAAAATAATGAACTCCTCTAAAACGATTTTATATAAAATTGCTAAAACTTGTAGCATTTTTCCAGGTACTGTGCCAGGGACTTAACATGCATCTTCCCATTTAATTGTCTCAACAACCCCATGAGGAAGGAAATGTTATTATCTCCATTTGACAGATAAGAAAACTGAAGCCCAGACAAGGTTCATAACTTGTTGGGCAAGTTATTAAATGGCAAAGTAGGTAGGGTTTCTTCTTGGGATGCAGACTCTGGGATGGAGTACAGTGGGCAGCAGGCTTGTTAGGAAGGGTTCCTCGAGTCAAGTCCTCCAGGCAGGAGGGCAGGTTGGAGGCAGCACTGGGCAGAGGGAGAAATGAAGCTCTGATGTAGCCTCAGCTAAGGCCTCCGCCAAACCCACAGGGAGCCCTGAAGCTGGCACGCCCGTTAGAATTGTCCCACATTGCGGCAGAGGGGCCAGGTAGTCACAGCTCCCCACCATCATTGGTTTCAGGGTGACCCAGGAGAGGAGCATGGACAGGAGTGCCTGACACAGCAAGTCTCTTTAGCCGGGGCTGCTCCAAAAAGGCTAACCATGTCCAGCACTCCCTGCAGCTGGGGACTCAGTCCTCAAAGGGGTCAGAGAGCACAGCCCAGTGTCCACTACACAGGGATGTGGACCCAGCCAGGCAAGTTGAGTGCAGGGCCCACATGCTTGGCCATTATACTATGCTGCCCGATTTGCTCCATCAAAACTGTTCTCCAATCTCATTGATCATCCTGCTATGTTTCCCGCATATTCAGTAATTAAGGAGCTCCAAGGAGGTAAGCCTAACTCTGATGAGCAGGAAGGGCAGTCATAGGGGCCTGATGCCTGATAGCTACCCCAGGCCCAGGAGACACAAGGAGGCCACACACACCAGGTAGTCACACCCCAGGGTGGTCAGCAGGCTGTGTACATCCGTCACGCAGCCTAAGAGCCAAAGCAAAGCTTGCCTGGGTGATGGATGATGCTTGATCTGGCAGCTCAGAGACCCAATCTAGTGATCATCCAGAAAGAAACCACACTTAATAGCTGACTGATGACAAAATGACCACCTCACCAGGAACAATGTGATCCCAAATATGTAAAGCTGTGTAAGTCTAGGCATAAAGACATCAGAAAAAATAAAAATGAGTTACATCCAGTGTAAGGATGACCTTGACATATGGTCAAGGGAAAGAAAAGTATGCTACAGAGTAACATGTACTATAAGATTCCCTTTCAGTGAAAAATACTCAGGCAAAATACCTCCATCCTGTATACACACCAGTAGGTATTTGTATGGACAAATGAAGTTACAGCAGGATATATTACTAGGCTATTAACATTAATTACCAGGGTGTAGAAGGGGGTGAATACATTTCTACTTGTCTTTATATATCTTTGCATGATATTAATTCACTTGCTTAAGCAAGAAAGAATTACCTTCATAATATGGAAAAATCAAATGAAGAATATATTTTTTAAAATGACCTGCCTAGTGTCATGTATAGTGGAGCATATAGATAAATAGTATTTCATTTCCTCTCCTCCTGCCCCTCTTAGGAGGCAGCTCCCAATCGTTCATTTGGGGAGGATCAAAAGAAATATTTAACTCAAGGTGAAGAGTTTTCTGTGCCCTCCCCTTCACCATCAGAATAGAACTTCATTTTTACATTATTCCACACACAATATATATCTGCCACCAAAATAAGTCTGCCACTAAAGTCTATAAAAATTATGCAACACATTCTGTAGTCAAACAGCAAAACTGTGCATTATTTGTTTGCTATTATTTGTGGCCATATTTCTATTACGGTGCTAACGAAAGAGCCAAATCCCAATTCTCTTGGCACATACCAAATCAACTCCCAATTATCTTGGCACATATCCATGAAAAGCCTACAGAAGACAAAACCCGACTTTTCACCACATCTGCTGACAAGAAATCAAAGAGTTGGTTTTAAGTTTCTTCCATCTTTCCCTGTCTCTGGCTACCCCCTAGAAGTGTTGTGGAGGGCAGGAGCCACCAAACAGTGGGGAGACGAGGACACAAAGTATCCACATAGTCGATAAACTGGGTAGCTCCTGCCCCTCTGGTTATGGAGACTAGCTCTTGCAAGCCCATCACACCTGGGCAAGTCCTACTCATTCCTCAAACTCAGACATGATTGCCTTGGATTAAGGGCCTAGTTGATATGGTTTGGCTTCCAGGCGTCGATTCTACAATGCAATTTGACTTTTATGAGCTGTAAACATGTAGAAAGCATGAAGGAGACTTGGTCCTTCCTCGACGGTAATGCAATGTGTTCAATGTGATGACAGAGTTGTGTGCCAGGTTCAAGGGAATAAGGAGGAAAAGGGGGTTGGAATGAGCCTTGTAGAGGGAATTTGAGAAAAAAAGGGACACCTGAGCAGGCCTTGGAGGATGAGTAGATCAGGAAGACCAGGACTGAGGCAAGGACTTTCAGGTAGAAAGAACTATGTATACAGGTGCACTGTTCTTGAGACTAGATTTGGTGCAATGAAACTTAAGTTAACCCTTGAGGACTGATGGGGATTGCTGGCCGACACAGCAATTGGTCATACAAAAGCACCTCACTCACACTTCCTGGGGCCTGATCTGTGTTGTCTTAAAAGGACACCATTTATCTCAGAAACCTCACATTAGTCTTTCTTCACACAAGCTTACTGACTGCCTATTTTTTCCTACTTCATCCCTTGATCTACCTTGTGATACTGGATTTAGATTTTGACTTTTGTCTAGTTAGTTCTCTATGTGGCTGATTGCTAGTAACTACAGCAACTACCATAGCTATAGCTAATGTTACTCTCCGCCAGGGGCTGACAACCCTCACAGTCATCCTATGAGGGAGGTATTTTATTATCATCCCCACTTTTCAGATGCGAAAACTGAGAATCAGAAAGGTGAAATAATTTGCAAGCTCTTTTAATAGGTAAGTGTTCCAGGAATCATACATAGGTTTATCTGATTCTAGAACCCATATTCTTAACAACCATGCAGTAATGACCTTCCCTAAGCTACTATACTTGCTCTGTTCATGTCTGGGATCCAGAGCAGGAGCCAGCAAACCTTTCCTGTGAAATGCTAGATGGTAAATGTTTTCAGCTTTGTAGGCCATGCAGTCTCTGTCACATCTACTCAACTCTGCCATTGCAGCACGAAAGCAGCCATAGGCAAAGCACAAATGAACAGAGATGGCTGTGTTCCAATAAAACTTTATCTATAAAACAAGATGACAAGCTGGGTTTCACTGTTGAAATTGACAACTTCTAATCTATGGTATCTTGTTCATTTGTTCATCTACCCAATGTTTATTGAGCACTTACCTTGTAGCTGGCACTCTCCTAGGCTCCAGGGATACAGGGAGAACCATACGAAGTCTGCACCCTCATAGGGCTTAAATCCTAGCAAAGTCTTGGCTGTTTCTTTTTCCCATGCCTGGTATCCTGGGTCCTAACTTTGGTGCTTTTCACTCCTCTTAGACCAGTGATTCTCAGCTTAGACTTCAGATCACCTGGGAAGCTTACAGAACTGTGGACGCCTAGGTTCCATTCCCAAGGAGTCTAATTAAATTGATCTGGGGTGGGCCCAAGCATTGATACTTTTACAAGCTCCCCCAAGTGGTTCTAATGTGCAGCCAGGGTTGAGACCCACTGCTTGGGGAACAGTTTGTTTTCTGTTTATTCCACTTACTTAAGGTGTGAAATATGGTAAGTTTTTTAAGTCCTCAGAATTTGGGCTGTGAAATGTGGTTAATATCAATCTCATATGATTGTCAACGATGTTTAAATGAGACAATGTACCTTTCAAATGATACAATGTTATATAAATTTAAAATACTGCTGTCATTGTGACATCATTATTAGATTTTAATGTTAGGTACTGCCTCAATGATTTCTGTCCTCAGTTTGACCTTGATTCTCAGGACAGTATTTGAGCTTTTTAAACAAGCTCTATGGAGAGCTCACTAAATAGCCCAAATTCATGGGTGAGTGAGCTAGTGGCCTTTCCTTTATTCCAATAGAGGGTCACATGGGGCTGCCATTTGCTTGGCATGGGGAGCACTGTTCTGTGCCCCACTTTTGTATAAAGGGTCTCCATCTCCAGGCTGAGATATCTGACCTCCAAGCACAGTTGTTAATCCTTGAATAAGTGGCTTATTTACTTTGACCTGTGGACAAATGTCTAAACCCATGTATTTTCACGGACTTAGAACTGGAGAGGGGAATGGCATTAACATTTTACTGAGCAGTTTGCTAGCTTCTTCCCTTATATCATTCCATTTCATTTTCAGAACAACCCTGGGGAATGAGAATAGTTATTGTTCTCATTTAACAGATAAAGAAGACTCAGAGAGGTTAGCAAGCTTGTGACCTGGTGGTGCCAGAACTCAAATCTCTGTCTGCTTGATTCTAAAGCTCTTCCTTGGAACCATAGGATGTACCACAAATAATTCAGCTCCTCTTTGGCCAGGATTGAAAGAGACATCAAACTGCCTAAAGTTCATTTTTTTTTTACAGGTTTTTTTTTTTTTTTTTTTTTTGGAGGGGGACCCCAGAAAGAAACCCATAACACCTATTAATAACCATAGTCTGATAAGTCTTGGCCAGTGCTAGCATAACGCTGCACAGGTTCCAAGAACAGGCACTTACTTCCTCCCCCCACAGCATCTTGACTGTGCAGTTTTAGAACCTCATAATGAAACAAAAAACAAACCAAAAAATGTGGAGAGAGTTGGAGAAATAGATGCTGCCAAGAGTGAGGAATTCACTGACCCCCGCTCTGGGCCATCTCAAGAGAAGTTGACCACTGGTTGAGCCTCTTAAAAGCTTAAAAGTCATCCCAGGCCATGGTTAAAGAGAGAGCTTGAACAAAACAAAAACAAATGTGATCTTCAAAATCTTAAATGTCAACTTGAAGGATAACTTACAAGCTTTGAGATGGGCCAAGAGGACCTGCAGCTGCTCTCTAACATCAGATGTTCCTTTGTTCCTTTGGAGTAGTCACTCCCTTGGATAATGTATCAATCAGGGTTCAGGGGGCAGCCTCCCACCCCATACCCACTGGAGATGTTTGCAATGACTAAAGCTTTCATTCTTTACAACCCATCAGATTCCCCCATTACTCTGACCTGAGCACCCTTGACAAGGAGTGGCTGCCTACCCGCTCTCTGACTCAGGCTTGTCCTTCAAGATCCAATTGGTCCTTGACCCTCCTGCCCTACCCCCACCTCCCTACCTTTCCCCTCCCCACCATACTTATACAACCTGCTCTTCTGTCCTTCTCCCTCCCTAAAGAGCACAAACACAAGAGTGATTTCTAGGCCAGACATCCAGGATCCCTGGTTTCTTCTCCCACACTTCAGGATAATGGACCAGGGATGCTCATGGAATATCTTCATTGGTCACCTTTTCTAGAGGAAGGAAGTAAGGATGATCAGAGCCCTAGAAACTCCACCCACTAGCCTTCAATCATGGAAAATATGTAGCTAGATTTGGGGAGAGGTTCTTTCCAAGCAATACTGGCTTGTGATGGCTGAAAAACTGAAAAATAAAAATACAGCACTCCCTTTATGAAGGGTCTTATAACATTCTGAGCTCTGTTCTTAGTTCTTGTGCATAAATGTTTTCATAATGACCTGGGGAGGGAAATACTATCCTTATTTTACAGATGAGGAAGCTGAAGCTCAGAAGGAATAAGTCATGTAGCCCAGGTTACTAATTCGTATTTAGGTCACAGTTCTCTCTCTCCAGGCAGCTGATCAGAAATCTGCACTCTTTCCATTGTTGTCGGGCTGCCTCTGAAGTCTAGGGCTGAATGACACAGGATCCTTGACAGAGTCTCTGGCTGTTGAGATCTAGAGGGTCATCCGCTATCAAAGCCAAGGATATCCTTCAACTTGTTCTTTCTGCCAGCTGTGTTTGCCCTCTGGACCTTCAAGGATGTCTTGGAATGCATCCCATCTACTTAATCTAATCTCAAAGATGACCAAAGAGCTGGCCAGAAGATTGAACTGATAGAATGAGCCATGAGAAGGCTTCAATGTCAGCCTAGGCATCCATGGCCTGGGAATTCATCCCGGCCATAGTGAAATGTCTCCTAGTACAAGCCCAGAAGCATCAGGACTCCACTGATCCCACATGCAGCACTCCCAGAAACCCCACATGTAGAAAGAGTTGAAAACCCAGTTCTTGCCCCTCACCTGTCCCTGAGGAGTTGTATGCTGGGATAAGAGTATTTCTGGGAATCCTGTTCCGAGGGGTCCCTTCTGTCCCTGGGTAGTCTTCTATGTTTAAATAATGGAAATGAATGAGAACATTTAAACTTGTTACTTCCATTGGCTCTAGTAAAATCAAATAAGAAAGCCTCATCTTTCATTATCTCTATGCTTTCTCTACTGCCTGTACTTACCCTTTATCTTCATTCTTTACACCTGGATCCAAGGCTCTTTAGTAATGGGGAGTTTAATCTGTTTTGCATCAAAAACTTTGGAGACAGTCGGGAAAGAAGACTGGGGAGAGAACATGTTCTCACAGCAAGCAGTAGTATTTCAACTTCCTCCACGCTCACCAAAAACAAAATCATTTACAGGCCTTCCTATTGGTCTTGCCTGCACAGCCTCCGCCTTCTTGAGCCCCTGACTCTCTAAGTTCTAATGCCCAGGAGAATGTTCTCTCCTCTTTTTGTCCTGATGGGGGCACGAGTATTCCCTCAGCATCCGAGGCGCTGGAGGAAAAGCTCTGAAAACTCAGCTGGGAGTTAGGAGCCAGAGTTTGCAACTACCAGGGAGCAAGACAATAATAGCACAGTTGTTTGCATAAAGGAAGAAATGGGGGTTAGATGGAGTTCCCAGCACAGATGAAGAAATAGACCATTTATCCTCCCATGTCTAAGGCCATGGCCATCACCACACAGTCATGTATGTGTAAAAACACATAGGCATGTGCATCTCATGGGGACCAGTCACTCCTGTTTACATGCACCCTTGTTTACATTGCCTATGGGATGATTTCCTCCTCCTTCATTACACTTCAGTTGACAACGTACTCCTGAAGTTAAATGAGTCTGTTTCTGACATTGCTGCCTGCTCCATCTTTTATGGAGCTTCCCTGGGGTTCAATTTATATAATTTCTAAAATCCTTCCTGAATCTTAACTTCCTGTGGGTCTGTTTTTACATCCAGATTTCCTCCCTGTCCCTTCATTTTCTCATTTTTCTAGGACAGAGGGAGAGTCCAGTAATCTTCCTCCCACCCAGACATTGTAGGTTGGCTCTACTGCAAAATACAAAACCAGAGACCTGGCTAGCTCAAAGCTGAAAATTCAGTCTGTCTGTGGTCACTCGTTTGTGGAACCCAGCTATTGACAGGCAGTGCCTGGCACTGTGCTACTCAGGGATGATGGATCGATACAGCCTCACTGCTGCTTTTTTCCCCTACTCTCCGTGGAGCACACTTTCCGCCCTAGGCCCTAGGGAAAATCCATCCCCCGCTTCAGCTGGCTTTGCAAAGAAACTCAGGAAACTAACACCAAACTCAGAAGGGGGAAAACACAAGACTTTGAACTTTTTAAAGATGGGAAGCTGCTTTCATTCCCACGTGGGCATCAAGGGAAAACCTATGGGGACTCTTTTCCGGAGAGGTGTGATTTTCCTCTAACCCTCCGAGAAACGTTCCAAATCCACTCCAAAACTGTGGAGAAGTGGCCGAGGCAGAGAGAGAAGAGTTAAATCAAGCCCAGATCTCAGCAATCTGTGTTCAATTTTGATAAAAATCTCCCTCTCCCCCACCGCCCCCCTTCCTCCACCCCACAGCTCAGACACGTCTCTTTATGTTAGGAGCTTGCATCTTGTTTGGGGCACCACACGCGGCACTCCTGGAGAACCTGGCACGTACCTCACCGTGGCCATGTGGCAGAACCAACCATCCCACTCCCAAGCTACGGCTGGACACAGGGCCACAGCGTCCTGGCCATCACCACCACCTCCCCCTCTTCCTTCTCATCCTCTTCACAAAATTACCTGCCGCCAGACCAAGTCCCTCATTCCCCGGTTAAGTCAGAGTCCCGACGCCTGGTAAAGTCAGGGCATGAGGTTGGTTTGCGACCGCAGGTGCTGAGAGCCCCAGAGTCCGGGGACCCCTTTCCTGAGATGCTCCTTCCCCCGCCCAGGGTCCCACTGCCACTGAGAACAAGAACCTTACGGCTGCCCTGCCCACTGGCCAGAGGCCAGGCCTGCAAGTGGGAGCTGGGGGCTTGTGAAGACTTCAGCCCAGCCAAGTGAAGGTTCAAGCCGAACCCGGAAAAGCCACCACCAAAAAGTTGTCAGTTTTGCGGGGTATCTTCTGTGTTTGTCCACTTGTGACAACCAGGGGTCAGGTTTCAAAGCCGCAAAAAACATTTTTAAAAAGTTTTCCAAAGACATTTCCTATGTCCAGATGTGCCAGTACAGACACACGCAATCACACTCATACACACACACAACTCACACACACACAGGCCCTGGGAGCCCACTCCGGGGTCGGCGGCTCCTGCAAACACTTTGGAGAAACAAAACCGCCAGCCTGCGGAGCTGCTGCCTCCCCAAGCCCCGCGGGGCATGCTAAAGAAAGCAGAGGGAGAGAAGTGTGGGAGCCCAGCGGAGAGGGCTCCCCGCGGCCCGGGCCCCAAGACGGGGAGCGCCAGGGCCGGCCGCACTTACTCCGAGGACCCCAGGGCGCCCGCGCTCCCGCAGCCCGAGGTACGGCGCCGCCGCCCGCGCTCCGCTCGCTGCTGCGTGCTCCGCGCTATCCCCGGGAAGCCGCGGCTGCCGCCCCTCCAGGCCCGGCCTCGCGCCCGTCCGCCCGCCCCGCTCTGACGTCAGGCGTCTTGGAGCGGGATATTTATGGCAAGGTTACTCTGAATTTTCCCTAGGTAGACTTCTGATTGCAGTTTCTTGGGATTTGTAATTTTCACACTTTCAGACCGAACGCAGGCGGGGGGAGAGCGCCACCGGCAGGGCGAGGCGTACAATGAGGGTAGCTGTTCCCCACTTTGGCAGGGAGCGTTCTCAGGGCCCCTTCTGTTTTGGAAACATGGAAGGGTCAAAGAGGCAAAAGTGGCCACCTGGGCAGCGGGTTTCTCCCCGGCTCCTCCTCTGGGCTACGGGCAAATGGCCTGGTCTGAGGCCGGCTCGGAGGTGAAGGTCCCGGTGCCAAGGAATCCCCTGTCCCTCCCCAAAGTGTCCCTGCACTGGACAGTGTGTCCCAAGGGGTGCTGGGCAAGACAGGAGCGAAATCAGGCACAACAGAACAGCTAATTAGGAGTCCTGGTCCACGCCCTAACAACTTTTCCATTTCTTTTTTGGGAGTGTATATATATTTTTTTAAGTTTATTTTTATTAAATTATGTTCCACACTCCCTGCCTCTGTATAGCTTTTCCAATTCAGTGCCAGTCAATTCATCTTACTTCATTGCTTGTATGCATAGTTTGAGCAGTTTACAATAGCTCTTATTCATACTTTTAAAATTTCCTTTTAGTTTTTTTTTTTCTTTTTTTTTTAAATGTGATTGTGGTCTGTCTCCTTGACTGAACTAGAGATTGCTTTGGTCAAGAGCAATTGTCCTCTCTGGGATTGGCAACACCCTCACGGGGAGTATTTGATCTTCTCTGTTTCCTATTTTCCCCAGCTCCCTCTGCAAGCAAATGGTGCCCCCACTGGGTGATGACCTGTATACAGTTTTCTGGGTGTTCAGTGGTTGTTCTGTGTTAGTGGTTGTCTGTTTCTCCACCTCACCAAAGGGGCTTAGGGAAATGGCTTGGTTTAAGGGCCACCCTTCCAGAGAAAAAAAGAGAATGTAATGCATGATCTTCCAGAGGAAAAAAAAAAAAAAAAGAGAATGTAATGTGTTATCCTTCATGGTTCCCAAGGATTGGAGAATGAAATGAACTTAAAATGATACACGTGAGATGCAAAATACTTATATGGTTAGACAACATAAGTGTTTAGGTATTCATCTCACCATGAATGGGAGGGGGCACGGATAATTGCAAATCATCATTAAAACACAACTATAGTGAACTTTCCATTAGCCCAAACTGGTAGAGGCGGGGTTGTGTTTTAACCACAGTTACAGTGCAGCAGGGACTCAAGGACTTGGAATGTGTTTACCTCTTTGGCAGCAGCTGGTTAGAGCTGATTGCCAGAAGGAGCTGTCTTAGGGCTGGGCCTCTCGGTAGAGGCCACGCTGTTTTGACCCAAGCCACCGAGGGCCCTGCAGCAGGGAGCTGCTGTTTGGTCACTGTGGGATTGCTCTCCCTGGCATAATACCCCACTTTTACCTCCTTCCATTCCCTCTCTCATATCAAGGCTCCACTGGCAAGGTGAGCTCTGTTCTTCAGCAGACCCTGCAAATAGGTTTCCAGAAGCCATTGACAAACCCATTCTCCCTTGCCTTTCTCAACTAAAGAAGTTAGAAATCTACAATATTCACCATCCCAGACTCCCTGGTAGCTCACAATTGCTATGAGACCAAGTTCTGACCAGTGAGATTGTAATACAGAAGACAGAGGATGCCTTCCACAAACTCTCTTTAAGAGAAGATCAGATTTGGCCAGGCGCGGTGGCTCACGCCTGTATTCCCAGCACTTTGGGAGACCGAGGCGGGCGGACCACGAGGTCAGGAGATCGAGACCATCCTGGCTAACACGGTTAAACCCCGTCTCCACTAAAAAATACAAAAAATTAGCCAGGCGTGGTGGTGGGCGCCTGTAGTCCCAGCTACTTCGGAGGCTGAGGCAGGAGAATGGCGTGAACCTAGGAGGCGGAGCTTGCAGTGAGCCGAGATTGCGCCACTGCACTCCAGCCTGGGCGACAGAGCGAGACTCCGTCTCAAAAAAATAAATAAATAAATAAATAAATAAATAAATAAATAAATAAATAAAAACACAAAAAAAGATAGGGCCAGAGACTCAGAGGTGGCAGGTTGGGGACATCATGAGGACAGAAACAGGGGAAGTGAGGCTGAGGAGCAAGCATTCTAGGTCTGGGAGAGGGGAGTCTCTCCATCCTTGCCCAAGTGTTTTGGAGGCAGGGTCTCTCTCTGTCACCTAGGCTGGAGTGCAGTGGCACGATGATAGCTCACTACAGCTTCGAACTCCTGGGCTCAAGGGATTTTCCCACCTCAGCCTTCCCAGTAGCTGGGACTACAGGTGCATGCCACTAGGCCCTGCTAACCTTTTTTTTTTTTTTTTTTTTTTTTTTTTTTGTAGCGATGTGGTCTTGCTATGTTTCCCAAGCTAATCTCAAATTCCTGGTCTCAAGCAATTCTCTCAACTCGAGAGGCCGAAGCGCTGGGATTACAGGTGTGAGCCATTGCGCCTGGCCCCCAAGCATTCTTAATTGGGTTCTATTGGGATGAGGAGCAAGTGAAATTCATAAAATACGTGGCTGTCAGTGCTGAGGAGCTGTTTTTGAGGTTGGCAAGCCCTGAAGAGTCCATGAAGTAGTAGGGCCCACTCGAAGATCATCTGATTCACTCCCTACCCCCAGCCCTATCACTCACAGGGTCCTAATGTGGGAGTCTCTCCTATTCTCAAGATTCCCAAGAAAGGGGTTTCATCCTTCTTCACCTGCATATTCTAGGAATGTTCCCGGAACATACAGTGAGGCCCTCTGTAGCACACTACTCATCTGGAAAATTGTACCTGCTTGATGAAAGATTCTCAAATAGCACATTATGGTTGACCTGGCTTCCAAAGCTCACTATATACTTCCAAGGCCCAGCCTATCATGATAAGAAGCAGGCTTCACAAAAGTCACTTGCTCACTCTCCAGGGGTAGAGATCCTAGTCTAGTACAGCATGGACCACAATAGCACTCCATAAAGACTTTCTGAAGAATAAATGAAGGCCCCATGAATATGTCATCTAATCAATATGTGACTCTCCGCAAATAACATATACCTTTCTCTGATTTACTATTGTGGACTATAGCAAGTGTTTGAACCAAAGACCTTGGTTAAATCCCAGCCCTGCCTCTCACTGCTGTGTGACCTCAGCATGGCAGGAAACTTTCTCAAGCATAGTTTTTGTGATGGTTAACTTCATGTGTCAACTTGGCTGTGCCACAGTGCCCAGATAGTTGATCAAGCATTATTCTGGATACTTCTGTGAAGGTGGTTTTGGATGAGATTAATATTTAAATTGGTGGACTTTGAGTAAAGCTGAGTACCCTCCATAATGTAGGTAGGCCTCATGCAATCAACTGAAATTCTTAATAGAACAAAGACTGACCCCCACCCCGCAAGAGGGAACTGTGCCAGCAGACTGCCTCAGGACTCCAACTGCAATGCTTCCCTGGGTCTCCAGCCTGCTGGCCTACCCCTGCTGGTCTACCCTCCAGATTTTAGACTACCAGGCCTCCATAATTACATAAGCCAATTCTTTAAAATCAGTCTCTCTCTCTCTCAATATTCATATACTACATCCTGTTGGTTGTTTCTCTGAATCTCCTATTAGTAGGAGAATCCTAAAAAATACAGTGTTCTTCAACAACAACATGGGATGAAAATTATTCCACCCTAAAGTATTGTTGTAAAGTTCAAATGAAGCAAAATAAATTGAAAGCCTCTACCTCAATAAGTTCTTCTGAAACTTGGAAGGAAAAGGATGCCTCAAAATTTCAAAGTCTTTTTCATCCTACCACTTATGTGGTCAGTATCAATCTGCTGGCTCTTAGACTCTGTTCAGGGAGGTGTCAAACTTTGTTATCAGGTGTGCTGTTAATGCCTAGAAGGCAGAAGCAACTTGTCTTGAACTGGACCCCATCCAGCACAGACACATCACACTTCAGGTATTTTGATCATGAGCCTGATCCTGGGGCCTATCCTGCTTCTGTCACTTCTAGTAAGGGATACAACCTCCACTGTTCAGGACAAGACTCCTGGACTTCTATTATCTCACGGTAACTTCCAAGGATACAGCTAAAGAGAGAAAAAGCCCATGGCTACCACAATTTCTTCCTGAAAGTACATACTTATCAATAGAACATGAACTGCATGTCCCAACAACTTGAAGATATTTTAGGTCCTCATTGTCATGTGGTAGAAATGACCCCAGAATATGGCATGAGAAAAACCTGGTTTCTAATTCCAGCTCTGACTCTTGTAAGTAAGAGCATCATTTCACTTCTCTGCAAAATTCAGACTAATAGAAGGACCAATCCCATGGTGCGAGAGTAAGGATTAAATTGCAGAATATTTGTACCTTACAGATGACCACTGTTCTTATATGCCTTTTCTTCTCTTTGCCCTCTTTCCTACCTCTATACCCACTCCCTCCACCCAACACACACAGCTCCTCTGTTAGTTAATTTTAAGAATGTACTCAACGTTAACGTACAGGTTTCTGGAGTCCAGCTTTCTGCAAACCTCTTTCTTGGAGTTAAGAAATCTCCCCTGGCTCAAGCATAACCACAGCAAATAGGCAGCAATCAGAAAATTGCCCCCATAAAGGCCATCTCCTCCTGAGGAGCAGGACTGCATTTTTGAGAAGCCTTCTCAGGTTGTTTGCAGCAGCTTTGAGGGTCGGCTCTGCTGCCTTGCCTACGTCAAAACCCCAAGTGTTTAACCACAAGACACACAATTCCAGGACATAGTGGCGGCGGCCCTCCACCCCCGCAGAGAGACAGGCCACGCGTATGTCTAATCTGGCATGTGGCCTCCCTCAAAGGCCAGCAAGGCAACTGTGGCCCACTGCACCACACCTGGCCAAATTGAGAGGGACTATCGCACAGTGAGTAGAGTGCCAAAATGGGTGGGAAATGGAGTGGAATTCTTTTCTGACCATCCTCCTGCCAATCTGTGATCAGAGCCCAAGGTCCCCAGTCTGCAAAGGCCATTCCTGCTAGTAGCCACCACCACTTTTGTTATTTCTGGAGCCAGGGTACTTGCACTGTCATGATCACATACAAAACTTCCATTATACCCCATTTTCAGTAGCTCAAAATCCTTTGAAAAATAATGCTCAGGGCCAAGTATTCCAGTTAGCTTCAGGGTAAAATTATATTTTGGAATATTTAAAAGAAATAAGTTTCCCCAGGTGATCTATATTGGGGGTGATGATGGGTCTCACACACACACACATACACACACACACACAGACACACACAGACACACACATACACATTTTTCTCCATTGAAAAATAGTTTGAAACTGCTTACAATGTTCAGGATGTGTGACTTTGGACTGGCATATGGATGTGTGTGCAACTGAGCAAAGACTCAGGGACATCAGGAGAAGCATGACACATTTCATCATTCAGTGGTTTTGTCTTTTAAAGGAAAATAGCTTAAAAATGGTAAAGTGATAATGTTAAGAATCTGTTCTTAATTACCACTCAGTAACTTGGCAATCTGTTTTATCCCATTCATTTCTTTCAGAAAGTTCTTAGCAACTCGTCTCTTAAGCTGTGTGTACACAATCACACTCACAGATATAAAGAAAAAGAAAACTCAACCTGGTTGCCCTTGGAAAGAGCACAGGACATTTGCACATTTAATTTGCATACACATTCTTCTGTATGCCAAATATTTATAAGCACAGATTTTCACACACTGGCAGGTTTCATAAGCACCCAATAATAGGCTTGTCTGACTATTGCATGTCGGTGGTTTGGGACCCCAGTGTGGAGACCTTTCTTACTTTCTTTAAAAGAAGAAGTAAAGAAACCCTCCACTAACACTTTGGCTCATTCGGTCCTGCTAGGTGCCAGGCACTTTCATAAGCCCTGGAGATATAAGATGAATAAGACGAGGTTCCTCTCCACAAGGAATTCATGGTCTAGTGGAGGAACTACGCCATTAAGCTTTACCACAATCAGGTTTAAAAAAAAGCAAAAACATAAAAACACATGAAACTTTCAAAATTCCCAGGATGAGGAGTAGGTGAAGGACAATAACATGTTGTCTCCCTTAGGCGAGTTTTCTGGATGAAGAAGAATATACCTTTCCTTTCCACTGGTACCTTCCAGGCTAATATTTCCAAAATACCTCCTATAGAATACTAATCCTTTGAAACAATTTTCAAAAAAGGTAGGGGAGGGGTCCTCATGGTCAAATAATTTTATAAAATCTATAGTCTATATGCCCTACTTGTAACTTCGTAGTTCATATTAACATAGTGAAGAATTTGAGAATTCCTATAGCAAAAGAGATCTGCCTACCTTTGCTTACCACAGTATTTATTCCCCAAAGTTATTTTTTCCTAGGTCCCATTTTTCACGTAATATCTATGAATATCCCATAGCTTTAAGAAACAGTGTTTAGTCTGATAGGGACCAGAAGTCTCTAAAAATAAACACGAGTGTAATAAAATGCCAAATTGGAAGTTTTAATGGGGGCAACAAGATACAATAGATAAGAAATTCTAAAATAATGTTTCAGAGTAAGAAGCAGATTTTCAAAAGGAAATATTTGGGAACCAGTTTTATGCCTCCAAAAATCCCTTCCTACAAGGAGTTTTTAAAAAGAATTGGAAGTGTGGGGGTTGAGAAAGAATGTTATGAGGAGGATTTCTTTGAGAGAACTGTACTGAATTTTTTACCCATTCCCACATTGAGGAGAGCTTCAGGGAGATGACTCAAGGACCTCACTAAGTGCCCCCTAAAGTTGGAACTTATGGGCAGTGTTGGACTCCAGCCTGGAAATCTAGAAGACAAGAGACACAGACGGTGAATTGATTTGGTGGTGGATTAAAGAAGAGTAGTTGCTTTGTTGGGAAGGCTGGTACTCCTTGAACTTGCCAGGACAAGGATTAATGCACATTTCCTGAGGACCATATATGGGCCACATGAAGAGAAAGTGAGCCAGGAACTATTTTCAAGATCTTTTCCGAAAGGACTACCTGAAAAAATTATGGGACCATGATGTTGAGAGTTAGTGTGAAGTGGACCATTGAAAAAGCCAGCCAAGTAAGAAAGAAGCAGCTGAAGGAAGAGAATACACAGCCAGTGTCATAGGGGTTTCAGTTAGAAGGGCCCAACTGAATAGGCTCTCAAGAACCCACCAAAGAGCTCACAGAAGAAAGAGTCTAATAAAGCCATTTTACAAGTATACCAGTCAAGTAACTACTTTCCTATGGAAGGAAGAACTTTTAGCTATGGCTCAGGTAAGGAGATCAACAAAGCTTATACCCCCTAAAGCAACTATACATCTAGATATAATTAACAAAAACAACCATTTCAGCACTCTGAAAATCAATCAAAGGCATATAATAATCTGAGAAGTATTTATACTTTAAAAACTGCTAAACTTTGGGTAAGAATAGTGGAACTCTTCGGTGTTCTAGCTTGTGACTGAGTCAAATTATTGGCTGACCACTATACTAGGCAAATACAAAGATGACCCTTAGAAAGGCAATCTTATAAATAAAAATTTGAATATTAAAAACAAAATTGAGCTGAGACATAATTGTTCACATGCTGCAGATTTCACTGATTCAGCCCAGGCAAGTTACAAAACAAATAAATTAAACAGCAACCTTCACGGGGAGAAATATCAGAATCCAAAGTTGTTGTAACAGATTATCTCAAATGTCTAGTTTTCAACAAAAAAAATCCAAGACACACAAATAATAAAGTGTGATTTATATGCAAAAAAAATTAAATCAATACAAACTGTCTTGAGTGTCCTCAAATGCTGGCTTTAGACAACAAAGACTTAGGCCAGGTGCAGTGGCTTACGCCTGTAATCCCAGCACGTTGGGAGGCAGAGGCAAGTGGATCATGAGGTCAGGAGATTGAGACTATCCTGACTAACACAGTGAAACCCCATATCTACTAAAAATATAAAAAATTAGCTGGGCATGGTGGCAGGCGCCTGTAGTCCCAGCTACTCAGGAGGCTGAGGCAGGAGAATGGCGTGAACCCGGGAGGCGGAGCTTGCAGTGAGCCGAGATTGCACCACTGCACTCCAGCCTGGGTGACAGAGCGAGACTCTGTCTCAAAAAAAAAAACAAAAAACAAAGACGTCATAGCAGTTACTATAAATATGTTTAAAGAACTAAAGAAAGCAATGTTTAAAGAATGAAAACAAAAAGGAGCAATAATCAACAATTTGAGATTCTAAATTAGGACACAGAAATTATTTTAGAAGAAACTAATAAAAATTATGGAGTTGAAAATAATAGAGCTAAAATAAAATTTACTAAAGGGTCCCAGTAGAAAATTCAAGATGGCAAAAGACAGAATCACTGAACTTGAGGATTGATCAATAGAAATCACCGATCTGAAGAACAAGGAAGAAAAAAATGAAGAAAAATAAATGGACCATCACAGACCAGACCTGTGGAACAACATAAATTGTGCCAAAATATATGTAATGGGAGTCCCAAGAGATATCAAATAGAAAGGGACAGTGAAAACATTTGAAGACATAGTGGCATAAAATTTCCAAAGTTTGATGAAAATCTTTAATCTACTGATCCAAGAAGCTCAACAAACTCTAAGTGGGATAAATAAAAAATTTAGACCTAGACATACCATAAACTCTTGAAAGACAAAGAGAAAATCTTGAAAGAAGCAAAAGAAAAATAATTCATCATGCACAAGAAGCATCAGTATGATTAATGGCTGACTTTCATCTGAAACAATGGAGGCCAGAAGGCAGAGAAATGACATTCAAAGTGCTGAAAGGAAAATATTGTTAACCAATAATTCTATATCCAACAAAACTGTTCTTCAAAAATTTAGGCAAAATACACCAAAACATAGCTAAAAATAAACATTAAACAAAATGGTACCCTTAAATTTTTATTTAATATACAAAGCAAGCAGTCAAGGAGGAATAGGAGACATGGGAAAAAAATAGCAAAACGGCAAATGTAAATCCAACTATAAAAATAAGTACATTCAGTATAAATGGTCTAAAAAAACAAGAGGCAGAGATTTTTAGATTGTATTTTAAAAGCAGGAATGAATTATACGCCACCTGCGAGGAACATATCTTAGGTTCAAAGTCACAACTAAGTTGAAAGCAAAAGAATAGAAAAAGATGTATAATGCAAACATATCCATAAGAGAACTGAAGTGGCTGTATTATTATCAAACAAAATAGACTTCGAAACTCAAAATAGTTTCAGAGACAAAGAAGGATATTTCACAATTTAAAAAATGGTCAATACATTAAGAAGATGTAACAAATAACAGAATCCCCAAAATTCATAAACTAAAAACTGATAGAATTGAAAGGAGAAATAGTGAATTCAATAATAGAAGTTGAAGAATTCAATATCTGACTCTCAATAATTGATCAAGTTCTAAACGATAAATCATCAAGGATTTAGAAGACTTGAACAATTCTATCACCAACTTGACACAACATTTGTGTATGTGTGTGTGTGCTCCTGTACACTATGCTTTGACTGTATCCCCTCCAAAATTTGGATGTTACCAAAGTGGTAGTATTAAGAGACAAGACATTTAAGAGGTAATTAGGCCATGAGGGATCCTCCCTCATGAAGGGGATTAAGGCCTTTATAAAGGAGGCCGTATGCAACATTTGGCTAGCTTGCCCTTCACCTTCTGCCATGTGAAGGCATTTCTCCCTTTTAGTTCTCAGACAATCAAACCTTCCGGTACGTTGATCTTGGACTTCCCAGCCTTCAAAACTATGAGAAAATAAATTTCTCTTCTTTATAAATACCTAATCTCAGGTATAGTCACATGCTGCATAATGACATTTCAGCCAGCAATGGACTGCATATATGACAGTGGTCTCATAAGATTATAATACCATGTTTTTGCTGTACCCTTTCAATGTTTAGACTTGTTTAGATACACAATAATTTTCATTTTATTACAATTGCCTACATTATTCAATACAGTAACATGCTGTACAGGTTTATAGCCTAGGAGCAATAGGCTATACCATATAGCATAGGTGTATAGTAGGCTATACCACCTAGGTTTATATAAGTACATTCTAGGGTGTTGGCATAATGACAAAATAACCTAATGATGCATTTCTCAGAACATATCCTTGTCATTAAGTGATGTATGACTATATTCTGTTATAGCAGCACAAATGGATTCATGGGTGTGTGTGTGCGTGTGTGTGTGTGTGTGTGTGTGTGTGTGTGTATTGTGGCCTAGTATATGGTATTTCCTGAAGAATGTTTCAGATGTGCTTGAAAACCATACGTATTCTGTAGCCATTGGATGACCATTTTATCATTATGAAACATCTTCTTTGTCTCTAATACTATTTCTAGTCTAGCACACCTGGAACATTCTTCAGGAGAAAAACCATATACTAGGTCATAAAACAGGTCTCAATAAATTTTAAAGGATTTGAATCATAAACTGATCACAAAGGAATTAAATTATAAAACAACAACAAAAAGAAATTTGGGAAATCTTCAATTATTTGGAAATTAAAAAACACACTTCTGAATGTTCATGGATTAAAACACTCAATATTGTTACAATGCCATTTCTCCCCAGATTGATCTATAGACTCAGTGCACATCCTATAAAAAATCTCACCAGGGTTTTTTGGTTGTTTTTGTGTTTTAGCAAAGAAAGAATTAGCAAACTTATTGAAAATTTATATAGAAATGCAAATGATATAGAATAAGGAAAATGAATTTGAAAATAAGGGACAAACTTGGAAGATTTATACTATGTGATTTCATAACTTACTATAGCCACAATAATCAAGACAGTGTGGTGTTTGGCATATAAGAATGGGCATATAGAATCTACACATGATCTATATTATAGATCACTGGAACAGAATTAAAGTTTAGAAATAAAACTTTACATTTCTATACAATTGATTTTTGATAGTTCCATTGAAAAATGATAGTTTTTCAACAAAGAGTTCTGAGACTATTGGAAACCCACATGAAAAAAAATTAACTCAGATAGATCATAGTCTTAAATGAAAGAAATAAAACTATAAAACTTCTTAGGATAAAAACAGGAGAAAAATCTTTGTGACCTTGGACTTAGCAAAGAATTCTTAGATATGACACTAAAAGCACAATCCATAAAAGAAAAAATTAATAAACTAGACTTCATCAAAATTTAAAATTTTTCCATTTCACAAGACACTGAAAATGGAAAGACAATAAAAATAAAAAGGCAAGCCATATATGGATTACATATTTTCAAATTATTTATCTGATAAAAGACTTGTCTCCAGAAATATAAAGAACTATTAAAACTCAATAAGAAGACAAACAACCCAATTTGAAAATGGGTAAAAGGTTTGAATAGACATTTCACCAGAAAAGTTACACAAATGACTAATAAGTATATGAAGAGATCCTCAACATCATTATCAAGGAAATACAAATTAAAACCACAATAAGATACCTCTACACACCCACTAGAATGACTGCGATAAAAAGACAGACAATAATAAGTGTTGGTAAGGATATGGAGAAACCGGAACCTTCATACATTGCTAATGAAAACATAAAAACAGTTTGGATGTTTCTTAAAATCTTAAATACAAACTTAACATTTAACCCAGAAATTCCTCTTCTAGGAACAAACTGAAGAGACATAAAAAGAGATATCCACTCAAAAACATATATGTGAATGTTTCTTAGAGCACTGTTCATAATAGCCAAAAACTGAAAATAATCTAAGTGTCCATCAGCTGGTGAAGGAACAAAGAAGACATGGTATATCCATATA
The DNA here is from genome assembly GCF_000001405.40 of Homo sapiens. NCBI lineage: Eukaryota > Metazoa > Chordata > Mammalia > Primates > Hominidae > Homo > Homo sapiens. The sequence goes on along the minus strand of NC_000006.12, from coordinate 39,780,482 downwards.
ATAGAACACTATTTAGCAATAAAAAGCAAATTTCTGGTTAATTTTATAGAGACAGGGTTTTCCATGTTGCCCAGGTTAGTCTCCTGAGCTCATGTGATTCATCCACCTCGGCCTCCCTAAGTGCTGAGATTACAGGTTTGAGCCATTGTGCCTAGCTAGACATGGTCTATTGACGTTTGGTGAGCAGTACTAAGTTCCTGGAACAGAAAGGTGAAAAGTCTACAGGGCTATATAATACAGCGGTTAAGACTAGGGATTCTAGAGTCAGACTGCACTAATACCTAGACTGAAATCTAAGTCCCATCCTTTTTAAGATGTGTTAGTTGGGCAAGTCATGTATAACTTAACCTCTCCAAGAGGGGATAATAAAATTTATCTATTAATTATAACCACTAATAGGTATAATAGTTATCTAACAGTTACACCGACCTTATAAAATTGGTGTAAAGATCGAACAAGTCAGCTGGGCGAGGTGGCTCACACCTGTAATCCTAGCACTTTGGGAGGCCGAGGCAGTTGGATCACGAGGTCAGGAGTTCAAGACAAGCCTGGCCAACATGGAGAAACCTCATCTCTACTAAAAATACAAAAAATTAGTCAGGTGTGGTGGTGGGTGCCTGTAATCCTAGCTACTTGGGAGGCTGAGGCAGGAGAATCACTTGAACCTGGGAGGCAGAGGTTGCAGTGAGCCTAGATCATGCCATTGCACTCCAGCCTGGGCAACAGAGTGAGACTCCATCTCAAAAAAAAAAAAAAAGATCAAATGAGTTACATGTGTAAGAACAGGGCTGAGGCACAAAGTGGGGACTCAACAAATGATTCGCTTTTCTTACAGACAACAAAAATGCAGATATCACTGGATTTGGACAGGAAGAGATTGTGCATGAGGCTCATGAGAGGACTGTCGATTCAATATGGAAGTTGGACTCTATATGCCTCTGACTTGAGGTACAGCAGGAGAGGAGCAAACCTAGGGTGTGTTTAAGTGACCACTCTGCCATTTCAATCTGTGAGACCTGGGGCAAGTCATGCACCATCTCTGGGCCTCTGTTACCTCAGGTGTAAAACAATAGGGCTGATCTCCATGATTTCCTGGGCCTCTCCCATCTCTGACAGTCTAAGACTGTACGTTGACTCCAAACAGCCATTTGATGTGTGTCCCTCCCTCCCTGCAGCCATGAGAGCTCACCTATAATCCCAGCAGAGAGAGCATCAGCCAAATCCCCGCAGCTTTTTGCACCAGAAGTGGATCCAGCAAAGACCTGAAAGGGGTTTTTAGTATTTAGAAAAGCTCTGGCAATAGTTCCCACACATACAACAAAACTATTTTAAGCCCTGGCCTTTTGAAGAGTGGGTGGATTTTAAGACAAACTGACTAATGAGGTATATGTTAGCATTGCCACAAAAGCAAAACAGTCAGATTTCCCAACACAATGCCAAGTTTGGGCTTGGAATTTGGAGGATTAGATGGGAAGCCCGGTGGTAATTCCATTTCTCACGCCCTACAGTCTTGGCTTTCTAGTCAACCAGCATCTCATCAAGCCTAGTAAGGGGAGCCTCCAGGAGGGTCCCCATTGGGTGTGCAGGGGTGGGGACAGTGATAGTCCCTCCTTTTACTCTCCAGGCCCTAAGTTAAGAGCAAAGACACCACAGACACTTAAACAATTAGGGAATAATTTAAAACAAATGTGTGCTGGAGTCCACACAGTGCAAAGGAGAATTGGTTTAATGTGCAGTGAAGCAAGAGTCTTCCTAAAGCTGCTTCTTTCACTGGGGAAAAGAGACTCCTTCCTGCACTGAACACACCCAGGACTGGATAAATTCTGCCCCCTCCTCCCACCACCAAACACACACAGGCACCTTATTATTTTATTTGCTGTCCCAAAGCAGCCTCTAGCCCAGTGGAACTGCCTTTGAACACAAATTCCCTGGTGCACCAGCTAAGTAAGTTCTGGCTGCATATAGCAAAAGATCCAAAATAACAGTAGCATAAATAAAATAGGCGAGTGCTTCTTGTTCAAATACAAGAAGTCCATGGGTAGGGATTCCAAGGCTGTGGCATATAGGGTGTGAGAATGTACCAGGAGTAACCAGGGAAGAAGCCACCCTGTTGGACCTTGCAGGGACGTGACTCTGCCCTCATGTAAGCAAGGAGGAGGGCATCTGCCCTAATCTGCCTGTTGGCTTCCTTATTGGGCATGTATAATTTTTCATTCATTCAACCTACAAAATATTTCCCGAACCCCGAGCAGTCACTGTGTGCCAAGCGCTGTGCTAGGGCATAGTGTGACAAGGCAACTAAGGTCACACTCTCGTGAAGCCCACAGTCTAGTGGGGAAGATAGAAAAGAAATAAACAAATGAAATTAAAATTATAGTTAAGTGGTATGTAGGAAACAGCCAGACTACTGTGACAGAGAATAGCGGGGGTGACCTACTTTACACAGGGTGGTAAGGACACAGCTAGAATTCCACAGACAAGGGAGGGGAAAGACAAACATGGAGAACATGGAGAAGGTCTCAGGCCAGCCAGGATTCTCAAGCAGCAGACAGAAATGCTGGCAGACCTTCTGAGCATGGCTGCAGCCAACCCAGTGGCCGCCGGCCACACTGTGCAAGGACCAGATGGACTGAAGTGAAAGCACGTGGCACCTGTGCCAGGCCTTGCACAATTCTGCTAAACCTGGGTGCAAGAGAGGTGAGGAGGCCTATTTAAGGCAGCTGAGGCTCACTCAGGAGAGCTGTAGTGACTGGTGTCTGCTTCAGATCAAACAGCAAGAAAGAAGCAAAGCTGAGATTTGAAATCAGGTCCTTGAAAACCAAGTGCAGGCCCTTTGTATACACAGCAGCTCAACTGAGAAGAGAAAGCCGACCTATTTTTGGAGCATCCATTGGAGTTAGGGAGTTCAGGACACCCGCCTAGCCTGAAAAACTCAGTGCCCACGGAGAGACAACAGCCCTACAGGGGCCACAACAGCCACAAAAGGATCGCATTACACTCCCCAGACCTAATTGCTTTACAGACTAAACAGCACAATTTACAGTCCGCTCTGGGATAATGACGTCTCCCCCTCCAGTTCCGCTCTGTTCCGAGGGATTCCAGCATTTTCCTCAGAGACATTAGACAGAGGCCTGCATGACTGAGGATCTCTGTACTCAAAGGCAACCATTGTGAAAGACCCTGAGGAGGGGCCTGTCCAGAGGAAGAGGAGCTAAGCGCTGTTGCAGGCTCGAGCTCAACTGAGGGGCCACCCCAGATAAATCTCACCAGAGCTCATCTGGAAAGGACATGCTGACATGGAGGTCAACCAGAAAGCCGACAAATTAACTGCCTTATGCTCATTCAAGTCTTTAAATAATCAAATAATTCAAACCAAGGTGGACAGTCTTAATCCCCAGAAATAGCTGGCTTTATAAATCACCCACAGAAAACTATTTCTTTATTTCCCCCAAGTCTCCCTTTTTAGTAGAAAGTAGTCATTTCTGAAAGATTAAAAGTAAGCCTTTGCAAATAAGTCAGATTGTCTTTCTGTGGTCATCACTTTAAAAAATAACACCTGAACTTCATAAAGGGTTCCTCCCTTTCTCTACAGAGTAGCATCTTCATCCGTTTCCAGGCCATGCCCTTTCATTATAACCAGAAGGCCCCATGTTCTGAGTGCCATGATCTGATGTGTAGGAATGTCAATGTGAGCATTCTTATCATTCTTATCTAAGTGTGTCCCCCAGTGTGTGTGTGAGAGAATCAACAAAGTCACTGCCAGCGGGCTTCCCCATTCTCTTTATTCCCCACATTTTTTTCTCAATTTCCCTTTGAAGCTAACAAAAAGTAAATACATGCTGGAAAAAACTGGGGGCATAAACAAATAAACAAACAAAAAAACAAGTTGAAGCTGAGCCAGTATCATATTTATTCATGGAGTTTTCATCAATTGTTCAGTGGTCTGCGTTTCTATTCAGGTTGGGCATGCAACTATCATTGGCCTTATAATGAGGTCAGATCACAACCACTTAGAGGGCCAGAGCTCTGTCCACTTTATTCTTACCCTTAAATGTCCCTGGGGCACCTTTCCACTTTGCTGCTGAAGTGGGAGTCCATGGCAGAAATAATTCTGCTCGTTTGGTTTTATGAAATTTCTTGGGCTATACACATATCTGTAGCAGCAGCCAACATCAGACAGTAATGTGACTAGAAGGCAGACTCAGGAGGGTGACGTGCCTGGGTTTGAATCTCTTTGCTATGCCTTAGTAGCTATGTGGTTATGATCAAGTTACCTAACCTCTCTGTGCCTCCATTTCCTCCTCTGCAAAATGGAAATGATAGAAATGATGACAACATAATTCATATGTGCCACAGAGCATGGTACACAAAACACTAGCTGCATTGTTATAATAATTATTATCATCATCATTATCATCAGTGTAAACAAGCCTGGAATGAATATCACTGAAGTATGCCTTTTAATAAAAATGGATTTCTTCCTTCAACAAAATCATGTATCCATAAGTCACTGATATATTATTTTCTACCTTTTCATCTGACAAACCCAGAAAATAAATAAACTCACACATATAAATGCAACACCTCTGTAAACATGACGGTGGGAGGGAACAGTGGTGTGCATAATCCTACCTGGCAGATAATCAGGATTTGAATGTTCAGCACATGCAATACCTGCTGTGTAGACAGACCCGGACATTCCTTGCTGGTCTCTACAGTAAGATTAAGGGTGTGGCTCCAAAGGGCAGGGCAGTGTGAATAGGAGCTGGGCTCCTGTTGGTCCTGCTTCTGCCTCAGCAAGGGCACTTCTAGGACAGACCACCAGCCCTCTAGGTCCTAAATGAGGGGGTGGGAGGATGGGATATTCAGGTCAGAGTCTGAGGGGTCAGTTCCAAACCCAAGACCCAGAGCTTGGGCAGCCAGAAAGGCCAGGTCAGAGACAAGAATCCAGGTAGGGTAGCTGGATCATGGCTGTGATCTCACCTCAATGTAAGGCTGAGACAATGTCAAGGCTCCCGGGTGGTCCCCTGGATGCCCTTTCCACCCTTCCTCTGCACACCTGCTACCTGTGTAGCTGTCATTTCAGTTGCCTGCTTCTGTACTTCCTCTTTGGAGGCTTGTCTTCTGGCTCCTGGAGCCACTTTGGCATCTCACACAAGAGCTGGAAGGTCTGCTTCTGGACCTCTCCTCACCCTCAAAAGCCCTTAAGCCATAACTATGGGGTAGGGAACATAGAAGTTTGGATCATTGGCCTCGGGTTGCAAGTTCTGAGGCAGGGCTCGCGCACCATGAGGCTGAATCCTTCCCCCACTGGACCTGCACCTGAATTGGCTCCTTGCTTCTTTTCCCCTACTTCCCTGCCCAGCCTCCCACTCCCTTATGGGTATCCCCAGGAGTAATTTCTTTTATTTTCTTTTTTTGAGACGGAGTCTTACTCTGTTGCCCAGGCTGGAGTGTGGTCACTCGATCTTGGCTCACTGCAACCTCCACCTCCTGGGTTCAAGAGATTCTCCTGCCTCAGTCTCTTAAGTAGCTGGGATTACAGGCACATACCACCACACCTGGCTAATTTTTGTATTTTTAGTAGGGATGGGGGTTTCACCATCTTGTCCAGGCTGGTCTGGAACTCCTGGCCTCAAGTGATCTGCCCGCCTCAGCCTCCCAAAGTGCTGGGATTACAGGTGTGAGCCGCCATGCCTGGCCCATAATTTCTCAATGAATTACTCATACATAAGTTCTCAGGTCTGCTCCTGGGGAACTCTACCTAAGACATGGGTCAAGGCCAGAGCCTAGAGCCTGTGAAGCTTCTGAACTCACCCCAAAATTCTTTTCCCTTTAGCGAGATACAGAATCCACATTTCCCTTTCTACTGGTCTTTTGGAATTTGATCCCTTCTAGATAAGCCAAGTCTCTTTCTTGCATTTGCCCCATTCTGATCCTTGGCTTTTATTCTTCCTCAAACCTGTAGCACACAACAGTGGCACGTGAGGTCCTGGGACTGAGTGCACCATCTTCCAAGTGGTCAAACCTCCTGACTCCATGCCAGTGGGTGGAGCTGCTGCGGATGAGACAGTGGGTCCCAGTCTCACCAGCAGTACCCCTTTACATACTTTCTGTGACTGGTAGTTCAGCTTTGGCCATCGTTCTGCATCCATAGGTTAGCCTGATCAAATCATGAGTGAGAGTCCTTTCAGCATTGGAACTTCTGATTGGCCCACAGCTTTTTCCCTCACTCTAAGCTCCTCAGCAAGGCGCCTTGGTGTATATCCAGGACCCACAATGAGGCCCTTGGAGGATAAAGCCCTGTTGTGTTCCCCACCAACCCTCCTTGCTGATGAGACCTCTGGAGAAGACAAGTAAGGAGGCCAGGAAAGTCCTCATTCTTGTGTTCTCTCTAGTCTGTCATCTGTGTGTAGAGGGTAAACTGGGAACGCAAGCTTGGGAGAGAGAACAGAATTCAGCAGCTCCCACATCAGGATGAAGCAAGTGTTGTATCTCTTGGAAACCTAAGTGAGCAGTGAGGAACTTGGAAGGATACACACTGGGAGAAAAGGAGAAACTTGGCAGGGGCTCTGGCAGCCAGGTCCAATGCCATAAAGAAGTCCCGCAAATCCAAAGTAGCCATAAATAGCCAATCAACATTTATGAACAGGACTGAATAGCATTATGATGTTCTGAATTGATATAATTTTAGCCATAAGCAAAGAAACCTATTATTTACTCAAAATGTGCAGTCTTAATATAGAAGAGGTAGGGTTCTTGTTGGTTGGTTGGTTGGTTGGTTTTGTTTTAGCTTTCTTGAAATACTGAAAACAGCTCGTCACTTTTGATGGACCTTTACAGCCTGGAAACCTCAGGCAAAAGGCAGCGGTTTCAAGGGTCATTGCCATCCATGATGATGTCTCCAGTGGGGGGCTTGAGGCAGGTCAAAATAGAGCTGGCTGCACTGATTTTTCCTAAGATAACCCCAACTCCAACCACTGACAGACCCCTGCTAAAATATGGGCTATTGTGAGGGTGGTGAGAAAGCCTAAAGTAGCCTTCAGGAATCAGGGCCAGACTACTCCTCTCTTGGTTTCCAATTGTTCAGAGAGGCAAAAGGGTGGACTGCACTAGAGTCAGAAACAAATGTTTCCCCTGTCATCCTGGTCTCATCCAGAGAGACCAGGCCATTCCCCAACTCTCCAGCTGCATATTTGCTTTGGTGTTTCTCTCTGCAAAAAGGAGACAAATAAACATCAGCAAACCTACCTTGTGGGCAAGCTAAGAGGCTCATTGCAAAATATCACAGGGAAGCAATAGTTAGGAGTCCTCTCTCATATGTCCCAGTGTCCATACATGGCGCTTCTGTAGACAGCAGAATGTGTCTGGAATGTCCAGACAGCAGACTCGGCTGGGCAGTTTTGGGTTGGGATATTTGGCTGCAACACCAATGGCTTCCCTCCATTGTACACTACTTGTTTCTTTTTATCTTGCTCCTAACTTTTTATGGGAATCCGCATGTAAGGCCAAAGTTATAATGCCAGCAAGCACACAGTGTATCCATGGGGAAATCATTATTCTTGTGTGTTTGAAGCGCTTGTTTGAGCCATTTTTAAATTATTTCTTTGGAAATAGGTCTGGCTTAAATGTGTTTATCTCTTTGCCTTTGTTAGTCCTTGTTTGCATTCACTGGGCATTAGTAACAGATGAGCACAGTCATATTAAGGTATTTAGCTCTTTGAGGCAGTGTCATTGCTTTCACATTTCTAGCCTAGATAAGATCAACAAGAACCAGGGAAGGATGCTGTGGCTAGAAGCCCAGGAAAAGTGAAGTTGGGTTTGACTGAAGATAGACAAATCACTATGGAGACGCTTGAGAGTGTATCGTCATTTATATAACTGAGTGTATGTGTGTGTAGACATGTATTCATTGCTAATATTAAAATATATTAATACACACACCTTTTTTTCCTTCTGAAACACAGGAGATATTGTGGGAGTCCCAAATCAGAAGTGAGGAAATGAGGGGATAATAAATAAGATGCTCAGAAACTTAAAATAAAACAGTATGGAAGTACCAAGTTGGGCCTTCTGTAATCCCTTTGTGAGCCTAAATAAGCCACCTTCCTTCTCTGAATAGTGGAAAATGTGGACCAGAACCAAGAGCTCCCCTGCCCCCACAATTTGGATTTTCCATGGTTCTAAAATTCAGAGGGGTTAATGGTGGAAAGAATTCCTAGGTTGGCCAGGCAGATTGGCTTTCCTAGAATCAGAAGGTGTGCTTCGAGTGGGAAATGGAGAGGTAGGTGGTATGACATCATAGTTAATAGTGTGGGTTCCAGAGCTCTACAGCAGGGGTTCAAATCCAGGCTCTCCTACTTCCTAGCTATGCAACTTTCAGCCGGTTTTTAACTTCTCTATGCCTTTATAACCTCATATGTAAATTGGGACTGATAGTGATAGTGACCTCAGAGGGCTTAAAGGAGGAATAAGTAAGTTAATGTGTATAATGCATCCATAATTCTACCTGCTCACATAGTAAGTGCTCAGTGGTTACTTTTTGGTTTTTTTTTTTTTTGAGACAGAGTCTCACTCTGTCACCCAGGCTGGAGTGCAGTTGTGCTATCTTGGCTCACTGCAACCTCCACTTCCTGGGTTCAAACGATTCTCGTGCCTCAGCCTCCCAAGTAGCTGGTACTACATATGTGCGCCACCACACCCAGCTAATTTTTGTATTTTTAGTAGAGACAGGGTTTCACCATGTTGGCCAGAATGGTCTCAAACCCTGGCCTCAAATGATCTGCCCACCTTCAACTCCCAAAGTGTTGTGATCACAGGCATAAGCCACTGTACCTGGTACACCTGGCCACAGTGGATACTTTTTATGTAAGTATATATCCATACTTACATTTATGTGTGTATATATACATATATCACTCTGGTGCGGTCTGAAGGTCTATCAGTGAGTGTGGCAGAGGGTGCCAGATCCCTCACAATAGCCTTTCTCCTTTAGGGAAAAAATCATTTCCCACAGAGGTAGGATTCAAAGCTCAGCAAGCTGATTCCAGAGCCTGGACTGCAGGGGTGTGAGGAGAGTTAATAGGCTATAAGGTTAGGAAAGCTAGTTAGGGGTCAAAGTATGAAGGACAAGTCTTGTCGTCTTGTCTGTGTCTTGCAAATACCATGGAAGCCTGGGGAGCTTTAGAACAGGGGCGTGGCTTGATCCAGAACGCTTAGGAAGGTCCAGGGTAGGGTGGAGGAGGATGGATCATGGTGGCCAGAGACTGTGGCAGGAAAGCTGATGAGGAGTTGTTTTCATCCTTCAAGTGAGTGATGAGGGAGACCTGGGCTAAGCGAGGTGACAGTGACAGTGAGGATGCTGATGAGGGTGTGATCTAAGCACTAGGGGATTCAGAGTGCTCTGAATTCCCTAACTTAGGATAATTTGGCAGCGGTCATGCCAATGACCAAGGTAGGGAATGAATCAGGGGAGGCATTTCTGAAGAGGAGAACATGGTAAGCTCAGTTTGGGATATTTAATGAGTCACATTCAGTGGTTATTAAAAGGGGAGTCTGTTGCTCGGAAGAGCAATCCAGGCTGAACATAGAAATTGAGAGTGGAGGGAGGCATATTCATTAAGGTGGAGGCCAAAGCCCTAGGAAGCCTCACAGAACAGAAGACAGCATGGCAGGAAGCCAGCATGCAAGGCCTTCTGCCCATCTGCCAGTACATCCAAGGCATCAGACACCAACACTGGGAACTCCATTAGCTCCCAGATTTTCACAGTGTCCTAGTATGCTCTGTGGCTTCCCCTGAACTAAGCATGGGGACTGCCATCTAGCGCCATCTGCCATCTAGCGTCTTGGCTCCCTTACAAAGCCCTCCTAATCCCTGGACTAGGATACTATTACCAACCACTGACCACACTGCCCAGCCCTCCCTATGATCTCCGTCCATGGTGGGCAGCCTCCCTCTGCTCAGTTCTCATTCCCAGATGAGCCGGAGACTCTTTCAGAAGAGACCAGACTGGGAAAGCCTCTTTGCCTTGATCTTCCAACCACAGGAGAGGCCTCTCGTGCTGCACACAGATGCAGCCAGCTGTGCTGAATGGTATCTGAGGTCCAGGCAGGAGAGGAGGTCTCTTCGGCGCTCCTGGTCTTCTGTGTTCCTGTCAGCTGAATCGCTACAAGGACATTTCTCAGCAAAGAAGTTTAATACAGCAATTGCTGTTACATTTTTACATCCAACACAGTTCCCCTCATTTCCAATTTCTGTTTCTTTATCTATCTTTTAACTCAAGGGTCTTGGGGAATTGGGGGTGGAGGGAGTACATGGGTAGGAAGGATTGTTGAGAGCACTAAAGATGTATTCCATGCTAAATTTTTTAGGTGGGAGAGACCAGGAAAGGTTAAAACCTAACTGAGTTCTAAAACATGAGATGGATTTTCTCAGGCTGCTCCATTGTCTGTACTGACAGGCTGTGTTCTCCTGTGTCCCAGAAAGGCCAGTGAGCAGCACCTTCACAATCCATTGGTCTTTGAGGTGCTTTTATGTGAAGCTGCCCTCCCTCTACAGTAAGAGCATAGCAAAAGAGAAGGCTTCAGAGTACAGCAAGAACTATTTGGGTCAGACATAAGAAAGAACTTCTTGGCAGTGAGAACCATTTGGAGAAAATACTAGAAATTATTTATCTGAGGTAGTTTAGATGTAGTTTCATTGGAAGGCAAAAGAACAAATAAGGCAAGAGTTTCTTTCCAGACCTAGTAATGCATACCCAAGAAGAAAGTTAAATATCCCTAAATTCTGGGGGAAAATTAGTTGGTGTGGCAGCATGGTGAAATGGCTGATGCCTGCATGGGTTTTGGAGTCCAACAAACATAATATTACATCCAACTTCAGCACTTGTTAACTGGGTGGCTTTGCCTAAGTGGAAATAACCCCATCAAGCCTGGATTTTCTAGTCCAGAGATTAGATCAAATAGGGATCAAAGTGAACTGACAGGATTATTTTACCTACTAGAGAAAACACATGTAAAGCAATCCACACATAGTAGGTACTCAATTTTTTAAAACTTAGACTGGGTTTTCCATTTATTTCTCCTTTTCTCTGCACATAATAAAGCCCCAAAGCGCTTAGCTCTGGTTTCTATTACAGCTGAAAATGCATTCAGAACTGACTGGGACTGAGCACAGATTCTCAGGGTGAAAAACAAACTCCATTGTCTGCTTGTTTATAATTAGTGACATATAAGCCATTACATCGAGGACTGGCTGTGACTGGTGAGGGAAACAAAGCTGTGGCACTTTTCCAAAGCCGCTGTGAAGTGTCTAGTTTGTGTTCTGGTTTAAGCTGCGGAGTCTTTATGACACCAACATCCATGGCTTACTGTCATGGGAGCGTGGTCCAGATCCCAATGAAAATGCCCAAATGACCCATGGGGAACATAATGAGGGAGAATTTCACATCAAAGTAAAGTTAAAGGCAATACTTCATGTTTTCATTATGTCTCCAGTGTTTACCATATTGCTTCTCTTATACACAACTTCCATTCCCTCTATTGGCCCAGAAGCAGATTTTTTAAACTCTCTATCTTGGAGGCCTCTCAACAGCCAAGGTAATGATGTTGCCGTTGTATTTGTGAACTCAAGGGAACAAGAATGGCAGGACAGCATCTCCTGATAAAGTGTTGTATTTGATGAACGGAGAGGACCTACCACCTTCAGGTCTTTCCAGAGCAGAAGGATCCATTTGCACCATCTCGTCTGCACCATCACTGGAACTTTGTGTAAGATGGCTGGCAGGGTGGGCATCCTTTATGATCATGGACAGATGGGGTAAGCAGTCTTCACGGCCCAAGACCCTTCAGCCACACGCTCAGTGCAGCAATGTGCCTAGCTAACCGCTTGGTACATATGTCTCTGAGTGAGTTCTCGGGACCATTTTGACTACTAAGTGTCATGTCTTTGTAATTTTTGTTCTTGTCCTGTTCTAGAAGGATCTCAGAAATCTCGAAGATGAAATCAGCCAGATTCTTCTCTTTTATATATATATAATATATATATTATATAATATATATTATATAGCATTATATAAATTGTATATTATATATTATATATTATATAAATTATACAATATATTATATAATATATATTATACAATATATTATATAATATATATTATACAATATATTATATAATATATATTATACTTTAAGTTCTAGGGTACATGTGCACAATGTGCAGGTTTGTTACATATGTATACATGTGCCATGTTGGTGTGCTGCACTCATTAACTCGTCATTTACATTAAGTATACCTCCTAATGGTATCCCTTCTCCCTCCCCCCACCCCACAACAGGCCCCAGTGTGTGATGTTCCCCTTCCTGTATCCAAGTGTTCTCATTGTTCAATTCCCACCTATGAGTGAGAACATGCGGTGTTTGGTCTTTTGTCCTTGAGATAGTTTGCTGAGAATGATGGTTTCCAGCTTCATCCATGTCCCTACAAAGGACACGAACTCATCATTTTTATGGCTGCATAGTATTCCATGGTGTATATGTGCCACATTTTCTTAATCCAGTCCATCATTGTTGGACATTTGGGTTGGTTCCAAGTCTTTGCTATTGTGAGTAGTGCCACAATAAACATACGTGTGCATGTGTCTTTATAGCAGCATGATTTATATTCCTTTGGGTATATGCCCAGTAATGGGATTGCTGGGTCAAATGGTATTTCTACTTCTAGATCCCTGAGGAATCACCACACTGTCTTCCACAATGGTTGAACTAGTTTACAGTCCCATCAACAGTGTAAAAATGTTCCTATTTCTCCACATCCTCTCCAGCACCTGTTGTTTCCTGACTTTTTAATGATACTTTAAAGTTCATATGGAACCAAAAAAGAGCCCCCATTGCCAAGTCAATCCTGAGCCAAAAGAACAAAGCTGGAGGCATCATGCTACCTGACTTCAAACTATACTACAAGGCTATAGTAACCAAAACAGCATGGTACTGGTACTAAAACAGAGATATAGACCAATGGAACAGAGCAGAGCCCTCAGAAATAATACCACACATCTACAACTATCTGATCTTTGGCAAACCTGACAAAAACAAGAAATGGGGAAAGGATTCCCTATTTAACAAATGGTGCTGGGAAAACTGGCTAGCCATATGTAGAAAGTTGACATATGTAGAAAGTTGAAACTGAATTCCTTCCTTACACCTTATAAAAAAATTAATTCAAGATGGATTAAAGACTTCAATGTTAGACCTAAAACCATAAAAACCCTAGAAAAAAACCTAGGCAATACCATTCAGGACATAGGCATGGGCAAGGACTTCATGTCTAAAACACCGAAAGCAATGGCAACAAAAGCCAAAATTGACAAATGGGATCTAATTATACTAAAGAGCTTCTTCACAGCAAAAGAAACTACCATCAGATTGAACAGGCAACCTACAGAATGGGAGAAAATTTTTGCAATCTGCTCATCTGACAAAGGGCTAATATCCAGAATCTACAAAGAACTCAAATAAATTTACAAGAAAAAACAAATAACCCCATCAACAAGTAGGCGAAGGATATGAACAGACAGTTCTCAAAAGAAGACATTTATGCAGCCAACAGACACATGAAAAAATGATCATCATCACAGGCCATCAGAGAAATGCAAATCAAAACTACAATGAGATATCATCTCACACCAGTCAGATTCTTCTCTTAGATCACAGACTCCACACAAAAAAATCTCCAGTTGGTATTAAAATTTGCCCTATCAATTAAAAATGAAATGGGATGACGAATGGATCTGGAGGGCCAAATGGAAGCCATCTACCACAGTCATTGAACAGAAATATGTTCTACCACCACCTGTCTGGTGCTTGGTAATCTTTCTACATAATGAATGAAATAAACCCACTGAAGTTTGGTCTGTTACAGAGCTGACTCCATTGGTTTTGGGAAATGGGTCAGAAAGAACCTCATCCACCATAAGATAATTAACACCACCATCAGGGAGTTTTCTTAGGTTTCGGTGAACTTCTTAACATGACCCAATTTGGACATCTGATTACCAAAGACTAAGCCAAATGTTAGCATTAAAATTTGGTGTCATGTTTATGCATTTAGTGTAAAGGTAGTGCCTGACCTGTATTTGAATTTGCCACAGAAAGATCAGGTCTGATATTTCATGCGCAGCAGGAGGTTCATGGGACCTGAATCGCTGTAATGAAGAAAAAGCCGCTGAACAGTTCCCTGGTGACGAGTTAATCAGATTTCACCAAAGATTTTGCCACACTGTGGAAAAGAATTTACATATGGGAGACTTTGGCTTGTTGCCTCTACATTTTGTCTCTTTCTTCTTTGAAGCAAAGTATTTACTACACGGTGACTTTTTAAAACTGACCATTTAATTTGGGGAAACAACTTTTTTGTATAAAGGGAAAACTCAACTTCATGTGTTTTCCTCCAGCTCCCCTGACTTTTTGAGACTATGTATTTTGCTGTTGGGGAACTTTTCCCTCGTCAGTTATACAATAAAGTCTTTGTTGTTCAGCATTCTATTAACCACAACCCTCCAGTAACCAGCACATCTGTAAATCTCTAGTACAATAATTGTTGTTCATAATCATGACCCAGGGGCTCTGCGTGGTCTCAAATGCCTTCTGAACCATCAAAGAGAACATACTGAAATGAGCTTGCATTCCCAGAGCACACATCAACCAACCACAGAGGGCAGGAGTCCAGAAAGTGCTAGGTAGAAGAAGAACTAAAACAGGAATGTTGAATTTGCCACAGGTACTTCCCCCTGTGGATAATGAATACCTACAGTACACTGGTTAGACCTTTCTGCTGTTTCTGTGCGTTTCTTTGTGCACAATGTAGACTCAACCAAAATATTAATGCTTGTGCTCAACTTTTGAAAGCACACAGCTGTAAAGGCAGATGTCAGTGTACCCAATTAAATCAAGGCTGTTTGTGCTTAATTTGTATTATCCATTGACAAATTAGAGTTAGTTAAAAAGCTTTTAAAATTTGAAAGTTTCTGAGCTTAAGAGTGGGTGAGATGTACCCTCTCTACTTGGCTGCTCCTACACTATAATTCCCATATGCTGACCACAGAGCAGCAAATTCATAGGTCATTTGCAGGCCTCAGGATGGACAAAACCAAGCATCACATGGAATGCTCTGTGTACATGAAAAAATGAAGAAGGTAATCAGGAAAAAGAGATTGGAGTTGAGAGGTGCAGTTTTATGACCAGGCTGATCAGGAGTCCCAGATCAAGCTCACTTGTTACATATAACACTGCAGGAGAAAGATTAGACAGTATGCTTCTTCAACATGAGGTGAATTTCATCCTGGAGGAAAATCAACTAATTCAGCCCAATGTAAGGTTTAAATATAAGTTAGGTTTAACTATCATCAAGCACTGGGATTGAAAATGTATAACTGGTTGATTTGCAGGTGGGGAAAAATCAGTTAGATTAGGGAAGATTCTGTGCATAGTTACCAGGAATGTCTGTTCATAGCAAAACAGAACATATTTTATATTGAACAACAACAACAAAAGCAGGATGTCATGATTTCTACAGATGCAGATAAGCCAATCAATAGAAGGAAGTTTTCAAGTGTTTATGGTACAGTTGCCCTTGTTCTCTCTACCTTCCTTCCCCTAACCAGTTCTAGTCTTGTTTCTATATAAAATTATAACCCTCCTTGATTCACCATTTAACATTTCATAAAGACTATGCCACTGAGATAAATGAGAAAATGCATGTTTTCAATGATAGACCTTTTTTTTGGTATGTGATCTAAAAAGTGTATTTTCTATAGGCACCATACTTCCTGCAGTTGAGCATCATACCTGACTCTGGTCCTACCAGAAGACAACAGCCTATCATGGGTTATGGCCATCCTTGCATCTTCCAACATCCATATTTTCTACCCAAATACCCTACATCACCCCAGTGGTCTACCTAGCACCTAGGATGCTACTTGCATTTGGGCCAGAACAATTCTCCCCAAGAATGTGGCATGCTTGGATATTTAGCATCCCTGACCTCTCTCCACTAAATGCCATAGCACTCTTACCACCACCAAAAGTCTTTAGGATGACCACATTTGCAAGAACTCCCTAGGAGGGTACTTCTGTCTTCCTGAATGAAAACCAGGGATTGCAAAGCAGCAATAGGGAAGCCACTTGCAACCAGGACAGGGCCTGGCAACTGGCTGTGCTTTTCTGGCCCTAACTTTTCTGGGCCACTAATCTCTTTTCCCTTTACCTAAAGCCACAAACTTACAATGTCATCAGTGATATAAAGACGATGCAAAAAGGCTTTGTTTTTGCACAGATGTTTAATTTTTAAAGATCCATGGTATCACAGGAAGTCTGATTAGTGTTAGTATAATCTTTCCAGCTCCTTTTCTTCTGTCCCCTGGAATTTCTCTGAATCAACTTTCTGTTGTGCTATCTCAGAACTTCTACCTGAACTTGGTCCCAAGCTGTCTCAGCATCACTGGCTTTGCCTCTAGATAGAACTCTCTCTGCTTACCCTGACTTCACTCTCTTCCCCAAAGCCATCCACTGCCATCCTCACCTTCTCAGACTACAGTAGAAAGTCTCCAAAGTGTACTGCCATTGCTTCCTCTCCTTTTCACGTGTGCATGCTACTCCATCAAGATGAGGGAACTATTTCTCCTCCCTTTGAATCTGGGCTGGCCTTGTGTCTTGCTTTGACCAATAGAATGTGATAGAAGTGACAACTGAAAACTTCTGAGACAAAGTTGTGTCTGTTTTCTCCCTTTTAAAATACCCATGGCCACGTAAGAAGATGGACTACTCTAAGACCACCACGTATAAGAAAGCCCAAGCCAACCACATGAAGAGGCACATGAAGGAGCACTAATTCAACAGACATGTGAGCAAAGCCTTCTTGGTTCTTCCAACCCAAGCCAGCCACCACCTGAATATAGCCAAGTGTCCCCAGCTGACAAAACTTGGAGCAGAAAATTGCTCAACTGAATCCAAAATTGGAGAAATAACAAAATGTTGTTGTTTTAAGCCACTAAGTTTTGTGGAAACTTGTTATGCAGCAGTAAATGTAAAGAAGTCTCTTGCCCGGGATGCATTTGTGGCTGTGCTCTAAATTTCTTTCCTTTTTTTTTTTTTTTTTTGAGACGAAGTCTCATTCTGTCGCCCAGACTGGAGTGCAATGGAATGATCTTGGCTCACTGCAACCTCTGCCTCCCAGGGTTCAAGCAATTCTCCTGCCTCAGCCTCTTGAGTATCTGGGATTACAGGCATCCACCACCACGCCCAGCTAATTTTTGTATTTTTAGTAGAGACAGGGTTTTATCATCTTGGTCAGGCTGGTCTCAAACTCCTGACCTCAGGTGATCCACCAGCCTCAGCCTCCCAAAGTGTGGGGATTACAGGCATGAGCCACCATGCCTGGCCCTAAATTTCTTAATTGGACGGGACTCTCTTAAACAGATAGAATGTGAATGTGATGGGTTCCTAACTCACACCAGGAAAGGAGGAGAGGCCTTTCTGCTGCTACTACAGCTGTGGTGCTAGCCCTCATTCATTGGCATATCTGAATAAGGATTCCACTTATTTGCAACATTTTGTATACAACAGAGACCTCAGAAATAACACCACACATCTACAACCATGTGATCTTCGACAAACCTGACTGAAACAAGCAATGGGGAAAGGATCTCCTATTCAGTAAATGGTTCTGGGAAAACTGGCTAGCCATATGCAGAAAACTGAAACTGGACCCCTTCCTTACACCTTATACAAAAATTAACTCAAGATGGATTAAAGACTTAAATGTAAAACCCAAAACCATAAGAATCCTAGAAGAAAACCTAGGCAATACCATTCAGGACATAGACATGGGCAAAGGCTTCATGACAAAAACGCCAAAAACAATTGCAATAGAAGACAAAATTGACAAATGAGAGCTAATTAAACTAAAGAGCTTCTGCTCAGCAAAAGAAACTATCATCAGAGTGAACAGGCAACCTATGGAATGGGAGAAAATTTTTGCAATCTATCCATCAGAAAAAGGTCTAATAAATATCCAGAATTTACAAGGATCTTATATATTTACGAGAAAAAAAAAACAACCCCATCAAAAAGTGGGCACAAGATATGAACAGACACTTCTCAAAAGAAGACATTTGCGCAGCCAACAAACATGAAAAAAAGCTCGACATCACTGATTATCAGATAAATGCAAATTAAAACCACAGTGAGATACCACCTCACACCAGTCAGAATGGCGATTATTAAAAAGTCAGGAAACAATAGATTCTGGTGAGGTTGTGGAGAAATAGGAATGCTTTTACACTGTTGGTGGGAATGTAAATTAGTTCAACCATTGTGGAAGACAGTGTGGCGATTCCTCAAGGATCTAGAACCAGAAATACCATTTGACCCAGCAATCCCATTACTGGGTATATACCCAAAGGAATATTAATCATTCTACCATAAAGACACATGCATGCCACACGTATGCTTATTGCAGCACTGTTTACAATAGCAAAGACATGGAACCAACCCAAATGCCCATCAATGATAGACTGGATAAAGAAAATGTGGTACAGCTGGGCGCGGTGGCTCATGCCTGTAATCCCAGCACTTTGGGAGGCCAAGGCGGGCAGATCATGAGGTCAGGAGTTTGAGACCAGCCTGACCAACATGGTGAAACCCCATCTCTACTAAAAATACAAAAATTAGCCAGGCCTGGTGGCTCATGCCTGTAATCCCAGCTACTCAGGAGGCTGAGGAAGGACAATTGCTTGAACCCGGGAGGCAGAGGTTGCAGTGAGCCGAGATCGCACCATTGCACTCCAGCCTGGGCAACAGAGTGAGACTCTGTCTCAAAAAAGAAAGAAAGAAAGAAAGAAAATGTGGTACATATACACCATGGAATAGTATGCAGCCATAAAAGGAATGAGATCATGTCCTTTGCAAGGACATGGATGAAGCTAGAAGCCATCATCCTCAGCAAACTAACACAGGAACAGAAAACCAAACACTACATGTTCACATTCATAAGTGGGAGGTGAACATTGTGAACACCTGGACACAGACAGGGGAACAACACACACCAGGGCCTGTTTTGGGATGGGGGTTGATGAGAGAGAACTTAGAGGACGGGTCGATAGGTGCAGCAAACCACCATGGCACACATATACCTATGTAACAAACCTGCACGTTCTGCACATGTATCCCATTTTTTTAAGAAGAAATAAAGAAAAAAAAAGAAAGAAAGAAAATCATGTGTCCTAAGTGCCACAAATTCTCTATGTAGAGGTAAGAGACCTATAAATAATTTTAATATGAATAGAAAAAAAAAAAACAGAAAAAGACTACTCAAGTGAGACCAAGCAAAGTCTTGCTCATCCAGAGCTTGCTATCACAAGGAAGTAGCCACCATCACTTGCATTTCACAGAGACTCAAAAGCAGGCAAAGAAGTGAGAAGTATACCTACAGTCAGGGAATTTAAAAAAAGAATGCTTTAGGGATGGTCTGACTGGAAGCTGTTGGCATGGGGAAGCTCTAAGGTTAATTAGAACCTGGGCATCCTATGTGATTGATTAAAGGTGCGTATTTGACTTTCTTAAAAAAAAAAAGTGGCATTCTTTCTATCACTGCAGGTATAACCTCTTCTTTCTGTACAGAGGACACAGGATCAGTTCTGGCTAAGTATTCTAGGAACTGGCAGTCTACTCTTGTGGTTATTACTACATCCCGGTTATCTAGTGGCTGGAATTTTTCCTCAAGGGATGTCTTGGCAACTACATTCAGAATTCCATTCTATTCTTCCAGAAATAATTTTTCCCCAAAGTACAGACTCATGTTTAAATAAATTAATAATATAATTTGTATGATTTATTTTACCTTTGAACACTAGTTGCTTATCTAGCAGATTTTTAGCATTATTCTGAGTGCCAAAAGGTTTTAGTTACATTTCTATTTCTGTTTTAACTTGGAGGAGTGCACCATCACACTTGAAAAATGGCAAAAAGGTCATGAACTGCCTGTTACTATCTTTGCATAATCCTGCCCTTCGCCTTCACAAAGCTCTCAAGGACTTTCCAATCCATTTTGGGGGACTAACTTTCTCTGAAGTTTAAGATCTGTAAGAAGTAAATTTTGATTTGCAACCTCTGTTACCTAACCTTAACCCATACCAAATCCCTTGCAAACTAAGAAAGAAAGAACAATTCTAAATTAGGCATCATTTTGGCAACTACTTTAGGAAATGTTCTGATTTTTTTAAATGAAATTTATACCAATTAGTTTATACGTTCTTTTGAAATTTGGACACATCAAAGCCCAAAAAAATTAGGCTGTTTAAAAAGATTATTTTACCATGACTACTGTTTTGATGGTATTACTTACTGTACTGTTTCAAAGTTCATTCTGAAAACACTTTAATAGCATGTTTATAGGGGCCAGATGTGCTCAACATTGAGGCAGAGGGCAAGGATTCCAAATCAGGTTGATGAAATCAAAGCCAAACTGTGGGGAAATAATTGGCTTTATTGAACTGGCATGTATATCTATCAGTATTTGAAAATGACCCTGAAACTCTGATAACACCCCCAGACTGTAGGAGTGAATGACAAGACAGTACAAGAGTAAGGAGTGAAAAGTCCTGTGCATCACAATCTAATAGTTCCATGAAGACCTCCAAAGTGAAGATAGGCTATTTGACTTATGGGACTGGCAGTTTTGGAATCCTTTTAGGTTTTGGAACTCTGCTCTCCTAGAGAAACAGCTGGGCTTATCTGGGCTCTGTAGGTGGGTTAGCTCAGTGAGCCAAAACAATGCTAATGAAACAAGGTGAGACACCCATTTATTCGGCCCCTATGATGTGCCAGGAGTTTTTATGTATATCATCTCATTTAAGCTTCACAATAGCCCAAAAAGGTATAATAAATTCAGAAATTAGGAAACAGAACCTCAGAGAACTGAAATAATTTGCCCAAGGGCATTCATTCCTCCAGTAAGTGAGATAGCCTGGGACTTGAACTCTGATCTGATGACTCAGAAACTCTTTCCTATACACATCAGAGACTCTCTGAAGCCAAGATCAAAGACTGTTAGCTTGCTCCTGTAACAACCACAGACCCCACTCCTAATACTGGCAGATAGCTGCTGAATGGATGCTCTGAGTAATGGAGATTAGACAGAAAAATGTGAATGGGTAACAAAAAACTCACCTAGCTATGAGCAGATGGTGGATCTTGCTCACTTCTGTATCCTATCCCTACCCCCACAAACACATGCACACTGCACTAGACCCTAGCGTAATATCTGGCAAGTGCTCAAGATCTTTCTTGAATTAGATCTGTCACTAGTAAGAATGATAATGATAATAACAGCAACAATCATAAGAGTTAAAATGTCATGAGCAATTTACTACATCATAGGCACTGTCTTACACACTCAGTAACCATCAACTCTTTGGGTCCCCGTAGCATCAGGTGACAGAGGCACTGTTCATTATTGCACTTTGCAGGGAAGAAAGTAAAGCACAGAAATGTTAGCTAATTTCTCCAAAGTGACATAGCAAGCGAGGGTCAGAATCTAAAAGAAAACATAATCAAGCTGGCTTTATGTACCCAGGTTCTTAACCATTCTACTAGTATCTTTCAAATACATCTGATCCTGAGGCACTTGTTAGAAACACTTTCCCAGTGCCATTTTTCTGAGCAGACTAATTTGGAAGTATAGCTTGGGACGCAGAGTCCTGTAATATTTTTAAAGAGCCCCCATGAGACTCTTATCATGTTAAACATTTCACTTCCCTCAGCTGTCTCTTGCTACTAAAGAAACCCCTCTACCAGCACAGTTGAGCACTGTCAGAGGCATCATCTTGGTGAAAGAGGAGTCAATTTGTTTATGGGCATGGGGAGAATAACTCCCCATGGAAAAAAAAATGTTATTGTTTTGTTCTTTCTCCCTTTAACATTCAGAGCTCAAAAAAAATGTGTGGTATAGAAGGGGGCAAGGATGGAGATAAAAGGCTGAGCTTGACCAGGCACAGTGGCTCACGCCTGTGATCCCAGCACTTTGGGAGACCAAGGCAGGTGGATCATGAGGTCAAGAGATGGAGAACATCCTGGTCAACATGGTGAAACCCCATCTCTACTAAAATATACAAAAATTAGCTGGGCATGGTGGCACATACCTATAGTCCCAGCTACTCTGGAGGCTGAGGCAGAAGAATCACTTGAACCCAGGAGGCAGAGGTTGCAAAGAGCCGAGATCATGCCACTGCACTCCAGCCTGGCAACAGAGTGAGACTCCATCTGAAAAAAAAAAAAAAAAAAAAAAGCTGAGCTTACCTTGGTGTTTCTGCTCTTCTCATTCATACAAGGATTCCTGGGCACACTGTTATAGCCTCTGTAGTGTTGCACAATGATTTCCCTTTTGCTGCTAAAAAAGCTTGAGAGGAAAGGAGGAGTCTCGGATGAAGCAGAGGAAGCCTTTGTTCCTTCCACAGTCAGGTATCTAGAAAGGCAAGACACAATCTCACTGACAACTGAGGGACTGGCAAAATTGAGGAGGGGGCTGGATAAAGAATGGCCTTACCTGTTGTGTCAGTTCAGGTCCTCTGAGAAGCAGATGCCAAGACCGGATTAGGCATGTAAGAAATTTACTGAAGAAATACCTGCCAAGCCTGGTGGCTCAAGCCCGTAATCCCAGTGCTTTGGGAGGCCAAGGCAGGTGGATCACTTGAGTCCAGGAGCTTGAGATAAGCCTGGCCAACATGACAAAACCTCCACTCTACTAAAAATACAAAACTTAGCTGGGTGTGGCGGTATACATCTGTAATCCCAGCTACTTGGGAGGCTGAGGCATGAGAATTGCTTTAATCCGGGAGGTGGAGGTTGCAGTGAGCCCAGATCGTGCCACTGCACTCCAGCCTGGGTGACAGAGCAAGACTCTGTTTCCCACCCTCCAAAAAAAAGAAAGGAAGAAAAAAAAAGAAACACCTGTAAAGATGTGTTAGTCCCTTGGAAATGCTATAAAAGAATACCTGAGACTGAGTAATTCATCAAGAAAAGAGGTTTATTTGGCTCACAGTTCTGCAAGCTATACACCACAAAGCAAAGTTTTGGTGTCTGCTTCTGGTGAGGGCCATAGGAAGCTTACAATCATGGCAGAAGGTGAAGGGAAGCCAGTGTGTTACACAGCAAGAGAGGAAGCAAGAGAGTAAGGGAAGAGAAACCAGACTGTTTTAAACAACCAGATCTCACATGAACTCATAGAGTGAGAATTCCCAGTCATTACTGCAAGAATAGCACCAAGCCATTCATGAGGGATCCACCCCCATAAGCCGAACACCTCTCACTAGGCCCACCTCCAAAATTGGAGGTCACATTTCAACATGAGATTTGGAGGGGACAAAACATCCAATCATATCAAAAGATAAAGGGACAGAGAACAGGACATGGGAGGAAGAGCCTTCAGATTGTAATGTAGGTCTGACATCTGTTAA